>NC_000008.11:36829799-37132829 GCF_000001405.40 Homo sapiens | reverse complement strand
AATGGTACAGACACCTAGGAAGATTGTTTGGCAGTTTCTTAAAAAACTAAACATACTCTTACCATATGATCCAGCAATCATGCTTCTTGGTATTTACCCAGATGAAATGAAAATTTATGTCCACGCAAAAACCTGCACATGATGTTTATAGTAGCTTTGTTCATCATTGCCAAAACTTGGAAGCAACTAAGGTGTTTCAGTAGGTGAATGGACAAACTGTGGTACATCCAGACAATGGAATATTATTCAATGATAAAAAGAAATGAGCTATCAAGCCATGAAAAGACATGGAAACTTAAATGCATTTTACTAGATGAAAGAAGCCTGTCTGAAAAGGCTACATGCTGTGTGATGACATGCAAGGATCCAAGGATATGACATGCCGGAAAATGACATTCTGGAGAAAAAAAGTGACATTCTGAAAAAATATATATATATATGCTGTCTGCTATAAAGACAGTAAAAAGCTCAGTGGTTGCCAGGGTTCTGTGGATGGAAAGGAATGAATAGACAGACCACAGAGGATTTTTAGGCCAGTGAAGCTATTCCGTAGGATGCTATAACTGGATACATGTTATTACACATTTGTCAAAACCCATAGAAGGCACATGCAGAGTGAAATCTAATAGCAACTACTCACTTTACTTGATAATAATATATCAATATTGGCTCATCAATTGTAATGAATGTACTACACTAATGTTAGACATTAATAACAGAAACTGTGGAGGAGGCAGGTGGCGGGGGGTGGGGGGGAACAAGGGAATTCTCTGCACTTTTGCTCAAATTTTCTATAAACTTAGAAGTGCTCTAAAAAATAAAGTATATTAATTTTATTTAAAAGGGCCAAAAATATAAACATCAAACACACTCAGACCCTGAGGCCCAGAAGCAGTAGCAGGGCTCCATCTGGCTCTCCTGTGCAGGGCTCCTCCAACCCCAGTGTATGAGGACTCGGGGGTCTGGAGGAAACCATGGAGTCAGAGAATGGTTTTTGTGATGGTTAATATTGACTGTCAACTTGATTGGATTGAAGGATGCAAAATATGGTTCCTGGGTGTGTCTGTGAGGGTGTTGCCAAAGGAGATTACCATTTGAGTCAGTGGACTAGGAGAGGCAGACCCACCCTCAATCAGCTGTCAGCTCAGCTAGAATAAAAGCAGGCAGAAGAATGTGGAAGGGCTAGACTGGCTGAGTCTTTCATCCTTCATCTTTCTCCAGTGCTGGATGCTTCCTGCCATCGAACATTGGACTCCAAGTTCTTCAGTTTTGGACTCTTGGACTTACATCAGTGGTTTGCCAGGGACTCTCAGGCCTTTGGCCTCAGATTGAAGGCTGCACTGTCGGCTTCTCTACTTTTGAGGTTTTGGGACTCGGACTGGCTTCCTTGCTCCTCAGCTTGCAGACAGCCTATTGTGGGACTTCACCTTGTGATCATGTGAGTTGATACTCCTCAGTAAAATCCCCTTTATAGACACATCTATCCTGTTGGGTCTGTCCCTCTAGAGAACCCTGACTAATACAGTTTTGCCAGTAGGTTTCAGGTGAATTTGGGAAATAAATGAGTCAATTTTCCAAGTTTTGAGGATCAGATGGAGAGCTTAGAATCGGCTCCCTTTGTTTCTTCTCTGTTCAGGGACACCTGAGACTTAACTCTGCACTGCTGCTATGTTCATAAGCAAAACCAAGAAAAACATAAGGAGAGAAAGTACCCAGAAGGGGCATCGACTGTGCTGGTTTCGCTCTTGCCCAGATAGGAAGTAGCAGGCTGCAAAAATGAGGGTTCCTAACCTTGATGGTTGATCTAATCTCCCCTGATTCTTATTAGTATTTAAAATAATTTTTCCTTAAAAATGTATCAAAATAGTGCTATTTGTCATATGTATGATAAAATATGGAACCTAAAGATTGGACAAGACTTGAAATGGCATCTTGCCTAAGTTTTCCTCAGTTGTTTGAGTTTTGCTCCATTTCTAAATGGCCATCCTTGGCTTGTATTCTGGTGACAGAGTTCTTTCTCATGGAAGCCTAGCCTATCTTTGCACAGTTCTAGTATTAAAGTCTTATTTCTGCATAAAAGTTTGTCTTTTTTTTCTTTTCGTTTGAGACAGGGTCTAGCTCTGTCACCCAGACTGGAGTGCAGTGGCTCAGTCATAACTCACTGCAACCTTGAACTCCTGGGCTCAAGCAATTCTCCTCCCCCAGCCTCCTGAGTAGCTGGGACTACAGGCATGCACCACCATGCCTGGCTAATTAAGTTTGTAATTTTTAATATAAAATTTCAGTGGTTTCAGAATGTCAGATAATCCAACTTTTCCTAGAGTTAACATGCCCCAAAAGTTCAACTTTTACATTCCAAGTTCTTTACTATAATTTAATTTTTCCTTCTTTCTGTTGATGTGCGCTCTCCCTCTCTCACCCATTTTACAGAGAGGAAAAACTGAGAGCCAGTGTTGCAATCACAATTATCAGCGTCCAGCAGCACTGAATATAAGTCGTCAAAGGATAGAAAGACAAGTGGAGAGAAGGAATGCAGAAAGGGGTTTCATGAGACTGAGCCCCATGGGACGCTAGAGGTTGCTGGGGGCCCAAACTGCATTTGGTTCCCTAAAAGTGCCCTTCAATTAAAAGGCACCTTAGGCTGGGTGTGGTGGCTCACGCCTGTAATCCCAGCAATTTTGGAGGCTGAGGAGGGCGGATCTCCTGAGGTCGGGAGTTCAAGACCAGATTGACCAATATGGAGAAACCCCATCTCTACTAAAAATACAAAATTAGCTAGACGTGGTGGCTTATGCCTGTAATCCCAGCTACTTGGGAGGCTGAGGCAAGAGAATCACTTGAACCCGGCAGGCAGAGGTTACAGTGAGCCAAAATTGCACCGTTGCACTCCAGCCTGGGCAACAAAAGTGAAACTCTGCCTCAAAAGAAAAAAAAAAAAGCACCTCAACCAAAACCCAGGGAAATTGAAGGCCAAACAACCTTCACTGGACTCAGTCCATTATCTAATAGGGGATCACAGAGAAGTCTTCCTAATTGGGCTTATTTTAGAGCATCATCATTTTAGGGGTTTGATGCAGGAGTATGTTGACAGAAGCCTAAAGCAGCCATCACTCAAACTTGAACAAATAAAATAAAAATAGAGAGAAATAAATAAAATAAGAGTGAGATTCAGCCAAAAATGAGAAAAAGAAAAAAGAAAGATAGAAGGAGGAAAGGGAGCTCACATTATCAACCAATAAACCCAATAATCCATTAGTGACCAAGGTTGCTGAATAATATAGTACTTTCCCAGTGCCATAATTTATACTGCAGACTAGAGAATAGACACGGTTATTAGAGTGAGGGCTACTGCATGACACATGATGCATGACCGAGCAGCATTGATCTTCATACAACAGGAAGGTGTCTAGACCGGGAGATGTATGGCTGTGCGATTCAGAGCAGGGCATATTTCATGGGAGGCCTAATGGAGTAGTGGAGCTGGTGATGGATGGGTTTGCCCAGTTTCGGTAGCACTGCAGTTATAGCAGTGCTAATGTCTGACCTCTTCTGAGCCCCGTGTCCTTCATCCAGTCAGGGTGACCTCATCTAAAGGGACAGAAAATAAGATGGGGAGACAGGAGAAGGCTGAGGGAGAGAGGGGATCTGTCAGTGAGGCAGGCAGGGGTGGGTGGGAAGGAGGGACTTAGAGGGAAGAGAATAAAAGAAGAGAGAGAGGGCAGGAATCATGTGTGAGGCAACCCTAACATCCAAGTCCAAAATAATTTGTTGACAAAATACATGAACAAAAAGGCTCTTCAATGCCTCTTTTGCCTCCCCAGTCCAGCAGCCTTTCGGATTCCAAAGCGGCTGTCCTGGAAAATATAGGGCTCCTTCCACTGTGAGGATAGGTTTCTATCCCCGTTGGAAAGAATCAAGAAAAGAGCGAAACTCTGTCTCAAAAAAAAAAAAAAAAAAAAAAGAGAAAGAAGAGGTAAAAGATGGAATGTGAGAGGCTCCAGGCTGGTGCTAATTGGGGGAGAAGATTCTGGGAGCAAGTTGGAGTCGTCTGCATTGATTATGCAATCGTGGAGGGAGGGAGAGAGTGCATCCTCCTCCTGGTACTCCCCATTCCCTGTCAGGTGATGTTTAATGGGTCCTAATGACACTCTTGATCATTCCTAGGGAAAATTAATGATTCTTGCTACAGCCAATCCAAACCCACAGAGCTTTGTGGATGTTAGTTTTTCCTTTCTCTCTCCCCCACCTTTTTTTTTTTTTTTTGATAAGTTTCTTTCTCTGTGCCAGTGTTGGAGAGATAGGCAGGATTTCATTATTGCTTCTTAGCTGATATTTAACCTAGGAAGAAACATTTATCATTCTTTAGGCTTCATTTCCGTGTTCTCCATTATTTCTAAGTTACTCCTTATTTGGAGTTGACTTGTTTAGATGTGGCAGCAAGGGCTCAGACACATTCGTAGATTGTGCACTGTAGAAGGAAGGAAAACGTTTTAGCCACTCATATTTCCTCCATGCATTCCCATTGCCCCCCACTCACTCTCCAGCCACAATGAACACATGACTCTTTCCCTAAAAACCACACCTACCTCTTCTCAGCCTACAGCAAGACCTTGGCAAGGTAATTTGGCTTCCTACTCTACTGGGTGCTAGAACTGGGGAGGACTATGTGTCCAGTTGATATTTAGTTCAAATATCCCTGATGGTTCCTGTGGGGTAGTAGTTACTAGGGCTTAAGGTATTTTCACTGTTACAAATTTTGAACAATTAAAAAAAATAACTTTGGCCTTTGTTTATTCCTTCAAAAATTGTGCATAAAATTATATCAACCTTATACCTTAGGCTGTTGTCTTTGTCTGTTTTTGCTGCTGTAACAAAATACTTGAGAATGGGCAATTTATAAAAAAAAGAAATTTATTTCTCACAGTCCTGGAGGCTGGGAAGTCCAAGATCAAGGTGCCAGCAGATTCCATGTCTGGCAAAGGCTGCTGTCTGCTTCTGAGATGATGCCTTGTTGCTACATCCTCTGGAAGTGAGAAATGCTGTATAACCTTATATGGCAGAAAGCAGGAGGACAAGAGAGCCAAACACTGAATGAAGCTTCTTTTGTAAGAGCCTTCTTCTCATTCACGAGGGAGGAGCCGGCATGGCCTAATCACCTCTTAAAGGCCTCCCACCTCTTAATACAACCACATTGGCAACCTCTGAATTTTGGAGGGGACACATTCAAACCACGGCAGCTGTTCTTGATAATCATTAATCATCAAGGCATACATTAGCTGGCAGAGATGAATGCTGTGAGGTGGGAAGAGGAGGCACTCATTCAGCAACTCAACAAATATTTACAGAGAGCCTACTATGGGCTGGCCCCACTCTTTGTTCCGGAAATATCTCAGAAAGCAAAACAGATGGACCACATGGTTTATTAAGAAGCCAAACATTAGCAGATTATCACACGATAGACAAGTTACAGAAAATAACTCCTAGTGTTGGGATGAGCTCAAAAAAGAAACCAGCATTTTTGAGCATCTACTTTATACCTGGCACTGTACACAGGAAGGGATCTATATCATTTATTTAAATAATTATACCATAAGGTGGGTGTTATTGTGCCCTTTTTACCAATAGGAACACAGAATCAAAGAAAGGAAGCTCCCAGAGACCCATGGCAATTATAGAGGCAAAACTAGAGTGTTGTCAAGTTCTATTTGACACAAAACCTACTCGCAAACTTAGAAATCTACTTCACATCATGCATAGAAACAAATTCCTGGTGGACTGAGTGTGAAAAATGAAATCTCTTATATGAGAATACATTCCTTAGTTAAAATGCACACATTATGAAGCAAAATATGGCCAAATGTGATTATATCAAAAGTAGACTTTGGAGGCTTTGCTTCTGTCCAAGCTGGAGTAACAAGGACTGGGTTTACTCTTTCACCTGAAACAACTGAGAATCTTGATAAAATATTAATGTGTGCAAGCACAGGTCTCAAGGTGTTATGCATCAAGCAAGGGAGGGCGGTGATCCCCAGAGAAGGGAGGTGATGAATTAGTTGAGTCCTATGATTACCCTGATGACACCCTGGAGCACATTTCCAGGCTGTGGAGCAGGGAGGGTATAGTGGTTCATGTACATGATATGTAAACTTGCCTGGATCACAGGGTGCCCAGATTAAACATTATTTCCTTGTATATCTTTGAGGGTGTTCAGGATTAGATTAACATGTGAATTGATGAATTTGGTAAAGTAGATTGCTCTCTCCAGTGTGAGCAGGCATTATTCAATCCACTGAAGGTCTGAATAGATCAAAAAGGGGAGGAAGTGAAGATTCAGCACTTTCCTGCCTGCCTGCTTAAGCTGGGGCATCAGTTTCCTCTTGCCCTTGCACTGAAATTTACTATCTCAGCTTCCCTGGTTCTTGGGCCTTTAGACTCAGACTAGAATTACACCAGAGGCTTTCCTAGCTCTCCAGCTTGCAGACCTAGCTTTCAGGCATGGGAGTTTTCAGCCACCTTAACTGTATGAGTTTATTCTTCATAATAAATAATAAATCTTCACAAAAATAAATAAATACACAAAATATCTCTTCTATGTATTATATATAACGTATCTTTTATATCTCATATATGTTCATATAATTATATCTCATGTATATTTTATACATACATATATATATATACACACACACACACATCTATCTATATACATATCTATCTATCTGTATCTCCTATTGGTTCTGTTTCTTTGAAGAACCCACCTCTCTGAATGCAGCAGAGGTGGAACCCAGACAGGGATCAGTGGGTTAAAGACAGAGCTGGGAGCCAAGGTAGCCAGAGTTTGCCAGGCAGAGTATGGCGGAGAGAGCCACGCAGAGAGAGAATTCTGGACACCTACGGAGGAATCTCTTCGAGTATATAAAAGAGGACTGATCAGCAGTGCATGTGAGGAAACAACCTAAAAAAGAACTGGCCATGTATGTGGCTCACAGCTGTAATCCCAGCACTTTGAGAGGCCGAGGCAGGTGGATCACAAGGTCAGGAGTTGGAGAACAGCCTGACCAACATGGTGAAACCTTGTCTCTACCAAAAATACAAAAATTAGCTGGGTGTGGTGGCGTGCACCTGTAATCCCAGCTACCCAGGAGGCTGAGGCAGGAGAATCACTTGAACCTGGGAGGTGGAGATTTCAGTGAGCCGAGATCACCCCACTCTACTCCAGCCTGGGCAATAGAGCAAGACTCCATCTCAAAAAAAACACACCAAAAAAACAACTAGAGCCAGAAAAAGAACCCCCATAAAGGGTTAGAAGGAACGGAATCTGTTTTAGTGTATCTTTAAAAGGTTTTTTTCCAGAACATGAAAGTAATTAAAATACTGAAAAATTGAAATGTGGATATTTTAAAACTCACAATATTATTTTCTGTTAAGACATTATTTTGATACCCAAACCAGAATTTATTATAATTTTTCTTTTCTGGTTTTAATGGTGGCAAACTGATCAATATTTTCAAAGTTGGCCTCTTTGCGTTTTTCATTTTTAATGGAGAGAATTGTCATATTTGATAATTTTCTCTTGGCCAAGGGGTGATCAACATTTAATATGACCTTAGTCATAAATTGTATAGATGCCTTTTATTGGATTGAGAAAGTCTTCTTTAGTTTCTACTTTCTTTAGAGCTTTTTTTTTTTCATGAATGTGTGTTGAATTTTGCCAAATACTTGTTCTGTGTTTATCAAGATGATTTCATAATTTTCTTCTTCATTTTTTAAATAAATTACACTGACTTCGGGTGAATTACACTGATTTTCGAATATTAAAACCATGTTGCATTCCTAAAATGAAACTACATGGTCATATTATTAATTTGGTGCAAAAATAATTGTGGTTTTCTCCATCACTTTTAAATGACAAAAACCTCAATTACTTATGTATTGCTGGATTAGGCTTACCGATATTTTGTCAAAAATTTTTGTTTATTTTCATAAGAAAATTTAGTCTGTAGTGTTCTTTTATTTTTCTTTATCTGACTTTAGTATCAGGATAATGCTAAAATAAGTTGGAAACTGTTTCCTACTATTTCATTTTCTGGAAGAGATTATATAAACTTTCTGTTATTTTTTTCTCTAAAACATATTTGGTAGAATTGGCCAATGAAAAAATCTGGACACAGAGGTCTTTTTTTAAAGATGGTTTTTTGTTATTAGGTTGATTTCTTTAATAGACATGCCACTACTTCAAATTTTCATTTCTTCCTGAATCAGCTTGGTAATTTGAAATTTTCTAGTAATTTGTTCATCTATTGATGGTTTTTTTATTAGGTTGATTTCTTTAATAGACATGCCACTACTTCAAATTTCCATTTCTTCCTGAATCAGCTTGGTAATTTGAAATTTTCTATAATTTATTCATCTACTGCTATCTATACTGGCATGCTTTCATAAAATTCTTCATATATTCCTTTATTATCTATTAAAAGGATATCTTTCATTTCCTGCATTAGGAATTTGTTTCTTTTATTTTTTGGTTAGTGTAGTTAAAGTTTTATAAATTTTTCTGCTCTTTCAAAGAAACAATCTTTGGCTTCATTGATTTTTCCCTACTATTTTTCCATGAACTCTTGTCTTCATTACTTCTTTTTCTCTTTTACTTACTTTGAGTTTAAAATTAGCTCTTCTTTTTCTAAGTACATTGACTTTAAAATCTTAGCAACATACTATACGCACTTAAAGCTACAAATTTCCCTCTGTGCACTGCTGTGACTGCACACTGTATGTTTAGTTTTTATAACTTGTGTGTTTTTAAAATACATTTCCAAATTTTATTTTATTTTTATTTTTGAGACAGGGTCTCACTCTGTCACCCAGGCTGGAGTGCAGTGGCACAATCATGGCTCACTGTATCCTCAATCTCCTGGGTTCAATCATCTTCCTACCTCAGCCTCCAGAGTAGCTGGGACTACAGATTCATGCCACCATGCCCAGCTAAATTCTTGTGTTTTTTTGTAGAGACCATGTTTTGCATGTTGCCCAGGCTGATCTTGGACTCTTGGACTTAAGCAATCCTCCCAGCTCGGCCTCCCAAAGTGCCGAGATTATAGGCATGAACCGTTGTGCCTGGCTCAAACTGCTACATTTTTGAACAGCTTTAGATTTACCGAAAGTTAGATAATGCATGAATTTCCTATATATCTGTCATCCTGTTTTACCTATTATTAACATAGTACATTAGTATGGTGCATTTGTTACAATTAATGAACCAAGTCCATATTTTATTCAGATTTCCCTAGTTTTTGCCTGATGTCTAATTTCTGTTCCAGTTTCTCACCCAGAGTACCACATTGCATTTGTTAGCCATGTATCCTTAGGCCCTTCTTGGCAGTAACAGTTTCTCAGACTTTTCTTGGTTTTTATGGCCTTGACAGTTTTGAGGATTACCGATCAGATGTTTTGCAGACTTTCTCTCAATTTGAGTTTGTCTGGTGTTTTTTCATGATTAGGAGTGATGCATCACAGTTTTTGTGGCGATTGTGCATAAAATGGCTACAAATCTTCATGTGCAGATTTTTGTTTGGACACATTTTCACATCAGTTAGGTAAATATCTAGACACATGATTGCTAGATTTTATGATAAAAGTATGTTTAGTTTTGTAAGAAATTGTAAGAAATCTGTATTTGTTGTCCTCAGTTTCTGAATTTTAGCCAATCTAATAGGTGTACAGTGGTATCACATTGCTGTTTCCATTTGGAATTCCCTGATGACAAGTGATGCTGAGCGACTTTTCATGTGTTTAATTTCCATATGTTTATCATCTTTGGTGAGTGGTTTGCTCAGGTCTTTTATCCATTTTTAATTTTTTTTAATATTTCTGAGTTTTAAGTGTTTTTTACATATTTTGGATACAAAGAGTTTATCTTACTGTGTTTCGCAAATATCTTGCCCCTAGTCCGTGGCTTGTGTGTTGTGTTAATTGTGACTTTCACAGATAAATTTTTAATTTTAATAAAGCCCACCCTAACAATTTTTCTTTTATGGATTGTGTTTTTAGTGTTGTATCTAAAAATTTATCACTGAATCCACGGATTTTTCTCATGTTTTTCTCTAAAGTTTTATAGTTTTTCATTTTACATTGAAATCTATAATTCATTTTGAATCAATATTTGTGAAAGAATAGGGTCTGTGTCCAGAGTTTTTTTTTTAATTATGGATGCCCAATTGTTCCAATATCATTTGTTGAACAGACTATCTTTTTTTTCTATTGAATTTTTGTCTAAGATCAGTTTACTATATTTGTGCATTTCTACTTCTGTACATTCTTTTTTGTACCGTTGATCTATTTGTCGATTAACACACTAATATCACATTGTCTTGGTTACTGTAGTTTTATAGTATGTCTTGAAGTCATGCAGATCATGTCCACCAATTTTGTCCTTCAGTATTGTATTGAAAATTCTAGGTGTTTTGCTCTTCCATATAACTTTAGATACAGTTTGTCAATATCTAAAAAATAGCTGGAATTTTGATTGGGATTGCACTGATTTATAGATCAAGTTGGAGATAATTGAAATGTTAACCATTTTGAGCTTTCTAATTCATAAACATAAAATATTATTTCATTTATACAGATCTTATATTTTATTCATCAGAGTTTGTAGTTTTCTGCATATAGATCCCATATGTATCCTTGCACATATCTTGTGAGATTTATACCTAAGTTTTGTGTTTTTTTTGGGATGGAGTCTAGCTTTGTTGCCCAGGCTGGAGTGCAGTGGCATGATCTCGGCTCACGTCAAGCTCTGCCTCTCCAGTTCACGCCATTCTCCTGCTTCAGCCTCCGGAGTAGCTGAGATTATAGGCACCCACCACCACGCCCGGCTAATTTTTTTTTTTTTTTTTTTTTTTGGATTTTTAAAAAAGACGGGGTTTCACCGTGTTAGCCAGGATGGTCTCTATCTACTGACCTCGTGATCTGCCTGCCTCGGCCTCCCAAAGTGCTGGGATTACAGGCGTGAGCTACTGCGCCCGGCCCTAAGTATTTTTTTTTTTTTTTTTTGGGGGTATTGCAAATGGTATTGCCTTTAAATTTCAAATTCCAATAGGTTAATGCTGCTATACAGGCAAGCAATTGACTTTTGTGTTTTAACCTTGTATCCTACACCTTGCTGTACTCACTTACTAGTTCCCAGATGGTTATTTTTGCTAATTCTTTGGGATTATCCACATAGACTATCATTCCATCTATAAACAGACAGTTTTCTTTATTTTTCTTTCCAATCTGTATACTTTTTCTTTTCTTGTCTTATTGCATTAGATGGGACGCCAGTATGATGGTGAAAAGAAGTGTGGTGAGAGGTAACTTTCTTGCCTTTTTTCTGATCTAACACACCAGTAAGTATGCTAATTGTGGTTTTTCGTAGATGTTTATTAACAAGGTAAGGCAGCTATCCTCCATCTCTAGTTTCTGAGTTTTTGTCATGAATAGATACGGGGTTTTGCCAAATCCCTTTTATCTGCATCCATTAATATAATTATATGGTTTTTCTTCCTTAGCCTTTTGATGTGGTGGATTATATTGATTAATTTTCAAATGTAGAACTAGCCTTGCATAGCTGGAATAAATTCCACTTTGTTGTGGTGTGTAGTTATTTTGATTCCTTTTTGGACTCAATTTACTAGTGTTTTGCTGTGCATTTTGCATTTATGTTCATGGAGAATATTGGTCTGAGTCAGGAATTTTTTTCATATGCTTCTATTTTCTGGGCTGTAGAAAACTATCATCTCTTACTTAAATATTTGGTAAAATTCACTAGTGTAATTGTCAGGACATGAGTCTTTCTTTTTTGTACGTTTATTAATTATGATTCAATTTCTTCAATAGATATAGACCTTTGCTGACTATCTATTTATGCTCGTGTGAGTTTTGGTAGTTTATGTCTTTCAAGAAATTTGTCCCATTTATCTAAGTTATCAAATCTGTAGGCATAGAAATGTTAATAGTATTCCTTTATTGTTTTTCTCATGTCTTTGGGCTCAGTAGTGATTATCCCTCTTTCATTTCTCACATTGATAATAAATGTCATCTCTCCTTTGTTCTTGATTAGCCTGGCTATAAGTTCATCACTTTTATTAATTTTTTTGAATGAATCAGCTTTGGATTTTGGGGAGGATTTTTTTCTCTCTCGTTTTTCTGTTTTCAATTTTATTAATCTGCTCTAATTTTATTATTTCTTTTCTTCCTTTTACTTCAGGCTTAAATTGCTTTTCTTTCTCTAGTTTTCTAAGGTAGAAGCTTAGATGATTAATTTTAGATATTTCTTCTTTACTAATATCTGCACTTAATGCTAATAATTTCCTCCTATCCACTGCTTTTGCTGCATCCCATAAATTTTGATAAATTGCACATTTATTTTAATTTAACTGATAATATTTTAAAATTTCAAAGTTTTTTTTTCTTTGGCACACATGTTATTTAAAAGTATGTTGTTTAATTTCCAAATATTTGGGGATTTTCCAATTATCTTTTTGTTATTGATTTTTACTTCAATTCCACTTGGTGTGGGAGCCAACTTTTATAGTATTATCTTCCTATAAATTTGTTAAGGTGTGTTTTATGGCCCAGAATGAGTTTTGTTTTTTTTTTTTTTTTTTTTTTTTTGTAGCAGGGAGTGGGGTTGCGAATGTTCCATGTAAACTTGAGAAGAATGTATATTCTGCTCTTGTTGGATGGAACATTCCATAAATGCCAATTAGATCAAGTTGATTGATAGTACTGTTTAGGCCAACTATATTCTTACTGATTTTCTGTCTGTTTGATCTATCAATTACTGAAATGGGAATGTTGAAGTCTCCAACTATAATAGTGGATTTTCCCCATTTCTCCTTTCAATTATATTATTTCTTTTTCTCTCATGTATTTTGACTCTGCTGTTAGGTACAGGTATATCTAAATGCTAGATAGTATAACATGTAGGATTGTTAAATCTTTTTGGAAAATTGACTTCTGTAACATTATAAAACATTCCCCTTTATTCCCAATAACTTTCCTTGTTATGCAGTCTGCTTTGTCTGAAATTAATATAGCTACTCCAACTTTCTTTTGATTAGTCTTAATATGTTTTAGCATTATTCAGAATTTTTCAGAGAAACAGAACCAATGGCACATACATATACAAGGAAACAGATGTATTAGAATGAGTTCTCTTGCTCATTATGAAGGCTGGTTAGTACAAAATCTGCAGTGTGAACTGGTAGTCTTAAGATCCAGGGAGAGCCAATGGTGCAGTTCTAGTCCAAAGGAAGTCTGGTGGGAAGGTTTCTATTGACTGAGGAGGCTGGTCTTTTTATTCCATTTAGACTTTCAACTGATTAGATGAGGCCCATGTACATTAAGGAGAGTATTCTGCTTATTCAAAGTTCACTGATTTAAGTGTTAATCTTATCCAAAAACACCCTCCAAACTGACATACAAAATTTATCAATCATCATAAGATCACCTCTTATCAACTTAGCACCTGTCTAGTCAGCTCAGAATACCATAGATTGGGTGGCTTAAACAACAGACATTTGTTTCTTACAATTCTAAAGACTGGGAAGTGCAAGAACAAGGTGCTGGTAGATTCAGTTTTTGGTGAAGGTATTCTTCCTGGCTTGCAGATTGCCACATTTTCACAATGTCTTCATATGAAAGAGAGAGAAAGAAAGAGCTCTGGTATTTCCTCTTCTTCAGATAAGGAAACTAATTCCATTCTGAGGGGTGGCACTGGACTGAATATTTATATCCCTCCTAAATTTATATAATGAATTTCCAGCCCCCAAGGTAATGATACTAAGAGATGGGTCTTTGGCGAGGTGATTAGGCTGTGAGGGTGAAGCCCTCATGAATCAGATTAGTGCCCCTATAAAAGAGATCCTGGAGAGATCTCTCATCCTTTCCCTCATGTAAGGACACAGTGAGAAGATGGCTGTCCATTGATACACCAGGAAGAGGACCCTTACCAGTCACCAAATCTACCTGCACCTTGATCTTGGACTTCCCAGCCTCCAGTACTGTGGGAAATAAATTTCTGTTGTTTATAAGCTACCCAATTTATGGTATCTTGTTATAGCAATCCAAATGCACTATGAAGGGATTCAACATCCAAGACACAACTCACAAAGGCTGCACCTCCAAATGCCATTACATTGGGAGTTAGGGCTTCAACATGTACATTTTGGAGGAGAACACACATTCAGTCCATAATAGCACCCATAAACTATACTTAATACCTGAATGAAAACAATACTAAGGTCATATTTCCACCTAACATGGTACAACCAAAAACATACTACCCCTTTTTTCAGAAGAGGATGGAACGTCCTTAGATGATGTATACTATTTTCCTTGATCTCATGTAATTTAAATCCGGTGCTATAAATGCATTTCATATAACATGAAAAGGGGCTAAGAGAGTAAGGAAAACAGATATTTGATACACACACATACACAAACATATTCATAACAAAATTAGGAGAAAATACTCATGACAATTACAGTTATCATTTCTGAAATTGGTCACATGGTCATAGCTGGTATTCATAATTACCTTCTTCTACTAGCAATTCTGTATTCGCTTGCCTTCAGCAGGTATCTCTGTTGATCATGGTTCTTTACCCGAAGGACTGACTAAAACCTTTATTCCTGAAGGGTATGAACCATAGCAGTCCTACTTGAATTGAGTTGTTGAAGTTTTTCATTGTTTTTAGACACAGGGCACAGTGATACTAAGAGACACTGCAGGGGATCTCCTGTGTTTCAGATAAACTTTTCCTTACTTCTCTTACAGAGTAACAGTCCAGTTTCCCCTTCGTAGTCAGAATCCATCACTCCACCCACCACAATAACTCTATTCTTTGTTGACTCAGAGTCATGATGAATCCCAAATAGCCAGGTGGCAATCTTATCTTTCAGTTCAATGGAATTATTGTTGTTTCTTCGCAGAAGCATTCTTCCCTTTAAGATTCAGACCTCTAGGCTTACAGAGTATAATGTCATGGGGATAGAAAGCAAAAATTTTGCTAGTGGGTCACTGGGGGTAATGGTGAATGATGTTACTTCCATTTCCATCTCTTGGTACCTAGACCTATGAATTGTGGCTATGGGAGTAACAGCATCATATATTGAACATTGATTTAGAGCATATACAGACTTCTGGAGAATCTTGCCATAGCCCTGCTGGTGCTGTTACTGAATCTTTAAAAAGACATTCTGTCATTCTATCAAGCCAGCTCCTTCAGGAGAGTGGGAAACATGGTAAGACCAGGGAATTCCATGAACGTGGGCCAATTGCTATACTTTGTTTGCTCTAAAGTGAATTCCTTGTTCAAAAACAATGCTGAGTAAAATACCATGATGGTGGTTAAGGAATCTGTAAGTCCATGGATGGTTGTTTTGGCAGTGCAACTGTGTACAGAGGAAGGCAAAGACACTTATCCATATCCAGATTGTGCTTTAACAGTTGACACCCTACAAGGCTGGGAATTCAATTTGCTTTGTAAATCAGTCACTCATAGAATAAGACTCTGGGATTGACTTTCATCAATCTCAGCCCTAAGGCTACAGCAGATAAGGGCCTCCTTCAGGTCAGACATGGAAGCTATCAGGTCATTTATATGTCACTTGAGCTGGGAATTTGAACCACCGATCTCATCCTTTTCTTTCCCTACTTTGTCCAGCAACATTAGGAGTAACCAGTCAATCTTACTATACTTATTAGTTTGACAAAAATGTTTGAAAGTATTATATACATAGTCACTTGGGTCCTCTTGCTTCTTAAAAGTGTTTGATTAGGAGTATCTATTGATGATATTTAGTAGTATATCTCTATTGCCAGAGCATGCCACGGACTATCAGTGCTTTCTTTACTACTAGAAATAGTCATTACTGTTTTTAAATTTAATAAAGTTAAGGAACAGATTTCAGAAATCCCTTCAAAATTCAGTAAATTTATCCTTAAAGTTCTGTTTCTCTAGAAGCATACTTAGTACCAAAATTTATATTAGTCAGGATTCTCCAGAGAAACAGAACCAATAGGGAGAGTATATGAGTGTATTTATTGGAAGAAATCGCCTCGTATGGTTATGGAGGTTAGCAAGTAGATAATCTGCAGTGTAGGCCAAGCAGGCTGGGGACCCAGGAGAGCCAATGGTACAGTTCCAGTATGAAGGCTGGCACACTGGAGGCCCAGGAATGCTGATGGTATGAGGTGTGAAGGTATTCTTTTGAAGAATTCCCTCTTGCTTGAGGAGGTCAATTTTTTCGTCTATTCAGGCCTTCAACTGATTGGTTGAGGCCCACCCACCTTGTTGAAGGTACTCTGCTTACTCAAAGTTTGTCAATCTTTTTAAAAATTATCCTCCAAGTTGACACATAATATCAACTACTACAGTATTGTATATCTTTATCCACACATTTATTTTTGACTCACCTTAGTCTTTATATTTAAAATGGGTTTCTTATGGACAGTTTAAAGATGATTATGGTTTTCTTAATCCACTCTAATAATCTCTGTCTTTTAATTGGTGCGTTTAGATTATTCACATTTAAAGTGAATATTGGTACAGTTGTATTAATGTCTACTATGTTTATAACTATTTTCTATATATTTGTTCTTTGATTTTCCTTTTTTCTTTTTCTGCCTCCTCTGGTTGTAATTGAGCATTTTGTATAATTTTATTCTATCACCTTTCTTAGTATGTCAATTATATTTCTTTTTACTTTTTTGTTTTCCTTGAAGTTTGCAACTTACATTTTTAGCTAACAAATAAGTATAATAAATTTAATAAGATAAAAATATTAAAAGTGTGACTTCAGTGAAAATACAAATAATAAGACAATGAAACAGGCTTATTGCTCCTATAGAGAAGGTTACAGTGGTCTGGATAGAAGACCAAACCAGCCACAACATGTCCTTAAGGCAAAGCCTAATCCAAAGAAAGGCCCTAACTTTCTTCAACTCTACCAAGGCTGAGAGAGGCAAGGAAGCTTCAGAAGAAAAATTGGAAGCTACCAGAGGTTGGTTCATGATATTTAAGATAAGAAGTCAACTCCATTACATAAAAGTGCAAGGTGAATCTACAAGTGCTGATGTAGAAGCCGTAGTGAGTTATCCAGATGATCTCACTAAGATAAATGATGAAGGTTTCCTCACTAAACAACAGATTTTCAGTGTAGATGAAACAGCCTTCTATTGGAAGAGGAATGATGTTCACAGCTAGAGAGGAAAAGTTAATGCCTTCAAAGCTTCAAAGGACAGGCTGACACTCTTGTTAAGGGCTAATGCAGCTGGTGACTTTAAGTTGAAGCCAATGATCATTTACCATTCCAAAAATCCTAGGGCTCCTAAGAATTATGCTAATCTACTCTGCCTGTGTTCTAGAAATGGAAAGACAAAACCTAGATGAGAGAATACCTGTTTACAGCATGGTTTAGTGAACGCTTTAAGTTCACTGTTGAGACCTACAGAAAGAAAAATGTTCCTTTCAAAATATTACTGCTCGTTGACAATGCACCTGGTCACCCAAGACCTCTGTGCAAAGAGATGAACGTTGCTTTTATGCCTGCTAACAGAACATCCATTCTGTAGCCCAAGGAGTGATTTTGACTTCTATGTCTTATTATTGAAGAAATACACTTTGTAAGGCTATAGCTGCATAGATAGTGATTCCTCTGATGGATTTGGGCAAAGCAAATGGAAAAGCTTCTGGAAAAGATTCACCATTCTAGATGCCTTTTAGAACATTCATGATTCATGGGAGGAGGGCAAAGTATCCTCATTAACAGTTGTTTGGAAGAAGTTGATTCCAACCTTCTTGGATGACTTTGAGGAGTTCAAGACTGTAATGGAGGAAGTAACTGCTAATGTAGTAGAAATAGCAAAAGAACTAGAAGCGCAGCTTAATTCCATCACACATGACTGAATTGCTGCAATCTCACGACAAAACTTGGATGAGGAGTTACTTCCTATGGATGAACAAAGAAAGTGTTTCCTTGAGATGGCATTTACTCCTGGTGAAGATGCTTTGAACATTGTTGAAATGACAAGTAACTTAGAATATTACACAGACTTAGTTGATAAAGCTGTGTCAGTTTGAAATGATTGACTCCAATTTTGAAAGAAGTTCTACTATGGGTAAAATACTATCAAACAGAATCACATGCTACAGAGAAATCTTTCAGGAAAAGAAGAATCAATTGGTGTGGCAAACGTAATTGTTGTCTTATTTTAAGAAACTTAAGAATTTTAAGAAATTGTCATAGTCACCCCAACCTTCAGTGACTACCATTGAGATTAGTTAGCAGCCACCAACATCAAAGCAAAAAGATTACAATTCATTCCACTAGCAGAAAGATTACAACTGCCAGAAAGCTCAAATGATTATTAGCATGTTTTAATCAATAAAGTATTTTTAAAATTAAGGTATGTTTGCTATTTTTAGACATAATGCTATTGCACACTTAATAGACTACTGTATAGTGTAAAAATAACTTTTACATGCCTTGGGAAACAAAAAAAATTGTATGACTTGCTTTATTGCAATATTTGCTTTATTGTGGTAGTCTGGAACCAAACCTTCAATCTCTGAGGTATTCCTGTAATCTTATACCATTTTTTTTGTACAATGCAAGGACATGAAAAAAGTATACTTCCAAACAAACCCCTACAACTCAGTAATCAAAAGACAAGTTACCCAATATACAGATGAGCAAATGATCTGAATACACTTTTTCTCAAAGACAATATACAAATGGCCAATAAGCACATTAAAAGATAGTCAACATCATAAGCCATTAGAAAATGCAGATTAAAACCACAGTGACATACCAATTCAAACCCACTAGGATGGCTGCAATCAGAAAGACAGACAACAAGATTTTTATGAGGGAATACAGTCATTGGAATCTTCATACATTCCCAGCAGGAAAGTAAAAGTGGTGCAACTTCTTTGAAAAGCAGTCTGATAGTTTCTCAAAAGGCTAAACATAGAATTACCATATGACTTATTAATTACACTCTTATGTAGGCATGACAGTGGCAAACATGTTTGCACAAAATCTTGTACACAAATGTTCATAGCAGCATTATTCATAATAGCCAGAAAGTGTAATCAAGTCAAATTTCCATCAACTGATGAATGGACAAATAAAATGTAGATCCAAGTAATGGAATATTATTTGGCAATAAAAATAAATTAAGTACTTATACATGTGTGATGGTTAATACTGAGTGTCAACTTGATTGGAATGAAGGAAGCAAAGTATTGTTCCTGGGTGTGTCTGTGGGGGTGTTGCCAAAGAAGATTAACATTTGAGTCAGTGGACTGAGGGAGGCAAACCCACCCTCAATCTGGGTGGGTACCTTCTAGTCAGCTGCCAGCGTGGCCAGAATAAAAGCAGGCAGAAGAATGTGGAAAGACTCGACTGGCTTAGTCTCCCAGGCTACATCTTTCTACTGTGCTGGACTCCAAGTTCTTCAGCTTTGGGACTCAGACTGGCTTCCTTGCTCCTCAGCTTGCAGATGACCTGTAGTGGGACCTCACCTTGTGATCATGTGAGTCATTACTCCTTAATAAACTCCCTTTTATATCTACATTTATCCTATTAGTTCTGTCCCTCTAGAGAACCCTGACTAATACAACATGCTACATCATAAATGAATCTTGAAAACATTATGCTAAGTGAAAAAAGCCAGGCACAAAAGACCACATACCATATGATTCCACTCATATGAAAGTCTGCAACAGGAAATTCTATACAGATAGAAAATAGGTTCGTGGTTGCTTAGGCCTGGGTATGGAGATGGGAAGAGTAGAAGGGTGACAGCTAAAAGGTATAGGATTTCTTATTGAATTGAAGACAATATTTAAAATTGATTGTGGTGAGAGTTGCACAACTCTGAATATATTAAAAACCATTGAATTGTATTCTTTAAATGGGTGAGTTGTATGCTGTGTGAATTACACCTCAATAAAGTTATTACCAAAAAAATGGTATATCGCCATATTACTCCTTCCTGTCCTTTGTTCCATTTTTGTCATATATTTTACCTCTTCATGTACTATTAATTTCACAATATAGTTATTTTTGTTATTTTAAATTACCTTTGAAACATAAATAATATGTCTTTCATATTTATACATATAATTACCATTTCTGGCAAATTTTATTCTTTTATGTCAATCTGAATTTCTACTTGGGATTATTTTCCTTCAGTGTAAATAATTCCCTTTAAATATTATTTTGTAGTAGAATTCTGCTTATGAGGAATAACCTCAGTTTTTGTTTGAAAATTTTAACCTTCATGTTTGAAGTTTATTTTTTTAGGTTCACAATTTTTGTTTGTTTTGTTTTTGTTTGCACTTATATAACATTTAGTTGTATTCTGGTTTACATTAATTTTCATAAATCAGTGGGTATTCTCATCTTTGTGTCTCTTATTTATCTGGCTATTTTAAATATTTTTCTCTTAAAAAGTATCCTTCTCAGCATTTTTAAAAAACTTTTTTCATTTTTTAAACTTTTAGATTCAGGGGTACATGTACAGCTTTGATATATAGGTAAACTCATGTTACAGGAGTTCATTGTATAGATTATTGCATCACCAGGTACTAAGGCTAGTACCCAATAGTTATTTTTTTTTCGTGTCCTCTCCCTCCTCCTGCCATTTACCCTCAAGTAGGACCTAGTGTCTGTTGTTTCTCTCTTTGTGTTCGTGTGTTCTCATCATTTAGCTACCACTTATAAGTGAGAACATGTGGTATTTGGTTTTCTATTCATGCAGTAGTTTGCTAAGGATAATGGCCTCGAGCTCCATCCATGTTCCTGCAAAGGACATGATCTCCATTCTTTTTATGGCTGCATAATATTCCATGATGTATATGTACCACATTTTCTTTATCCAATCTGCCATTGATTGGCATTTAGGTTGATTCCATGTCTTTGCTATTGTGAATAGTGCTGCAATGAGCATATGCGTGCGTGTGTCCTTATGATAGAACAATTTATATTTCTTTGGATATATACCCAGTAATGGGATTGCTGGGTTGAATGATGTTTCCATTTTTAGCTCTTTAAGGAATCACCACACTGCTTTCCACAATTGTTGAACTGATTTACACTCCTACCAATAGAATATAAGCATTCCCTTTTCTCCACAACCTCGCCAGCATCTGTTATTTTTTTACTTTTGTGGTTTTGATTTGCATTTATCTAGTTATCAGTGACGTTGAGCTTTTTTTTCATATGATTTTGGCTACATATATCTCTTCTTTTGAAAAGCGTCTGTTCATGTTCTTTTGAGGCAAAAGAATAGGGTCTGGATGCGGGGAACCTAAAGCTGGTTCTCGCTGACTTCCTAGAACTGAATCAAAAGGAAAACCCCAATCAGAGTGGTTGTGGGCCAAGTCTTCATATGTAACTTTGTAACTCTGCTTCAGCCAATGATTGGTCCCCTCCTAGAGCCAGTCAGACTGGTCACGGGCCACTCCTTTATTTACATAGGATGTAACCAAGTAACCAATGGGAAACCTCTAGAGAGTGTTTGAACCCCAGAAAATTCTGTAATCTGGGCTCCTGAGCCACTTGCTCAAGCCCGCTCCCATTCTGTGGAGTATAGTTTTGTTTCAATAAATCTATACTTTTTTTTGCTTAATTCTTTTGTTTCTTTGTGTATTTTGTCCAATTCTTTGTTTAAAATGCCAAGAACCTGGATGACTCATAGTCAAGGCCCTCCACTGGTTACACTTTGACCACATTTTAATTGGGTTGTTTGTTTTTTTCTTGTACATTTGTTTAAGTTCCTTGTAGATTCTGGATATTAGACTTTTGTCAGATGCAGTTTGCAAATATTTTCTCCCATTCTGTAGGTTGTCTGTTTACTCTGTTGATAGTTTCTTTTGCTGTGCAGAAGCTCTTAAGTTTATTTAGATCCCATTTGTCAATTTTTGCTTTCATTGTGTTTGTTTTGGCATCTTCATCATGAAATCTTTGCCTGTTCCTATGTCTAGGTAGGTATTGCCTAGGTTGTCATCCAGGGTTTTTATAGTTTTGGGCTTTACATTTAAATATTTAATCCATCTTGAGTTGATTTTTGTATATGATATAAGGAAGAGGTCCAGTTTCAATCTTCTACATATTGCTAGCCTGTTATCCCAGCACTATTTATTGGATAGGAAGTCCTCCCCCCATTGCTTGTCTTTGTCAGCTTTGTTGACAGTCAGATGGTTGTAGATGTGCAGGCTTCTTTCTGGGCTTTCTATTCTGTTCTTTTGGTCTATGTGTCTGCTTTTGTAGCAGTGTCATGCTCTTTGGGTTATTGTAGCCCTGCAGTATAGTTTGAAGTCAGGTAATGTGTTGCTTCTAGCTTTATTCTTTTTGCCTTGGCTATTTGGGTTCTTTTTTGTTCCATATGAATTTTTAACTAGTGTTTTTCATTTCTGTGAAGAATCTCTTTGGTAATTTGATAGGAATAACACTGAATCTGTACATTGCTTTGGGTAGTATTCTTTGAGCAGTGTTTTGTAATTCTCATTGTAGAGATCTTTCACCTCCTTTGTAAGCTGTATTCCTAGGTATTTTATTCTGTTTGTGGCAATTGTGAATGGATTGTGTTCCTGATTTGACCCTTGGCTTGGCTGTTGTTGGTGTACAGGAATGCTAATAATTTTTGTATGTTGATTTTGTGTCTGTAAACCCTGCTGAAGTTGTTTATCAGCCGAAGGAGATTTAGGGCCAAGGTTATGGAGTTTTCTAGATATAGAATCATGTCATCTGCAAACAGGGATAGTCTGACTTTCTTTCTTCCTATTTAGATGCCCTTTATTTCTTTCTCTTTCCTGATTGTCCTGGCCAGGACTTCCAATACAATGTTGAATAGGAGTGATGACAGAGGGTTTCCTTGTCTTGTGATGATTTTCAAGGGAAATGCTCCCAGCTTTTGCCCATTCAGTATGATGTTGTCTGTGGGTTTGTCATAGATTGCTCTTATTATTTTGAGGTATGTTCCTTCAATTCCTAGTTTATTGAGAGTTTTTAACATGAGAGGATGTTAATTTTATTGAAAGTATTTTCTGCATCTATTGAGATAGCTATGTGTTTTTGGTCTTTAGTTGCGTTTATGTGATGAATCACATTTATTAATTTGCATATGTTGAATCAACCTTGTCTCCAAAGGATAAAGCCTACTTGATCACGGTGGATTTGCTTTTTGATGTGCTGCTGGATTCAGTTTGCAAGTATTTTGTGGCTTCAAAACACTTTAAAATAATGAATTGTTTTCTTTGTGTTTATTCTCCTAAGGGTCTCTGGATTACCTTTGATCCATTAATTTCTATTTTTCATGGAATATTTAAAAAATATCACCATTATTTATTTAAGAAGTTTATTTTGCTTGCTTCCACTGTCTTCTCTGGAACTCCATTACTTATATGTTGACTACTGGATATTGTTTCAAGAACAACTAAGGTTTTAATAAGTTTTTTTCCCAGCATTTTTTCTCTAAATGCTTCGGTTTTGATCATCATTATTGCTATGCCTTCAAACTTACTTTTATTTTATTCTGCTATGCGTAATCTGATATTAATTCCAGTGAATTTTTAATTTCAGATTTTGTATTTTTGACATAGCATTTCCACTTTATTAATTTTTACAGTTGCCATTTTATTCCTCATTACAGTCATATTTTCATTTAAATGCTTGAACGTAGTAAACAGAGTAATCTGTTGATTTGTAATATTTTGTAATTGATTTAAAAAAGTGTTGTTTTCTTCTTTGTATGCCTAGTAATTTTGAATGAGTGTTGGACATTTTAATTCTTGCATTGTTGAATGCCTGAATTTTGTTTTCTTCTTTTAATTAGTGTTGAGTTTTGTTCTAACAGGCACTTAATTTACTTGTGAATTATTCTAATGCTTTTGAGGATTTATTATAAGATTTTTTTTAAAGGCAGGTCTAAAATTGCCTTTATACTAAGACTAATGTAACTCTACCTCTAAGTCATGGCCTTCTGGCATCTTTACTGAATATGCTGAGTGTTCAATGAAAACTCTTTTATTCAGGTTGATTATAACTCAACACTTCCCCACTCTTTGTGAGCTTTAGTTGTTCAGGTTACATTTTCCAGAGAGTTGTCTTTGTCTAGCCTTGTAGATACTCACACTACACATGTGTAATTTAATGTCAGCCAAAGACTCCCTGGTTTCCTCATGTGGATTTCTGGAGCTCTTTGTGCAGTTTGTTGGTATTCTTCCTAATAAATGTAAGCTTCCACAACCTCTCTGAACTCCAGTCTTGGTCTTCTTAGCTCTTCACTCTGCTTATTCTATTTAGGTTTTCTCTCCCTGGACTAGGGCTTCATAAAAGCCTCAGGACAGGATACCTGGATGATTGCATGGTTCATCTCAAGTATTTCCCTTCTCTCAGGGTTCACAGTCCCCTACTACCTGTACTGTCTTGTCTGAAGAGGGTTGTTTCACATATTTGTTCAGTTTTGTAGGATTTTATGGTGATAAGACCAATTTCATTCAAATACTTCATTATGGAACAGAAGGGGAAGTTCTGTCATCCTTTTCTAATTACCTTTCAATTTAGAAGAAAATTATTGTGTTGAAGATATGGGATTTTGTAAAAAATAAAGTAAATATAGCCCACATTTTATTTTATTTTATTTTATTTTATTTTATTTTATTTTATTTTATTTTATTTTTTTGAGACGAAGTCTTACACTGTTGCATGGGCTGGGGTGCAATGGCATGATCTCATCTCACTGCAACCTCTGCCTCCTGAGTTCAAGTGATTCTCCTGCCTCAGCCTCCCAAGTAGCTGGAATTACAGGTGCCTACCACCATGCCCGGCTAATTTTTTGTATTTTTAGTAGAGATGCAGTTTCACTGTGTTGGCCAGGCTGGTCTCGAACTCCTGACTTCGTGATCCACCCACTTTGGCCTCTTAAAGTGTTGGGATTACAGGCATGAGACACTGTGCCTGGCCAATAGCACACATTTTAAGAGCAACAACAAAACCAAGACATGTTCTTCCTTGGACCATAATACTTTGCCACTGGCTGAGATTTTTATTTTTCACATTTCTGCCTGTCTGGATCTGTTATGTACTTTCTGGTTGTGTCCTTTGCAAATTAAATACTCAGATCCTGTAAAATCTGTGTAGTATAACAATGTTTCCATAGCTTCTAAAATAATAAGCATCACCTGTAGCACTTGTTAAAAAATATAACTTGCTTCCCAGACATTTCCCTGAGACAGTCTGATTTCCATTGTATTAGGTAGAGACTGGAAATTTGTATTTCAAAAGATAACTCATACATATATATCCAGGCAAACTTGGAAACACTTGTATTATAGTTTAGAGCACAGATTCTGAAGCCAGAAAGCATAGGTTTGGATATCAATGCACTATCTAGGAGCTCTGTTGCCTGAGTAGGTTTTATCCCCTTATTTCCTTCAGGGTTAATGCAGATGATTGTGTGTTTTGTGCCCTACATAAAGGAATCTGGCTAAACTGGCAAGAATGGTCTGAAATCCAGCATTCTGTTTGTGAAGCCAGATAAAAAGAAGTGTGCTTTCATAATTGGTCTGCCTACAGGGGATGTCTTTCTCATTTTCACAGAGTCACCATATAAGACTAGCAGTGTGGCTCTGGTTTCCTTATCTTTGAAATAAGAATGATAGCAGCAGGGCTGGCTACATAATCCATGGGGCTCCTGTGTAAGAAGAAAAGGCAGGAAAGCTTTTTCCTTTCTTTTATTGTCTCTCTGTCAACCTCTCGTAGTGTTTTTTCTTTGCCACTTAATGTCATGCTCCCTAGGACAACAGAGACATTTTCAGGGCAATGCAGACCCTCCCAGGTGCCCAGGGCCCCACCCTATGATTGGCATGCAGGGTGTAAGTGCCTGATGCTAACCCTTGCTGTGCCCAGGCTGCCACCAGGAGCAGGGAATGACAGCACTTACTGGGCAGGGTTGGGGGAGCAGGCAAGTGAGAACCCATCCTGGAGACATGTATGGGTGGGGTGCAGACAGACGTGGGACCACACATGAGATGACACTCCAAACAGCTGCCAACATACACTTCATTGTCCCATCAGATTTTACCTATGGGACACAAATTTCAAGATGGTGACCAGGCTCTGAAAATGAGACTCTTACTGAACATGGTGTCCTTGTGAAACTTCACTGGTCACACACCCATGAAGCTGTCCCTGAATAATAATACCTCTGTTCAATACCTGAAAAGTAGTCAGTACTCAAAGATGTCAGTTGTAATCATTATTTTCACAAGCTGTTCAACCTGTAAGCTCAGTTCTGTCCAGTGTCTGGTAAAAAGCGCAGCGGACTCACAAATGGTGGGGCTGGAACTAATTTAGCAGCCTGATCCTGGACGTGATTCTGTAGAACACTGATTTTATGAGAGGCACTACCCTAGGCACTAAATAGGTCACCCAATCTCTGGGCACAGGAGCTTATAGCCTAATTAGGAAGGGAGGCAATCATAGCACAATGAGATGTACGCTAAAGACAGCAAAAAGGACGAGCTGAAATCAGAGGGAGCTTCCAGAAGCTTCATCTCACAGTCCGGAAATGGGAACGGACATTTAAACTAAGTCCTAGAGGACAAGTAAGATCTAACTAGGCCAAAACAGAAGGTAGGTAATATGTTCTGGGTTCTGAGTAGCAGGTACAAAACCCCTAAAACAAGAAGAAAGAAATGTGGAACTACAAGAGTTATTTATTCTATGACTAATGAATTAAGTTATATATGAGGAGGAGCAGCCGGGCACGGTGGCTAACGCCTGTTCCAGCACTTTGGGTGGCCGAGGTGGGCGGATTGCTTGAGTTCACCAGTTGAGACCAGCCTGGACAACATGGTGAAACCCGATCTCTACAAAAAAACTGCACAAATTATCCAGGCATGGTGGTGCACCCCTGTGGTCCCAGCTACCTGGGAGGCTGAGGTGGGAGAATGGCTTGAGCCCTGGAGGTTGAGGTTGCAGTGAGCCTTGATCATGCCATTGCACTCCAGTTTGGGCGACAGAACCAGATCTTGTCTCAAAAAATTAAGATAAAATAAAATAAAAATAAAAAAATAGGAGAGACAAGAAAGGAGGTGAGAGAGAGGCAAGCAGGATCCAGAACCTGGGGTCATTTAAAGGAGTCTGCACCTTGACCCAAGGACAAGTGGGGAAGAAATAGGCACTAAGAAGTGGAAATGAAATATTTTAAAAGTTTTAGACAAAATGTTTTATTATGATATTTGCATTTTAGAAAGATTTCTCTGGAACTCCTGGATAAAATGGAGTTGTGATTATGGATGTCTAATTTCTGCCTCGCAGAATACAATGAAAATGAACTTCCTATTTTAAAAAATAGGAAAAAGCATATAGTTGTGCCAAGGACTAGGAGGAGTGTTATTTACAATCCAGCATGTAATTTCAACAATGTTTGGGTAAATAATGACATCAGATCTAATAAAACATATATCATATCTCTTAATATATACAGAAGCATGTACTTTCTAAATAGAAATATATCTTCTTTTGAAACATCCATGCTATGTTTATGAAAATTAATCTTACTCTGGGTAAAAAGAGAAATCTCCAATAAATTCAAAGACTAGAAATTTTACAGGCCCCACTGATCATGATGCAAAAATAAAATTTTAAAAATACAAATAAAAGTATATACATAAGCAATCCAAACAGTTGGCCATTAGAAGAAAAAAGAGAAACCACTTTTGTGCAGAATTAAAAGGCAAATACTATATATGATTATGGACTATTTAGCAAGTAAACCATAAGTATGAATGCATGTGAAAAATCAATAAAGTAATTATTTTCCAAAACTATTTTATGGGGGAATATTTAAGGAGACAATACTTCCTATGCTATTTAATCCAGTCCAGAGCATAGGAAAAGATGGAAATCTTCCCAACTGACTAGCTGTCAAAATATTACACCTAAAACATGACAATTAATACTTTAGATATAAAAGCTATAGGTCAATCTCACTTTTGAGTATAAGTGAAAAATTTTTAATAAAATATTACCACATTATATCTAACACAATATTAAGAATGATTATACATGACCAAGAAAGGATTGTTCCAGAGATGCAAAGATGCTTTAACATTAATCTGTTTTAAATAAAATTCACCAGTACAGATAGCCAAGTAAAATTATAATATTATCTCGATAGATGCTCCAAAAGAATTTGTATAATTTCCATTCCTGATTAATTACAAACAAAATTCTTACTAAACATGAAGTATAAAGATACTTTCATGCCATGAATGATATGCATATTAAATAAAAAGCCATAATTATATTTAAATAATGAAACACTAGAGACAGTCCCATTAAAATCTAGGAAAAATTAAACATACTGGCTACCAGCATCATCATTCAATGGTATGTTGAAAGTCCCAGAAATAGCACAAGAAGATATGAGGCTTAAATATTGGAAAGGGGAAGAAAACAGTTGCTGTGACTTACAGATTATATTCTTAATAACCTGGAAAATGTATAAGAAGAATTTGCCAATCTATTATCTTTGAAGAGTGCTTAATAAGGTGGCTAGTTACAGAATAAATATACAAACATTTGTAGCTTCCATCTACATTAAAAACAACCTATTAGAAAATATGTGAATAGGCTGGGCGTGGTAGCTCATGCTTGTAATCCCAGCACTCTGGGAGGCCACAGTGGGAAGATCACTTGAGGTCAGGAGTTTGAGACCAGCCTGACCAACATGGTGAAACCTTGTCTCTGCTAAAAAGACAAAAATTAGCCGGGAGTAGTGGCACCCGCCTGTAGTCCCAGCTACTCAGGAGGCTGAGGCACAACAATCACTTGTACCTGGGTTGAGGAGCTTGCAGTGAGCAGAGATTGTGCCGCTGCACTTCAACCTGGGTGATAGAATGAGATTCTGTCTCAAAAGAAAAGAAAAGAACATATGTGAATAGTAATTACATTTAATTTCTGGGAAAAAAAATCAGACAGAAAATAGGCAGGAACTCATGAAGAAAATATTATACTTTTATGAAAACATATAAAAGATGACTTGAATTAATAACATTTTCCTCAATTCATAGAAAGAATATTAACTTATAAGTTTAATCACAACATCTATATCTGCAAGACAGCAACCTATAGATGACTATTGGAGCCAGGACAGGACCACCCAAGGGAGATTTTGCAAAGAAGGGGGCTGAGCCCAGAACACTGGGAAAAATCACATTTAAGGGATGTTATAGAAGGTATGGACTGAGAAAAAGGAGACTACTTAGAAGTCAGAGAGATAAGAGAAAGCCATGAGCAGAGTCATAGAATCCAAGGGAGAAGATACCCAAGAGCTAACATGAGGTGGGAGCAATAAAACACTAAAAGATACCAACCTTGGCTGCTGGAGAGAGGGGACAGGTTGAGGGGTGGTGCATTTCAGGAAAAAGGGTGGGGTCAGTGGTGTCAGATGCTGCCAAGAGTCAGGAAAATCAAGCTTGAGAAGTACAGCAGTAAGGAGGCATTGGGATTTGGGCAAGAGCTAGTTAGATGGAGTAGTGGGGTGCAATCATGCCCAAGGTGCATTAAGGAGTGAGATGGAGATGAGGCAGTGGAGACAAGGAGTTAGATGCCTCTTCTGAGAATGTTGGCTGTGAATGGGGTAGAGTCAGGGAGGGTGGAAGCTACAAGAACCAAGGGGTATTTTTCTTTGTAGGCTGCATTAAACTTGACTTTGCTTTGATGTTGATGAGAGAAGGTTCTGTGGTGGGGGGAGTGAGTTGGGGGATGACAGTGGGGAGCACAGAGGAGATAACTGGTCAGATCAACTGCCCTAGGGAAAGAGCAGAAGTGGAGATAATGGTGCCCAGTTGGGACTTGCTTCACCTCAGACATAATAAAGGGAGGCTGGGGTTGGGGAGAGGGAGGATGGGTGGTCAGTGCTCTTGGCTGGGGATGGAGGAAACAGGAGGAGCATGGCACATAGGCTGGGGAGGGATGGCCCAGGGTGCTCAAGAGGGAGGTGCTAAGGAGTCACCAGATGCCAGATGCACCCTAAATGATTTGTAGATAGATTGGATGTAAGGCATGAAATGCAGCCAGTATGGTGCTCAGGACTTTAGCCTGCGTAGCTAGTTGAATGATGGTGCCCTTACTCAGACTGGAAGAGGTCAACAAAGTGGGCAAATCTCTAGCAAGACTGATCAAGATAAATAAAGATGTGTCCCGGCACAGTGGCTCATGCTTGTAATCCCAACACTTTGGGAGGCCGAGGTGGGTGGGTCACCTGAGGTCAGGAGTTCGAGACCAGCCTGACCAACATGGAGAAACACCATCTCCACTAAAAATATAAAATTAGCCAGGCATGGCGGTGAATGTCTGTAATCCCAGCTACTTGGGAGGCTGAGGCAGGAGAATCGCTTGAACCTGGGAGGCAGATGTTGCAGTGAGCCAAGATCATGCCATTGCATTCTAGCCTGGGCAACAAGAGCAAAACTCTGTCTCAGAAAGAAAAAAAAAAGATAAATAAAGATGCAAAAATGTGCATTATAAATTTAAACAAGCCAGAACTATAGGTACCCTAGATATTTTTAAATGTTAAAAGAAATGTTTAAGCAATTGAGTCAATATTTTAGTAAACAGAGGCAAAATAGAACATATTTAGAAAACAATATCTAAATTGGCAAAATATAAACTAAAATCTGACAAAATTGATAGCTATTTTAAAACTAAAATAATTTCAATTATTTCTTCCCCCTAGCGTGTGTGTATATATATATATATATGTGTGTATGTGTGTGTGTGTGTGTGTGTGTGTGTGTGTGTGTGTGTATAGGATATATAACTATATATATTTCTAGGCCTTGATTATTTTATATATGAATTTCACTATGTTTAAGAGACAGATAATTTATATAATTTTTCAAAAAATGGAAAAGAGAGAAAGCTTCACTATTTATTCCTAAAGGTGCAGGGAAGGTACCTGATACTTTCTCCCCTCCACATGATCTTAAACACAAAGTCATGGCACCTGTGAAACTCCTGCACTCCCCTGCACAGGTCTTTACCACCTATTGATGCAAGAAAGATTTGGGGGTAATCCTGACTTTCTCCAGTGATGCACTCACCTTGTGAGATGGAAAGAAAAAGGGAAGGCTGGGTAGTGGAAGGGCAGTGGGTGGGGGTGTGAAACCTGGGGCAGGTATCAAGAGGAGTGTGGAGAGATGGGATGGACACTTTCCTGATACATTCTTGTGCTAAGGACAACCAAATATGGGTCTGTTCTATCTCTAGAAAGCTTGTCTATATATGGAAGCTCATATAGTCATATATGGAATATGAAAGCTCGTATAAGGAATATTTTTGCTGGAAGCTTCCTGTTGGAGATTCCTGATGAAAAGACTTATGATAGTCTTTTATTCTCCCACGTTCTCTCCTTTTCATCAGGATTCTTTGTGGACACGCATGGTCTAGAGTCTGTCCCTGGTGGTGCAGGGTGTTCCCTCGCCCTTCTGCCTGGGTTAACTGTATCCCCTACAGCCAACCCTGTGATTATGGGACAGTGCCTTTTCCCTGGGGCTCCCAAGTCTCTTCTGAGCTCAATCCTTGAGATATTAACTTCCTTCAGTCTTTGCAAAAAGAGTAACTAACGTTGGCCTTGGGCTCCTCACCATCTGGTTTATTTTAAAAAGCTGAGTGGCAAATGAGAAATTTGGAAGGTCTGGAGAGTGGCCGAAGCAGTGAAGGAAAGTCTCTTTGCACTTTTAAAAGGTAGGATGGCCATCTGGCCTGGCAGAGACAGTCATTTTACATCTCCACTGGTACATGACTGAAGTCATTTACCATTAAGTTCTATTTGAATAAAGTGGTAGTAGACATTTAGGTAATATTACAGGGCAATCAATGTTTAAGAGCCTTAGGGGTATAAGCTTTCCAAACGTAGTTCAGACCCAGATGCTAAAAATACTTCGTGTGTGTGTGTGTGTGTGTGTGTGTGTGTGTGTGTGTATGTATGTGTGTGTAACCTTTTACAGCATTTTGGCTTTTGCGCACATAATGGAAGAATTTTCTCCCCTCTCCCTTTCCTTCCACATTCTGAATTGTTTAAGAGTTTCCTGGCTACAGTCCCCTCCCCCTCCCCTTTTCTTTTTTTACTACACTGGGTAGAAGAAGCATGAGGGAAATGTAGTTAAAATTCAAAATGCTTCCCTTTTATCATTACCATGAATCAACACAATAAATGAGCCCCTTCAGAGCACAGTAATAAGAATTTGATAAATCATCAGCCAAAAATTAACTAGATGTCAAAACAATCTTTGGGAAGTGTGATGGATTAGGGGTGATAGCAGCAATTAATCTCCCAGCATGAGTTCACCGGAGAGACACAATGTAGGGAGATGGATGGGGGGGATTCAGGCCTGCAAGGTCAGGACTCTACTGAAAGGAGTGGGTGGAGGGTGGAGGCTGGCAGGAGGAGGAGGGTGAGAGAGGGAGAAAGAGAGAGGGGGAGAAAGAGAGAGAGGGAGAAAGTAAGGAAGAGGGAGAGAGAGAGAGAGAGAGAGAGAGGATGAGAATCCTCTGAGTCTGCAATCTTCAGGCATCCTGCAGCTGCGCTAGAGGTCAGTTACATGCCTTTGAAAAGCTCACTGCCTCCAGCTGCTCTCTGATGAGACAAGCACTTTTCCTCTTGCGCTAATAAATGCCACAACTCGGCTCATGGGGCTCAACACATGGCCTCCAAGAGTGGCAGACCTTACGGGGCTTAATTTAGAGAGCTGGGGAGCTCCTTGTAAACAACATCTAGGAGGAGCTAAGGGCCCTAGGAGGGAGGAACAGGCAGGGACGGGAGGGAAGAGGGGAAACGAGTCTGGGAAGGGCTACAGCGCCTCCAAGCCAGGGCTCAGCTCTGGGTGCTCCAGGACCCAGCGCGGGGAATCTTGATGAATCCCTGAAAGGAAGACGAGAGCCTCTGCAGGCACCAGGCTCATCAATCTCCCTCTTTTGGACAGGGCTGCTTCTTGCACTTATTTATTTTTTTAGCAGAGTTCCTAATATTGAAAGGAATGCCAGTTTGGGGAGGATGCACACAAGACCCTTGTTTTCCCCTCCCTGGCAATGCTGGAATCCTCAAGTCTGTCTGTATTGCCACAATTTTGTGATCATGGGCTCATGGGGCTAGACTGGAAAAATGCAGCCTGAACTGATGGGGCTGATGGGGTGGGAGGTGGTGAGAGAGGCAGGAAGGAGGAGAAAGAGAGGGCCAGGCTCCACTCAGCCAATCTGAAGATCAGATCTTAAACTGTCATGGGAAACAATACTAAGGAGAGCCCTGCCTGGTCCTCTGTGATGCCTGCAATATTTGGGATGCACTGGGTCAGGGCCTAGGAGCTGGAAAACCGGGCTGTTCATTTACTTCCCTCCAAAAATAGAGTTCTGTTTGACTAAAGACTCCTATAAGAGTTACATGGCCAGGGCTTTGATGCCGCTCCTGTTAACATTTGTAAGTGCTTCCTGCCTAGGCTTTATAATCATAAAACAATCATAATGTCTGATGACTGTCTAATGTTTTTTGGTTACAAAGATCTGTGCAAATCCTAGGTCTCTCCCGGCAGAGTCTTGATTGTTTTTCATGACACACCTTCCTAGGGTACAGCAGAATACTAGAGCTTAGCCTATTCAAAACTCCCCAAATCTCAGATAGGGAAAGGTAGGCCAGAAAGGTTCAATGATTCATGGTATATCATTAAATTGATGATAAGGAAAAAAAATGCCTATGGAATTCCCTACCCTGGGTGCCTCAAAGGGCATTGCTTGTCTTTAAATTCCACGGCTTCGATATTGGTGGTTCGGAGATGTGGGATGACTTAGTCTTGTGTCTAACGCTACTCAAATGCACAGGTATGATGTAAGGTTGAACATTTTTTTAGAACAAAGACTTAGTTAGCATTATCTATCTAATAGCTGCCAGGAAAGAAGGATGGTAACCTGGTCTATGCTTCAAGAAAACTAAGGAAGACTTACAATATAACTAATCTCTGTGGAAGTGCTTTCCTTGCTACTTACCAGCTGTGGACCCTGAGTTAGTTACCCGATTGCTCTGTGTGTCTGTTTTCTCATCTGTAAAAGGGGAATGACAGTCATTCTACCTTGTAAGTTGATGTGAGGATCAAATGAGTTTTGTGACCAATGCTTGCTATGTAGTCTATCAAAATGTTGTTACCATTCTTCTGTAGTTGACAACCTTGTGCTTCGTTCATCATGACCATGACCTCCCTATTGGCTCCATGGGTTGAAAATGTTTAGAGCAAAGCTGTAGAGCACGCTGTGGCTCTTACTCTATGGCTAAGAGCTGATAGGAGGAGGTCTCTACGAAACTGGTGAGAAGGCTAGGGGTGCTGGCCCAGGCTACCCAGGCCACCTTGCCTCCACACTCTGGCTGGTGCTATAGGGTTACGTCCCAGGATGTCATCCTCTTTTCCAGAGTAGCCTCAGCGGAGCACCCTGCTTCTTCCCCTCTACAGGCCATCTCAATAAAGATTGGGTGTTCAGCTTTCAAACAATATTCTGCTTCTGTGTAGTACTTTCACCTTTTTCAAGCACCTTCTCATACATTATCTTTTTGTTTCATGTGCATTTTGATGAATGTAGGACAGTCATTCTTCTCTTTCACTTTCCTGTGAGCCAGATTTAATGAGGGAGTTTCTGGATTATCTTGGTTAGTTGGAGGCATCTGCCTAACTTATCTATGACTTATTTTTCCTGCTACCAGATTGTTCCAAATGATTGTGCTGGCTGTGAGTTTAGAAGATCTGGCCTTTTGCAGAAGTTCTGCTGTTGTCTTTTCAGCTTCTGGGTAAGGGCAAGGCCATTGGGGTTGCTCTCTCCTAATGAGAAGTGAGTGTGAACACCAATGGATTCTGGAGAGATGAAGCTTCTCTTTGGGGCTCACAGTCCCAGACAATCCATACCTGTTCCTTCTTCAATTTGCTCAATATAGCATTGAGCATTTCAACAGCTTCTGTGCCTGTACTATAAACGTGTGTAAATACTGACAGACATACACGTGCCTGCACAAACCTGTATCCATAGTCACAGATTCTATCACACACTCACAGACACATGTACTCACAGATGTAAATACACAGTGTTATGACACAGTTGCATACTGTCACACCCATAGAGTCACACACAGAGGCACACAGGCCGAGGCACGCATACATCCACACGCAGTCACATATACAAACACAAAGGCACAATGATTCTCTCTCTCTCCTTTCTCTCTCTCTCTGTTTTACATGCACTCTCTCTCTCTCTCTCTCTCTCTTAGAAAAAGTACCAACCCAGAAAAGAAATGCAGCAGAGACGTTTGTAGCATTGCATACCCAGCTGGGTCTTGGGAAAGAGTCTCCTCCCCAGCGCATCATGGAGGGATGAGCTTTTGAGAGCAGGTGCTGGGTACCATCCCAAATCTTTTGCCGAGATTCCTAGTGCCACAGCTAATCTACACTCTGGATGTTTGCTGACTACCCTGATCCTCAGGAGGCAGGTGTTCAACCCAGGGGCCAAAGTTGAAATTGTCGGGAGACGTAGTGTTAAGAGTTGAATTGTTTCCTCCCTCCTGCCAAAGATATGTTAAAATTCTAATCCTCAGTACCTCAGAGGTTACTTTATTTGGAAATAGGCTCATTGCAGGTGGAATTACAGGCATACCTCAGAGATATTGTGGCTTCAGTTCCAGACCACCATAATAAAGCAAATGTTGCAATAAATTGAGTCACACAAATTGTTTAGGGTGGTGGTTGCTGAAGGTTGGGGTGGCTGTGACAATTTCTTACAATTTTTAAGTTTCTTAAAATAAGACAACAATGAAGCTTGCCACACCAATTGACTCTCATTTTCTGGAAAGATTTCTCTGTAGTATGTCATGCTGTTTGATAGCATTTAACCCACAGTATAACTTCCTTATAAATTGGAGTCAATTTTCTCAAACGCTGCTGCTGTTTTATCAACTAAGTGTATATAATATTCTGAATTGTTTGTCTTTTCAATAATGTTCGTAGCATCTTCACCAGGAGTAGATCTCATCTCAAGAAACCGCTTTCTTTGCTCATCCATAAATTAATCATCTGTTCAAGTTTTATCATGAGATTGCAACAATTCCATCATGTCTCACTGAGTTAGGCTCCACTTCTAGTTCTCTTGCTGTTTCCACCACATCGGTAGTGACTTCTTCCGTTGAAGCCTTGAACCTCTCAATGTCATCCATGAGGACTGGAATCAACTTCTTCCAGACTCCTGTTAATGAGAATATTTTGACCTCCTCCCATTAATCATGAATGTTCTTTTTTTTTTAATCAAAAACATTTTTTCATTTAAAAAACTATTTACAACACATAAAACAAGGCAAGATTTACTCTTTTTTTCTCATCTTCTGGTATGGGATCTTTTGGTGGCTCCTGCACTATTGTGCTGTTGCTGTCCGATCCAATGTTACTATCACTGGTTCCTTCCTCTGCCATACTGTCTACCCACTCCTGCCCACTCTCCTTGTCCTCAGGAGTAGACGTGCCTTCTTCACTGTTCTGTTGGCTCTCTGTCATTTCTTCAAAGCGTGCCTCCTCCATCTCCATTGGAATGTTCTTGTCATCTTTCTTCTCCTCGCCTTTGCTGGCTGCTTGCTTTTCCTTAGGAACAATGCTGCTCTGTGCTCAGCTTGCTCTGCTGCCTCCTTCTCCCTTTTCTCCTGCCTTTTGCGGGCCTGTTCCTCTGCCTGTGCAATCTCACCTGCAATTTTCTTCATATCCACTTCTACTTTCAGACCACACAAACTTTTAAGTTCATCATTAAATGAATCTGTGCTTTCCAAGTATTTCCTCCTCTTCTCCTGGTGTCATTTCCTCTATCTGAAGAAGTTCAGCTTCTAGTTTTCGCTGATGAATAATTAAGGACTGGACCTGTCATTTGATGATCCACATTCTAGCTGTTGTGACAACTGACCGAACGTCTGGCACCACACTCTCACTAAGGATTTCACTGATGAGGCAGTGGTTTCTCTGGAAATGGGCGGTGGCTGTATGCTTCATTGAAAAGCCATCGTCATAATCATCTGGATCTTCAGGAGGCTAAATGTTCATGTACGGTTCTCCTTTCTCCACGCAAGACTGTCTCTGTCAACTTTCTTCCTCTAAAGCAGCTTCTGCACGACTTTTTGCATTTATGTAAGCAAGGTATATGGGGGATTTATGATAGGCCTTCATAGATTCATTGTATTCTGTCTTTTCTGCTTCGTATTCATTTAAATATTCTTGCTTTTCTTCACCAGTGAGATCTCACCACATGCCACCAATAATCTTGCCAATCTCCCACAACTTTAAGTCAGGGTTGGAAGTCTTTACTTGGTCCCAGACCTTTCTGCCTGTACCTCACGTAGGGCATCAGCGGCTTATCTGGTGGCTTTGGGGGTTTTGGTATGGTAATAGCAGAGGATGCTGTGACCTGGCTGTTGGTGCCTGGGTTCCCTTCAAGCCTGTAGTTGTTGTAGGTGAGATGACTGTATGGATTGTATCTCACAAACCCTGGTGTGCTGGGCATTTGTGTTGCAGGAGCTGGGGTGAGAGGTGGAGCATAAGACGGTCTTTCCACGGGCAGAAAAAGTGGCTGCAGTTCCGGCTTCACTTCCCTTTGTCCTGCGCCATGAGTGTTCTTAATGGCATCTAGAATTGTGAATCCTTTCCACAAAATTTTCAATTCACTTTGCCCAGGCCCATCAGAGGAATCAATTCCTAGGGCACCTATAGACTTACGAAATATATTTATTAAATAATAAGACTCAAAAGTCAAAATTACTCCTTGATCTAGGGGCTGTTGAATGGATTCTTTGTTAGCAGGCAGGAAAACAGCATTCATCTCTTTGTACATCTTTACCAGAGCTCTTAGGTTACCAGCTGCATTGTTAATGGGCAGTAATTTTGAAAAGAATTTTTTTTTTTGAGAAGTAGCTCTCAACAGTGGGCTTAAAATATTCAGTAAAACATGTGATAAGCAGATGTGCTGTCATCCAGGCTTTGTCGTTCCATTACTGGAGCACAGGCAGAGTAGATTTAGCATAATTTTTAAGGGCCCTAGGGTTTTCATAATGGGAAGTAAGCATTGGCTTCAACTTAAAGTCCCCAGCTGCATTTGCTCCTAACAAGAGAGTCAGGCTGCCCTTTGAAACTTGAAACCAGACATAGACTGCTCCTCTTTAGCTGTGAATGTCCTAGAAGGTATCTTCTTCCAATAGAAGGCTCTTTCATCTACATTAAAAATGTGTTGTTTAGTGTAGCCACCTTCATTAATGATCTTCACTAGATCTTCTGGATGACTTGCTGCAGCTTCTACATCAGCACTTACTACTTCACTTTGCACTTTTATTTTACAGAACTGGCTTTTTTCTTTAAACCTCATGAACCAAGCTCTGCTAGCTTCCAGCTTTTCTTCTGCAGCTTCCTAACCTCTCTCAGTCTTCACATAATTGAAGAGAGTTAGGGCCTTGCTCTGGATTAGGTTTTGGCTTAAGGGAGTACTGTGGCTGGTTTGATCTTCTGTCTAGACCACTAAAGCCTTCTCCATGTCAGCAATGAGGCTGTTTCACTGTCTTATCATTTGTGTGTTCAATGGAGTAGTACTTTTTATTTCCTTCAAGAACTTTTCCTTTGCATTCATAACTTGGCTGTTTGGTGCAAGAGTCCTAGCTTGCAGCTTGTCTCAGCTTTTGACCTGCCTTCCTCACTAAGCTTAATCATTTCCAGCTTTTCATATAAAGCAAGAGACATGTGATTCTTCCTTTCACCTGAACACTTACAAGCCATTGTAGGGTTAGTAATTGGCCAAATTTTAATATGTTGTGTCTCAGGCAATAGGAAAACCCCAGGAGAGGGAGAGAAATGGAGAAACTAACGGTCCATGGTGCAGTTTATATACTTTTAGAACACATACAATATTTATTAAGTTCACTGTCTTATTTGGGTGTGGTTCATGATGCCCTGAAACAATTACAATAGTAACATCAAAGATCACGGACCACAGACTGCCAAGACATACAAAATAATAGTAATAATAAGGGGTGAAATATTGGGAGAATTACCAAAATGGGACACAAACACATGAAGTGAGCCCATGCTGCTGGAAAAATGGCACCAATAGACTTCCTTGTTGCGGGGTTGCCACCAACCTTCAATTTGTAAAAAATGCAATTTCTGCGAAGGGCAAGAAAGTGAAGCGTAATAAGACAAGGTGTGCCCGTAGTTACATTAAGATGAGGTTGTGCTGGAGTAGGTTGAGCTCCTAATCGAATATAATTGGTGTGTTTATAAGAGAAGAGAAACACTCAGGGAGAGGCCACATGGCGACAGAGGCAGAGACTGACTTAGCTGCCAGCCACGCAAGGCCACTGATTGTCCGCACACCACCAGAAGCTAGGAAGAGCCAAGGAAGGGCTCGGAGGGTTCATGGTCTTGCCAACACCTGCGCTTTGAAGTCTTAGCCTCCAGTGTTTAATTGTGGTTGTAAAACGCCCAGTTTATGGTGCTTAGTGAAGGCAGCCCCAGGAAACTAGTACATTTGCATAATTTGAAGGAAAAAAAGATGTATTTAATATTTTACCAGAATTTTCTATGTGGAAAATCAAAACAAAATCCTCTTGTTCTGAAAAAACAAACATCTCAAATAAAGCGTCCACATTCTTCTAGGCTTCTGCATACAAGTAGAAGGTGATAGCTCTCTGCTCAGACCCTCCCTTATGTCTGCATGTCACCTGGCCTGGGGTAAGAAGTGGCCATCATGTCATGGCAGCTTCCAAAACCTGCTCCTCTGCCCCGGCTCCTCTCTGGCCTTGGGTCCTCGTTCCACTCCAGCCACACAGACCGCCTCCCTTTTCTCAGACTCTCCAGGCAAGCCCCCTCCTCAGGGCTTCACACAAGCTCCTCCCCTGACTGGAAGGTTGGGACCCAGGCAGCACCCTGGCTCATTGCTTTAAACTGTTGCTCAAATGTCACCTGGTTGGTGAGACCAGCAATTCCTAAAAGTCACTCCTCCTCATTTCCCCTGACTTTGCTTTAATTTTTTTTTTCCAGAGAACTTATCGCCTTCTGACATACCATATAATTAACTGACTGATTATGTAGATTGTATACCTCCCCATGAGAATGTTAGCTCCAAAAGAACATGGATTCTTTTTTCCTGTTTTGTATGCCCTGTTCCTAGAACAGTGTCTGGAATACACTTGGTGTTCAATAATTGTTTCTGAATGAATGAAAACTTAGTCTCCTGTGTGTCTGACTTTCATCAATGTTACCCTCTGGGAAGAAGGAGATCCCTGAAGATTTAATGTTTAGACTTATATGGAGGAGATATAGGTTTAAGAAATGAAGAAGCGGCCTGGCCCAGTGGCTCACGCCTGTAATCCCAGTACTTTGGGAGGCTGAGGCGGGTGGATCACAAGGTCAGGAGATCGAGACCATCCTGGCTAACATGGTGAAACCCCATCTCTTCTGAAAATACAAAAAATTAGCCAGGCACGGTGGTGGGTGCCTGTAGTCCCAACTACTTGGGAAGCTGAGGCAGGCTAATGGCGTGAACCTGGGAGGCGGAACTTGCAGTGAGCCGAGATTGTGCTGCCACTGCCCTCCATGCTCCAGCCTGGGTGACAGAGCAAGACTCTATCTCGAAAAAAAAAAAAAGAAAAGAAATGAGAGGCTGGGCAGGCCAGTGGCAGAGGCCTTGAGCTGGGGCCTTGAGGGTCTCATCTGTGAAAGACAGATGAAACCACCTGCTGCCTACAACCCACTTCACGGGGATGTTGGGAGGATGAAGGACATGATGCATTTTAAAGTGCTCTGAGGTCCTTAAACAAAAGACATGCCATGGAAATGGAATGTTATTACATAAACTAAACCCAGAAGTGTATCAGGAAATAGCTGAACTGAATCATAGCCAGTCTCAGAGCAATTTTTTTGCCTGAAAAATTTAATAGAACAGCCTAAAAAACTATGATGCAATTTTCTTTCTTATCAACCGTTCCTACCTTCTAAATTTTAGCACAGGTGCTATCTTCTTTTTTTTCCTACACAGTAAACAGATCCACGATAAAATTTCGGGATTGGACTGAGGGTGGTTGGCTGTGCAAATAACTGGGCCATAAAAGTGTCTTCAGAATTTTTCTCTCTCTCATTTTTAAACAGTGGTTCTCACAGGGAATAAAATGTATTGCTCAGAACAAGTGGCTGTGTATTTAATTATGTCAAACCTTAATATTTTTTTTTGTTTCATATTTCAAGTGTTCTGTGTTGTGTAGGGGATATTGAGAATTAAACTTTGTGATATTCCTTCTTTTTTTTTTTTTTTGATGGAGTCTTGCTCTGTTGCCCAGGCTGGAGTGCAGTGGCATGATCTTGGCTCACTGCAGCCTCCATCTTCCAGATACAAGTGATTCTCCTGCCTCAGCCTCCCGAGTAGCTGGGATTACAGGCACCCACCACCACACCTGGCTAATTTTGTATTTTTAGTTGCCCCTGCTGGTCTCGAATTCCTGACCTCGTGATCTGCCCACCTCAGCCTCCCAAAGTGCTGGGATTACAGGCGTGAGCCACTGCGCCCGGCTTATTCCTTCTTTTTAAGGGCAATATACATAACTAGAACAGCAGTCGCGAACGTCAGAACTACTGAGTGCAGCCTGTGAATGCAGTTTCCCTCCTCTGGCTTCTCCTCTTGCTATTCAGTGCCCTCTGCTGTCTGGAAGGAGCCTGCTAATGCTTGGGTTAACTGCCTAGCCTATTTGTATCACACAATGATTAGTTTTTTCCTTCAGCTGATTTTACTGCTAGTATGAACTGGTACCCATTACAATTCTGAATCCTATTAGGTTGCTGGTAAGTGGCTGTCATTGGCCATCCCACTTGTTTAGAAAACGATATTAAAAAGGAAGGGTTAACCTGCAAAAGTTTATCCTCTATTCTTGGTTCCTACCTTCCTGGATGCCTAGCCCAAGGATAGATGGAGTGAACTCCAGGCAGGTGTGTCACAATTTATAAAGGAGTAACTCAAAGTTCAGTTAGTACTTTAGTTCTGAATAAACATAGCTCTGGAAAGTCCCCTTGAATCCTGACTGTCCTGTAGATAAATCTCCAGTCTTATATGTTAGGGCTTTCCTCCAAGTTAACCATATTTATCAAAACATTTATTTTTTGATAATTGCTATTAAAAATATTATTATTATTATTATTTGAGACAGAGTCTTGCTCTGTCACCCAAACTGGAGTGCAGTGGCATGATCTCAGCTCACTGCAACCTCCACGTCCCCGGTTCAAGCAATTCTCCTGCCTCGGCCTCCTGAGTAGCTGGGATTACAGGCATGTGCCACCATGCCCAGCTAATTTTTATATTGTTAGTAGAGACGGGGTTTCTCCATGTTGGTCAGGCTGGTCTTGAACTCCTGACCTCAGGTAATTTGTCCACTTCAGCCTCCCAAAGTGCTGGGATTATAGGCGTGAGCCACCACACCCAGCCTAAAACATGATTTTTATCTCAAGAGGGAGAAAGATGTAGTTGTTTAGACTTTGGACATTGGAGCTGGGTTAAAAATCTAGGTTTTTCCCTTTTGCTAACTGTATAATATTAGGCAATAATCATGTTAGCTTCATTTTTCCTATCTGTAGAAAAATATCACCTACCCCACAGGGTTAATTTGAAGATTAAATAAGAATATGTAAACAAAATTCTTATTAAAGGTTCTGGTATATTGTAAGCACCAAGTACATATTTTTTTCATTTTTCCTTCATGTTTGATTCTAATTCCAAACTCAAAACATATCTTTATTTCTTAGTTCATATAAAGTATTTCCTAGTCATCTGTATCTTTTTTCTTTAATATGATATTATCCTGGCTTGTTGGGTAGTAGGAAAGAGGAAAAGAGAGAGAAAAAGGAGAGAGAAGAAGATGAGAGAAATGGCTGCCAAAACACTTTCAATTACACCTGTTATTATTTTGGTACTTGTTGATGCTGCAAATGAGAACCAGAGCATGTGGCTGGTAGGTCACTCCAAAATGTTTTGTCCTTCGCTAAAAAAGATGTAACTTGGGCTTAAATAAGATACGATACATCTACCCAAAAGCAGGTAAAGAAAAGCCATTCATCTAGAAGGGAAGTATTCTGGGATTCAAAATTTATAAATATTATACCGACCTATTCTTGACTAGCATTTAAACATGAGAAATCAACAATGCTTACTTAATTCCACTGATTTGTCATAACATTCAGTGTTTGTGCTTTTATTTCCTATGGCCCTAAAAATTCAGAAGCAACTTCCAAGAAAAGTAGTTTAGCTTAAAAATCACCATTTTCGGCCGGGTGCAGTGGCTTACGCCTGTAATCCCAGCACTTTGCGAGGCAAAGGGGAGTGCATCACCTGAGGTCAGGAGTTCGAGACGAGCCTGGCCAATATGGTGAAACCCCGTCTCTACTAAAAATACAAAAGTTAGCTGGCCGTGGTGGCACATGCCTGTAATCCCAGCTACTCAGGAGGCTGAGGGAGGAGAATCGCTTGAACCCGGGAGGCGGAGGTTGCAGTGAGCTGAGATCGTGTCACTGCGTTCCAGCCTGGGTGACAGAAGGAGACTCCTTTAAAAAAAAATCACCATTTTCCCCATTTAACCTGAGAGTCAGTTGACTGGAAAACACGATGGTTCTCAGCAAGCATATAAAGCAGTTGGACCACCCATGACTGCCTTCTGAAGATGCTTCTTGGAGAACAAAGCACATCCTCTATGGAAACCTCTTGATCCCTAAGTAGGGATGGCATTTCTTTGTAGATGGAACACTGTGAAGTTCTTCCAAAGGAAGCTGTGGAGTTTTCAGTCTGAAATCTCGTGAACTTCCCTAGCCTGGGTGATTTAAGATGCTTGTGCCTAAAACAGCTTTCTAGTCTGGACTATTTCTTCCTCATCTTACCAACACTGGAGTTCTTTGAACTTTCAACATCTTTTACCAGAGAAATGGAAATAAAATGAGGAAGTAGGTAGAAGGAAGTCTTAGAACCATTTGCCCGAGTCCACAGTCACACTTACTTCAACATGTCTCAAACTTCACAAACCCATTGGGATGAAGAATGTAGGGGGAAATTCTCTCAAAAGGGATTTTATACTATACTGGTTCTAACCAGTGGCACACAGAGGGAAAATAAGTTATTTTAAACATTTTGTTTGTATGTTGAAAGTATCTGTTATTTGTGGGTAGACCAATAGGATTGCATTGTTATAATTATGCACAGAAAATATCAATAAAGTTAACAGTAGAAAACGGAGTCTCTTGTTATTATTTATGGAACTATCTGCCAAAGTCACTCTCTTGGTGGACATGGCATCCCCATTTTTGTTGGGATCCATATATTGTAATGAAAAAAAATCATGAATTTGGACTTACTTGCATTTGAATTCCTACTTCACAATTTATGGTGTGACTATGACCATCATTTATTTATCCAGTTGATGTGGTGTGGCTCTGTATTCCCACCAAAATCTCACCTTGAATTGTAATAATCCCCATGTGTCAAAGGCAAGACCAGATGGAGGTAATCAAATCATGGGGGTGGTTTCCCCCATGCTGTTCTTGTGATAGTGAATGAGTCTCACAAGATCTGATGGTTTTATAAGCATCTGGCATTTCCCATGCTTGCACTCATTCTTTCTCCCACCACCCTGGGAAGAGGTGCCTTCCACCATGATTGTAAGTTTCCTGAGGCCTCCCCAGCCATGTGGAACTGTGAGTCAATTAAACTTCTTTTCTTCAGAAATACCCAGTTTGGGGTATTTATTCATAGCAGCATGAGAATGGACTAATGCACCAATACTTATAAATATCTGCTGTGGAATATTTCCTGTGGCAAGTGTGTGTTGGTGGCACAGTAGGGGGAGGCACAGAAATAAGTAAAATGTTATTAAGAGGAAAACTTTAGACAAATTGAAGTTGTCTAAACAGAGCTTAATTGAGCAAAGAATGATTCATAAGTCAGGCAGCCTCCCAAACCAGGATAGGTTCCAAGAGATTCTGGTGCTGCTCTGTGGTTGAAGATTATTTATGGACAGAAAAAGGAAAATGACACACAGAAAGCAGAAGTGAGGTACAAAACAGCTGGATTTGCAATTGACCAACCAGCTTATTCTTGCCTACTTCCCAGAAAAGCCAATGCACTGAGAACAGCATGTTTTGCAGCAAAGAAAGCACTTAGTAATTGGAGGGTCAGCCAAGTGGAAGGAAGGTAGATAATTCTCAAATCTCTCTCCCAAGAATTCAAAGGGTAGGGTTTTTCAAGGATAATTTGGTTGACAGGGGAGTGGGGAATGGAGAATGTTGACTGTTGGGTTGGGGATGGAATCATAGGGGGTTGAAGCTGTCTTGTTGTGCAGAGTTAGTTCCCTGGGTGGGGATGAAAAGACCACTTATGTCAATTTCTTGGTATGGGTTAGTAATCTTGTTGGTGCCAGCCGGTCTATCAGAATGAAGGGTCTGAAAAATACTTTAAACAACAATCTTGGGTTTTATAAGAGTGATGTTATTTCTAGGTACAATTGGGGAGGTCACATATCTTGTGACCTCCAGCTACATGACTCTTGAACAATAATTCTGACCTTGTGGCTAACTTATTAGTTTTACAAATGTGGTTTGGTCCCTGAACAAGGAGGGGGTTAGTTTCAGAAAATACCGTTATCATCTTTGATTTAACATTAAACTCTAACTAAATTTATCCCATAGTTAACATGGCCTATGCTCAAGAATGTACATAAACAGATTTTGAGGTTAGAAGCAAGACGAAGTCAGCTATGTCAGATTTCTCTCACTGTCATACATTTTGCCAAGGTAGTTTCAGATAGGTTACAGCTTGGTGTTTCCCTTATTTAAACATGGTTTGAACAGTTGGCTGCCTTCAATTGGCTGAAACTCAGTGATTGGTGTAAGAGTAGGTTATGGTCTGTTTACACATCCAGTTAGGTTATAGTTTACTACATATGGAGAAACTTTTGGGCCAAACTGATAACATGTAAGGAGGCAGTTTTAGGTTAAGCTTAATTTAACACTGTGTACCTAGTCATGTGTAGCCATGGTGTCTCATAGGAAGCACAGAAGAACAAGCAGAGCTATGCTCAGAGACCCCTGAGTTCAGCTGGGGTGGGAGTGGTCAGAGAAGGTTTCTTAGAGGTTGTTTGTACTGCATCCTTGAAAGATCAGTAGAAGTTAGCAAGCTGGTGTGTCTAGAAAGGGAGGTATGAATCAAACATATTGAAGAGCACGTGAAGGTCATGGAGACGAGAAGCTGCAGGTAGACCTGTACATGGGAGGGTGGGTAAAGGTATGGTGTGGTGACGACCAGAGAAGGTGCTAGGGACAAGAGCAAAGGCTAGAGTATGGAAGTCCTTGTATAACATGCCAAGGAGTTTCGTTCTCTTCTTAAGGTGATGGAGACACTTGACTCATCTTAAGTAGATTGATGGCCTCGGGTTTTCAGCACAGAAAGACCATTATGATGGTGGCATGAAAGCCTGCCTGGAATGGGGAAGTCCACACCTTCGAAGGCCTGTGGGAGCAAGAATCTTAGACTGGTGAGAGGAACATTGGGCTTGTTGTTAGCCTTTTTTGCGGAATATCTAGGCGCTGATGCCCTCTTCTAGGGTGAGAATGGAATGAGAAAAATAGACACATGAGGGCAGGCCTGAGGTTTATCAGGGCTTAAGGCATGGTGGAGGAAGGAATATAGATAGAAAAGGCAGACAGGGGCAGGCAGGGAGGAAGGAGGAAAGACTGGGAGAGGGCAAAGAAGGGGGTTTAGAGAGGGCAGGGAGGAAGGAGGAAAGACTGGGAGAGGGCAAAGAAGGGGGTTTAGAGAGGGCAGGGTTAGCAGTGGTGTCCAATACTTCTGGCGGGGGTCAAATGGGTTAATTGTAAGAGACCATCTGCTAAGTATGAGGACATTGATGATAATTACCAATAAAAGTATTCCAGAGAAGGCAGGCATAACTGGGATTGAGAGCAAAGGCAGCATCTGGTGACTCCTCTACTGACACACCTACATTTCTACTCTCCTTTTACCCTCTTCTCATGGGTTTGCTGTTAGTGATAAGGAAATTCTTGGAAAATGGTTGTTGCAGAAATTCCATCTTCTCTTTGTGAAGCCACATATGTTAAAAGAGTTGCATTCAGCCTTCCTCTTAGAGCCAACTAGAGAGCATCATTACCAAGAGGAAAAACATCAAGTTACTTTGCATTTTGAAACTGAAAAGTAGGCAAAGGAGGTTACATGGATTTACTCAGTTCCAAAAAAATGAAAGGAAAAGAAGAAAAAAAGACACACTATGATCACAATTTATCTAAGCAACACCATAAGTGCCATTATCCTCTGTGATTATTTTGACTTGATTTGAAATGTTTATTCAAATACTTACATGAATGACTAATCAAAAGGATTGTTAAAACTTCCTTACATATGTGAGACACCTTCACAATAATAGCAAGGCTTGCTGGGAACTTATATTATGTTTTTAATTGCTTTTGTCAGTCAAAACTATCTGCTGAGCCCCTACTTGAAGCTGAATGCTGCATTTGAGCAGGGGATAGCAATACAGAGAAAGCCCAGGAAACCCTTTATTACTACCAATGCTTGAGGCATGCATGTTCTGCTTAATTAGATTTTCAGGTGAGCTCCTGCTGAACCCTTTATGAAGCATCATAATTTTTGTTTCAAGTTTTAAATAAATCTTGGTCAAACTTTCTGGAAAGACAGAGACTCTAGCACGACATCTCTTCTCTGGTTCTAATTGAAATGATCAACATGCTCTAAAAATAGGAGAAATCCTGTATCAGTACAGGAAACAAAGGAGGGAAGTCATCCATGGGGAAAAAAATTTGAAGACATTTCTACTGGATACAAGCCCAGAAGGGCCACAGTTGAAGTACAAAAGCATCAGCTTTGGAGGTAGATGATCAGATTTCATTTCCAGCTTTGCCAACCACTGAGCCACTGGGACCCACAGTTTACTGGTGGCTCAGAATTCTCATAAATAAAATGGAGCTGCAGGATCTAATGACTTGCTGAGTCCTCTTTAGTTGTAGGTGTCTATGACAACACATTGGTTAAGTCGCAGGCAGTATGAAGTGATTAACAGCATCGTTCTACGGTAGGCCACATGGGCTCAAATCCCATATATTTTACACTCTAGCTATGTCATGCTGGACAGATCACTTGAAGTCTCTAAGCCTCAGTTTGCCCATCTGTAAAAGGGGGATAATAATTCCTACCTCTCCAGATTCTTGTGAAGACCAAATTAGATAATATATGTAAAATCCTTAGCAAAATGTCTGGTGTATTAAACACTGGATAACAGCTACTATTATTATCATCATAATTATTTTTTATACCAAAGGAACATCTCAAGAAAGTTATAATCATTTCTGTGCAGACATATATTCATAAATGCAATTATTACAAATCTTGTTTGGAATGTGGAAGCAGATATCATCATATGCATATATATGTGTGTGAATACCTATAATGTATGTACATATGTGTGTGTATTGTTAATCATATACACTGTGCACACATGTATATGAAATATATGTGTACATATGTGATAAGGAGATGTTGGAATGATTAGTGACCAAAGATAAAGATGATGAACTTTGAATGGTTTTCCATAGTATATGAATTTTAAGTGTAGTTTTGACAGGATGAAAAAAGTCAGAATTGGTTAGGCAGGAGTGTTATTCGTTTGCATAAAAAGACCAAAAAATACTGTTGTCTAGTTTGTTTAATTGATATATTTAGTAAAAACAAGCAAGGAATCCCAGGAAGGGGCCTCAGCAGCTGCCTTGGCCTGGTAGAGAACCTGTACTTGACTCTTCTTTTCAGGCTTTGGAGACATTTTAGTGACGGGGGTGTCTTCAAAGTCTATCAGAAGTAGCTCCAGTGACATCACCACCCCCATGGACTTGTCTGTTAAACTCCAGCTAGAATCCAAAACTCTCAAGGCAGAATCTAATGGGGTGGATCAGTTACCAGTCAATATGGCACACTCTTATTGGGCAGAGTTCTTGGGCCAGGACAGCTCTGAGGCTGTGGAGTTTCTCAGTTCACATTTGGCTAGAGTATTGTTAGGGGTTGAACTGTGTCTGCCCAAAAGAGATGTGTTGAAATTCTAATGCCCCTGTGCCTCAGAATGTGACCAGATTTGGAAATAGTGTCTTAACAAAGGTAATCAAGTTAAAATGAGGTTGTAAGTGTGGGCTCTAATCCAATATGGGTAATGCCTTTACAAACATGAAAAATTTGGTTACAGAGACAGACATACATAGAGGGAAGACAATAGGAAGATACACAGGGAGAATGCCCTGTAAGGATAGAGGCAGAGACTGAATTATGCTTCCATAAACCAATGAACATCTGGGGCTACCAGAAGCTGGAAGAAGGGATCCTCGCTCTACAGATTTATAAGGGAGCAAGGCCTTGCCAACACCTTAATTTTGGACTTCTAGCCTCCACAACTGTGGAACAACATATTTCTGTTGTTCTCAGCCACCAACTTTGTGGTACTTTGTTATGGCAAACCTAGGAAATGAATACAGGTATCCTTCCTGGTCTTGTTCTTTGTGGCCAGGGTGGAAGTTCATGTCATCCAGACCCTGCCAATTCCTGAAGAAGGAACAGCCAAAGTCAGCTTTTCTGAGGAGGTGGTGCGTATTTCAGGAACAGAGCATTTCGTAGACTGACCAACACAGGTCTGATTTGATTAAGATGAGGCTTCAGCAAATGTCTGATGAGGTTTTATGCCTTGGTGTTTCACAGTATGATTCACTTATATTTAGATGTCCAATTACTCAATTATATGACTAGATAATGTCCAACCAATAGACTGTGATGTCCTTGAGGTCTGGGATCATGTCTTGCTGTTGGCAGGCAGGGTTGTAGAACGTTGTGGCTCTGGAATCACCCTGCATGAATATGAATCCTAGCTCTTCCAGTTCTTTAATTTACGCCTCCATTTCCTCATCTATTAAATGAAGACGATCATATCATAATAGTACTAATTTCTTGATCTATGCATCAAGTGAGTTATTTTATATCAGGAAATTAGAATACTGCTGGGGACAAAGTAAATATCCCATCAATATTAGCTATTATATTAGTTTTCATATTTCCCAGAACCTATCATGGGCCACATTATGCATTATGAACTCAACAGATATTTCTTGAAAAATAAGAAAAATCGTGTTGTTTTGAGTGAAATTATTACACTTGGCCAAGTGATGTGGGGGTGGACATACCAGGCGAGTGCTGGAGATTGTAATCGACCTAATTTTTGTCTGCAGCATTAATCACTGAGAAAACGAAATGTAGGTCCTCGTGGCCACAGAGCCTCGTGTTTTCTTTAGTGGAAAAAGATTCTTTGGTACGGGATCAGGACTGAGACCCTCTGAGCTCTCATGTGTCCCTGACTCCTTTCTTGGGAGTCTAAGAGGCAAGAGACACAGGACAGGCCACTTAGAGGAAGCCTGTTACACACCTGCTGGGTTCACAAAAGAGCCATTAGCCACCAGGTCTGATGATTCATTGCCTGCAGAGTGATTTGGGAAAGAGGGTTTCAATCCAAACCAGCATAAGACAGAGGGGGAAACAATTAGCATTCACACTACTGAGAAAAGGAAAAGAAAGAAAAGTGATCCATTACTTGTTAACAGAGTAAAGGGTGTGGAATCTTTCTGCTTTTTTTCTTGTGGGGGGAAAAAATAGAAAGGCAAGATGATTTCCTTACTAGGTAATGTCCAACTACTTTCCCCTTCCCACTGTTGTTTCCAAACCATTTCTTTGACGTTTATTCATTGCTTCAAAACTCACGTAACATTTGTTTAAACTTCTGAAGCAGTGTCAACATTGCCAGGCCATAGAGCCTCTGCCTAATATCACAACAAATTCATATGGACCCCTAGCCAAAACGGTGATATAGAAAGGCCCATTATAAAGCTAGGCGTTCCCTTCTGTTGAAATCCATGGAGACTCTCCCCCTTTGTGAGCCTTCCACTCTCGGCACTACGTAGACATGAGTCTTTGCAGCAAGTCTGAGGTTTAAAACCTCATCGTTCAGCAATGTAAACACACACTTTTGATTGACAATTCTTACTTTTAAAGGGAATGGGGGAGGCAAAAATTATTCGTGAGTCCCTTTGCAAGTCACTCATGATACTGTATTTTTAGCCTGGGCTCAACCCTCCTATTTAATGATAGACAGGTATGGAATCTTCCAGGAATATGATGCCATATCAGCATGACCGGCTCTGCCCCTGGTTACTACATCTTCTCTCTCCCTGGCTGGGGTAGCAAGCATTCTCCCATCCTTAAAATGACATGTCAATGGCAGTTCACGCTGTGCCAGTTCTTGGGGTCTTGGCTGCAGACGCCTTCCAGAGGACAGCACCCCAAGGACTGGACAAGAAAGAGCCATGTTCAGGCCAACCTGCTAATGCGCCAGCCCCTTAGCAGAGGAAGTTCCTTTTTCTTGCCCTCATTCTTTCCTTCTGAGAAACTTGCCATCCAAAGTCAAGTGTGCCTCTAACACTTTCAGGAGATTATCACTTTCCTCTTTGTCATCTTTAAAATTTTATTATTGCCTTCAACTCCACCTCAGTTTTCAGGACTTGATCCCATTCTTTTCATTTTGAAAATAGCCCGGGGCCAAGATGGAAAAAGAAACAACCAGCAAACCAATTTTTAAGCAGTTTTTAACTTACCAAAAATGTCAAGTTATTGCACCTTTTAAATCTCAATAGATCTATTTGTAGAAATTATACCAAAATCAGCAATTTCCTTGTTCTCATCTTCCCTCAATCACTTCTCCAATGAGTTTGGGCAGAAGTACCCCTGTGTCCAGGTGGCTGTGGGAGGCCCTGTAATTGGGTGTAATCAGATCCCAGAGGAGCTTTTCTGATGAGGCGGAGATTCTTTTGACAGGAACTTTTGAGAAGTAGAGTCGATGTAATGAAGTCCAGAATTTTCCAGACTCCTCTTAATATATCCATCATGTCCAGCCGCATCATTGACATGTTAACTCTCTTGTTTCTGATTTCAGCTGTCAGACTCAGTAAAATTGCCCCGGCAGCTTTAGCATATGTGGCAGAACACTGACAAGATGTTACTTACACCTAATTAAGGCTGAGAGCATCGTAACGGTTCCGGCGTCCTAGCAACCTGATTTCCTCTGGTTTCGAGTTTTCTGGATCTTGACCTCAGCACTTTGAAAGTCAGGAAAATTTGATACAGGGATGCTTAGGAATATTGCCATCACCACACTTTGACTTTTATATCAAAATGGAAAACAGCAGAACAAAGAGAATTTGACAAAAGAGATGGAAACATCACACCTAGAGGGTCAGAATGGGATAGCTGACCTGATAAGAATGGCTGGATGGACTAGATGACCTTTGGCTCTCTCCTGCTGTTTTTACTTTGTCTCTGTGAATGGGGGTAAATCCAGCAGGACAGGTAGTAGATGGATAGTAAGAAAAATCACACGCAGGAAAGGGAAAGAGGAAATGAATACTGGGCTTAGCACAATGACCGAATGTGGCAGTGCTAAGCTTAATAACAAGCAATTGTTTCGAACAATCATTATTAAAAAGGCTGTGAGATATACTCCAGGGAAAAGAAAACATCCCCAGTGCTTGAGTCATTTAAAATACGTTTAGATGGAACCCTCTGTAGTGGCGTGGGCTGGAATTGCTCTTTTGTGGCCTGGGCTGGGGACTGGTGCCCGCCCCATTCTGACTCTTCAGCCTCTACCTTTGTCTCCTGCTGACGTAAGGCTGCTGTGGTGGACAAGCCGTTCCCTCACATGGCACAGTGAGGTTACCGAATGCCCCAGGATGTAGAACAGCCTGACCTCTCCTCCACCCCCTCTCCCAGCCCCCTGTAAGAATTTACAAATCCAGTTAAGGGTGAAATTTTGCCATTTCCTCTGTGGAACACAGAGGTTTTATGCGATGACAAGTGAATGGATTTCTTCTCTGCTGAAGTCTCCAATTCTCATACAGTTGCCAGAGGCAGAAAAAAAAAATCAGCACTTTGGCAGCAATAAACAGCCTTTTGCCTTCAAAAATGCTTCCAGGTTTTTTTTCTTCTCCTCTTTCTTTTAAAAAATTTCTTCTTTTATGTATGTGTGCCTTTAGGAGGGAGAGTGATATTTAGTTTTCTTTTGCTTGGTAGGAGATAAGGGAACATTTGAGATGAAATCACAAATTGTCCAGCTCCTTGTCGGATGGATCAGTGAGGTTTCTCTTCTTTTCCCTCTTTGCGAACTCCAGGGTCTCGTGAATTCCTTGGCAGGGACCTGGTCTTCTCTTGTAGAGGGTTAGTTACAAAACACATTCATAATGTCCCTGGCTAAATGTCCCAGCCAGGAGTCAAGAAGAACTCAATTTCCTGGCCTGACTTTTTTGGACTGTGACCACTCCAGGTGTTGGGACTGCTCAGGAAATAAGAGGCAGAACATGTGTGCGTGTTTTTAAAAAAAGCACAGAGCGCTTGCTGGGGACCCAGATGCTTATCCGGGCTGTTGGCCTGTAGCACAAAGTAGATCCTGAAAGAAAAAGGAAAGAAAAAAGAAAGGTTAATAATTATTGTAAAAAGAAGATGGAAAGTTTCAGGGATTTATGTGATTTGATAGGAGAGGCTGTTTCTGAGCTTCCTATGAAGCCAGGCGACATCTCCCCTGGGCGATGCATGGATGGGTTATTTCAGCATTGGGAAGTTGGGGAGGAGGTTTAATCAAAGGGCTGGATGTTTTGTTGACTTCTTCATGAGAAAAAAGATTCAAAAAAAAAAAGACAAAAAAAAACAGGTTCATTTGAATGCTTAGCAGACTTAATAAGTTTACAAGAAAATGGTTTTACCTTGGTAACAGCCAGGCTCAAACTAGTGCCCCTGAGGAACTGACTGTTATCTGCTGGAGAATCCTGTGTTTTAAAGTCTTCTTCCTTTCCTTACCTCAGGCTGGAACAGAAGAGTATATCAAACAAAAGTGCCTCGCCTAAGCTGTCCATATAGGGCAAACCTTTGGCTTTTCTGATTAGCACAATCTCCTAGCCTTGCTTGGAAGGCTGAATGTCAGGTCATCGTAGAAATTTTGAACTGGAAGGACTGCAGGGTTTATCTTGTCCACCATCACACTCCTAACCACCACCATTTAAGGGATTAGGAAACGGAGACCCAGAGGAATTACATGACTGGCTGAAGGTTCGCAGGTGATTAGTAGCATAATTAAATTCCGTGACCAGAGGATAATCCTCTTTATTCCTTGCAGAGTTCCTTCCCCTTTACCAACATTTCTTGAAGTGTGCACTGTGGAAGAACGCCAATTCTATATAGTATGTTAATACATTTTATGCAAAGCAGCTGTGGGTAGGGAGGAGAGCGAGAGAGAGAAAGAGCGATCTTTGAGAATCTCGATTAAAGAACTTTAGAAAATGTTGGATTATGCTAAGTTAAACAGGTTTGTTTACAGTGATATTTCTCTCTTATAATTTGATAACTCTTTTGGTTGCAGCATCTCAAAAATGACTACTTCTGTAGAACGCATTTAGGGTAATATTTCCTGGCATTCAGCTCAGCCCTTTTTCTGACTAGTTGAGTTAGCGAGTTTGTGTGCTTTCACTCATCTTGGCCTATAACTTTTCATTTGTCAACTACCAGGAAAAATGTTTTATTTTGGAATGAACATGAACCCTGCTTCCAACCTCAGTCCTGGCACATCTATTTGTACCTCCCTAAATCAACCATTAACCTCTCTAGGCCTTAGTTGTTTCATGTGGAAGATGATGATTTGGATTCTGTGATCCATAAGGTCCCTTTGACTAATTTACTATTTCTCAGTTTGAAACGTGGTTGTTTTCTGTCTGAGCCTGGAAGAAACATGAGGGGAGAGGAGATATGCCCAATCTCCCACTCAGGCGGTTGAGCTTAAGCTCTCAGGTTCTAAGGGATTTTTGTATGGAAAGATTGTTCTCAGCAGTAATAAACAGCCCAGAAAAAGTGTCCTAATACAAGTATGAGAATAATTTATAATGGATACCCTGGAATCCTAAAATTCAGTTTCAGGTAAAAATTTCTAAAGCATTTATTAGAAAGAAAAGGTATATCCTAAGTATTTGTATTTCAGAGACAGCAAAGGCACTTTGAATTCTGGAACGAAGTCTCCGTTGGAGCTTCCCTTCACCACTGCAGTTCCCTCTGTTGCTGGTTCTAAACTGCATACGCAGTCTGCTCTTGGTACCTGGGCTGAAATTCTTCTTTTTTTTTTTTTTTTGAGACAGAATCTCGCTCTGTCACCCAGACTGCAGTGCAGTGGCATGATCTCTGCTCACTGCAACCTCCATCTTCTGGGTCCAAGCAATTCTCGTGCCTCAGCCTCCCAAGTAGCTGAAATTACAGGCGCATGCCACCATGCCTGGCTAATTTTTGTATTTTAGTAGAGATGGGGTTTCATCATGTTGGCCAGGCTGGTCTCAAACTCCTGACCTCAAAAGATCCTCCCCCCTTGGCCTCCCAAAGTGTTGGGACTACTGGTATGAGCCACTGTGCCCAGCCTGAAATTCTTGAGAGTGGCTGAAAAATATAAAGTATAATCTCAGTCCATTTTAGCAGAATATATGATTGCTTCTTGTAAGTAAGAAAGGGGTATTTATAGAAAACAACAACAACAAAATCGAATGCTCATCTATGGAAAATTCCCATTAAAACCTATAGGCATTCCTCTCAGGTACTAAGATTCCTCAGGTACCTGCCTGGGGTCCTGGGGCATCCAGATAATCATAGATCATAATTTCTCCTCACCAGTTTGCATGTTTCATTTAGGTATTCTCCAAGAAGAGAGGTCCTTTTAAAGAATGAGCATCAAGCATCCACTCTAAAAGGAAGATGGAGAAAGCCAGTGCAAGGCCTGCCTGTTGGGCATCATGTGGATTTGCCCTTGGCTCTTGTGTTCACTCGGAGCCCTCTGGTGTCCCGTTTCCAGCTGGGCTGTGCACGCACCCTGGGGATTCAGTGGAAGAGGTGACATCTGCTGACCCTCAGTCATTAATCAAGCTGCCTGAGCAGAACCATTTCCCAGGCAGGGCTGCAGCTCATTGGCTCTTGGGAGCTTCTGAATCAAATGGTGAAAGGCAGGAGCTTATGTCCTGTCCCTGAGTTCTTGAGAGGAACGAGATGACGGGGATGGAAGGGAGCTGATGGTAGAAACGACAGTAAAGAAAAGGGACTTGGGGGAAGCTGAATTGGGGAGATAGGGCAGTCCTTTGAATTGTGGGAGTTTTGGGGTACCCATTCATCATTCATACTGACTGGTCAGACTACAATCCATTGGCTTCAATACCGTGTTTTGTTGAAAAGGACTTATCAGAAGACCTGTACCTTCAGCCTGAGGCTGCCTTGTGACATAGGGTGCCATCTTCCTCCTCCTTAACCCTAGAGGCGGCTTGCCCTTGGCTGTTTTCTGAAGGGGACCTTTGAATCTCAAGGGTGGAGGGTGTGGCCTTTGAGTTGTAACTACCAAGTAGCAACTTGTTACTTGGTAGTAATTTGCTGTCAAACACCTGTCTTGCTTCCAGGAGCAATCTGAATCCAGCAGTGCTGAGAAAACCCAAGAGCTACATGGCCAGCATTTCCCATCAGAGAGCCAACAGGTCAGGTAGAAAAGCTGGGTCCCTCTATTCCTGATGTTCCCATCTTTAGGGAACATTCTCATCATCCTGCAACTGGTAACAATTTTCTAAAATTAGAGTTTTTCTGTTTCATTCTCTCCCCTCTCAGGGCCCCTGGTTTTGCCTTCCCGCCCACCAGCCCTGGTTAATGGAGCTTTTGTTCTGCCTGATGCTGCCTTGCTAATCAGGGTGTATCATATGGGAGCTATCAGGAGAGCGGGGCCTGCTTCACAAAGGAACACAGGTAATCTATGAGTAAGCCTTCGTGGTTCGGTGACAGAATGACATCCTAAAGAGGGTGGATGGGGTCTATGGACTGAAGACACTAGGAATAGAAACCTGTTAGCTCTCACTTAAGGGTTTTCAGTGGTTATATTAACCATGACTTCCTACATCTCTCTAATATGGAAATGTCTGTGGGTTTTTCCAGCTTCCCAGATCCCTTCCTGCTTTGAAGTGAGCTGTCATTTTCTAGACTGTTGTTGCCTGGGAAACTGTGGCCCAGTTTTGGCCTCAGAAGGCATTTTAGTGGGCTTGAAAGACTTTCCAATTGCTACCCTTCCAGTAGGGGTCATTGCTCACAAAGCCATCTCCCTCTAAACAGCTCCATTTCAGCACCAAAAGTAAATGAAGCAGGAGGCTGTGTTTACAGGTTGGGGCAGGTTCGCATCAAATATATTTTTGAAAAATACCATGAAGTTCAGTGTTTTGTTGTAATTTCCTAAAGGAAAGAAAAGCTGTCATTCATTCATTCATTCATATATTCAATACATGCTTATTAACATTGTCCTAGGTGCTAGTAACATATGAACAATATGAACAAACTCTCCAAGTTCCTTCAGACTCTCAGGAGAGTTAGACAATAAAAATACCCAGACAAATAAACAAGATGATTGCTTTTATGATAAGAAGCACTGTTTGAGTGCAGAACACAGTAAACTTGTGTCAGAGTGTTCTTTTCTCCCAAATTATGACAAAAATGAGACTTCTGTATTGTGCTTTACAACTAGCAAAGCCTTTTCATCTATATCATCCTGTCCTCATAACAGCCTCATTGGAGACACAGTGAGTATTATTATCACTTTACAGATGAAGCAATGGAAGCACAGAGAGGTTAAGGGACTTGCACAATGTCACATGTCGAATAAACTATGGACCCAGTACTTAAAGCCAGATCTTCTCACTCTAAATTTAGTGCTCTTTTTTCCCTACTTTTTCATGTCTCCACATCTCCAAGATTATGGGGTTTGTGGGAGCTACTTTGATAACAGTCAGGGACTGATGATTGAGCAGAGAGAGGAAGGCGGGTTAGTGGGGAGGCCTGGGGAGCCCTTTAGCCAAGAATGAGTTTTTCACAAGAGCAGGAAAGTTCCTTAAGTGGCCTTTGGCTTTGCAGAGGCTCTGCTTCATCTCTTCTTGACGTTGTCCCTGGGAAGAGGGGAGCTGGGGTGGATGCGATGGGGAAGGAAGGGAAGGTTGTCATTTCAATGTTGTCTGTTATTTATCCACACAGCCCCTGGGGCCCTATTTTCAGACTTGTCTGCTTGCCCAGAAAGGGGCAGACCCAGGATTCACAGAAATTAGAAGCACATACACTTGGCCTGGCCAACAGCAGTGATGAAGAGAGATGCATGCCGGTTTAAACCAGTACCTTCAACATTCAGGAACAGCACAGCTCCAGGAAGAGCAGGGAACTCTTCTGCCTGCTTAAAAGTGAAGGCCTCTAATCAGAATCAGAGCTTCATTGAATGTTAGAATTGCAATGGATTTTGGCCATGACAGTCCAACAACTTTATTTCACAGACAAAGGACCGGGAGGTAGTGTGACTTGGCCAGAGTCATGCAGTGATTTAGTGAATACCAGAGCTGGGGCAAGGATGCAGCCCTTCTGACTCCTGACCCTTTCTCTCTCTTCCTCATCAGGTTGCCTTTAGAGTTGGCTACAAAACTTAGAGCTTGGTGATGGCTCAGGCACAAAAGAGCTGGCTGTACTTGAGGCTGACTTCCATTCTACCTGTGACTATTACATTCAAGGTAGTGAACGCTTGAAGCCTCTGGCATCCTGATCCCATGATTACTGCAGAGAAAAGAGGTAAATCAAGAACTGCTTGGGGAACAGCATCATCATCGGTTCTGGCATGTGCATCTAAGCAAGGCGTGCCTCTCAGGAAGGATTTCACTCTTTGTTGTAACTGTATCATACCTTTTACAAAAAGTCACTTTGAGGTCACTTTTTTTTTGTCCAGTATTTCAATACATTAAATGCAATTACTTCATTGTTGATTTACCTGTCATTACAGGCATGTGTTTGAACATGATTTATTGAGTGAGTTTTGTGCCAGTTGACTTGCAATAGATTGCACAATATTCAAAGGGGCTCATTTGCTTGGCATTACATTAGAGGCATGATGATTGCAACACAAAGCAATGTAAATGAATTCTGAGAGGCTCCATCATTCATGTTGTCATGTACTGAATCCTATTATTATTTATTACCATAATTGTACTGTGTTTCCTGGGGCGATAAATTAGGACTGATGGGCCCCACTGACAGTCAAGGGCTGGACTCGCTCTATATAATTTAATAGGGATACTGTAGGGTCTGTGTGTTTGGAGGAGATTTTGGTAGTGGTTAAAAAAAATGAAAGAAATTTTTTTTTTTTTTTTTTTTTTACAAAAAGTATAAAAACCTTCCAAAGTTTTTTTTCTCTCTCTTTAATGCCTTGGCTGCATTTTAAAGTCTTGATAAAAGCTGAGTTATAAGGAAGAAAATTTCTTTCTTTCAACACAAGATGGTTAGAGCTCATTGCCTCATGCCACAGTCCTTGCCACATCAAACACTGGCAGGTGGCATTAACTCTCAACAAACAAGGCATTATCGTGCCTAAGGAATCCAGAATCAGCTGCAAATCCAATGGTCAGCGTGATGGCAGCCCTAGGAACTTAGCATATTACCATATTAAGTCTGAGGGCCCCTTGGGGATCTAATCTGACATGCCAATATTTCTGAAGAAATTGAAGGGTCTGTTTTCCTAGGACAACAGAATAGGAGCATTGCAGGTTATAGATACAAAATTGCTGTGCAGGATAGAAATGTCTGTGCAAATACCAGCATAATGTATTATTAAAATCACACAGTGGGGCCAGGCTCGCTGGCTCACGCCTGTAATCCCAGCAGTTTGGGAGGCCGAGCTGGGTGGATCACTGCGGTCAGGAGTTTGAGGCCAGCCTGGCCAACATGGTAAAACCCATCTCTACTAAAACTACAAAAATTAGCCGGGCGTGATGGCATGTGCCTGTGGTCCCAGCTACTTGGGAAGCTGAGGCAGGATAATCACTTGAACCCAGGAGGTGGAGGCTGCAGTGAGCCGAGATTGTGCCACTGCACCCCGGTCTGGGTGACAGAGCAAGACTCCATCTCAAATAAATAAATAAATAAAATAAAATAAAATAAAATAAAATCTTACAATGCAAGTGCTGGAAGGGATCTTAGAGATGACTCACGTCAACCATCTCATTTTACAGATGAGAAAACTGAGTCGTAGGGAGGGCACAGCCAACAGGAAAGAAGAGTCATTAGGAATATGTGCTGCACTCTAATTCCAGAACTGTAATCAACTGGCCTTTTGATTTGAGTGATGTCTAAGGAGCATGAAGAGTCATGAAGCAGAGACCTGGCCATTCCACAGGGGGCAGTCAAAAGAAAAGCCCTGAAACATCACTCTTTGGTCCAACTAGAAAGGAGTGTGACTGTTAATAAGGCGCAGGAGTAAGTTGTTAGTCAAATGGTGTTGGCCAAGAATCTTTTAGAATCCCTGTTTTGCATATATTCTGTTGGATCAATTTTATTTCAGAAAATAATCAATCTGTCTTTGAGCCCTGGGTCAGAGGCCAGGGATTTCATAATCCCTGTGGAAATAAACTCTTTGACAGTTTACATGTGTGCCTTTTGTCCTCTGTCCTTACCTATCACAATCACATATTTGGGAGCTTAATGTATGCAAAGAAGGGATGTCTGTGGAATGAAACTCGGAAAAGAAGTTGAATTCTGTTTAGGGAGTTAGGATATAATAGAAACCAAGGAAACCAGGGTCGCGTTAGCCTTATATACATAATCTCCTCGGTAGAGACACTATCTAAGTAGTTTTATTTTCTATTCCTCAAGAGCTTAAAGGAAAGATTTCATCCTACTTGTCTACATTCAGCTGTGTTTATATGTGCCACTAAATGGTTTTATTCAGATTGATTCAGGCGGGGCCATAAAATCAATGCATTGCCACCTAGTCGATCTGATTGGGTTGTTAAAACAAGTGAACTAATCAGACCACTTCTTAAAAATCAGATCACATCACCTGTGTGTGATTTGCCTGTCCCCTGGGCAACTGGCGTGGTAATCAGAAATCAAGCCCAAATAAACTCAGCCAAATGCTTCATGTAGTTCTGGCCCAAGCTAGCCCCATCCTTACAGGTAAGGGACAAGAAACAGCTCAATGTTTGACCAGTTGCACGCACAATCTGAGTGGCACCCCATGCACCCCATTGGGTTGGAAATGGCAGTGGACTCTGGGCATGTTCATGCCTTTCAACAGGTAGTAGAGTCTTTTGTTTTACGGGATTAAGGAGCAGTCTGAGGCAGCAGCAATCAAGACAAAGCAGGTATAAAGCCATTAGGGAGCGGAAAGGAGTGAGCTGTTGCTTCTCATTTCACCCCCAAAATGGGGAGCTGGATTTGCAAGCAGACCCCCGTGCAGAGTGGGCCTCATCACTACTTCCTGGCTTCTCCAGGGCCTCAGTCAAAAGAAAGTCTGCATCTAGCTTCCTCATTGGCTGACAGTCATGATCAAAGGGGTCATGATCAAGAGGAGCCAAGTGATCACACCATTAGCAAGAGGAGTCTCCAACTTGGGCTTTAGGTTCTGATTCATAGTTTTTAAAAGACCCTGGCTTGTGGCCTAAGTGGATACAGTCAGTGTTTCTCCATCAAAAAATTGTTCTTGCTGGTGTCCTGGATTTTTGCAGAACTGAGGAAATTAACCAATTGCCTTTATCTATTTATATCATGGTTGTGGCCATATTAGTCCATGAGAATAAAATCGCCACTACCAAAACATGGACTGGATAATAGCATTATTTGGAGAGAAAGTCCCAAATTATTAGATAGTAATATTAATTATAATTTTGACATTAAAACAGAAAACCATTCTGCATTGTTTGTGAGATGATGTACTGGGGTGCAGTTAGATTTCTGTGTGTTTATAGAGGAAGCCCTGGCCTGTCCAGGATCCAGCAGCTCAAAGCCATTTGCTTTGTCTTCAGGCCACTGGCCTGGGATTCATAGTTGCAGCAACTCACCAGACAGGAAAGGGTGACAAAACAAAACGAGAGTAGTGACACTGGGTGACTATGAATACATTTAAGAAGGTAAATAAAGCCAGACATGGTAGCTTAGGTCTATAATCCAAGTGCTTTGGGAGGTCCAGGAGGGAGGATTGCTTGAGGCCAGGAATTCAAGACAGGTCTGGACTACTTAGCAATACCCCATCTGTACGAAAAATAAATTTTAAAAAAGAAGGTACATAAGACAATATGGAAGATATTGGGGAAAGTCTACACTTGATAGCCAGTGGCATCATGATATGAGTTATTTATGTTCTAGACTGGGATGAATGTACTCCAAATTTACCCCTTAAACATCTTCTTGTACCATTTTTGATGGCTTATGAAAACATAATTGAAAATAATTAAAATGTAAACATTCATTGTGTTTAGGAATATTCTTAGTTCCCATTTCCTCCTTCCTCAATCCTTTCCCTCCTGCTAGCATGTGCACGCACACACACACACACACACACACACACACACCAGAGCAGGAAAGAGAAACTTGCTCATACTTGCATACAATTTTAAGTTTAAATCAAGCCAATGGCAGTCAAATGGAGGCCACGTGTTTTCTCTCAGGTACTAAAATGATACAAAATAAGCTAATTTTCTTCAGGCAACAGGACACCACAGGAGCCCCAAACCTGTGGCCTTTCCCTTGGAAACTCATGTCTTAGAAGCTGCCTGAGCTCCTGTCCACTGCACGAGCTGATTCCTTTCTTTGCATTCCTCTAAGGCACCTTACTCCTAAGGTCCAGGCAATGTTTTGATAGGAAGTGCCCCTGCGAGCAAGTCTTACCAGCCACTCAGAGGATGGAACTTCCCTTTGTTTCTTGGCCACCACAAGGCAAGTTTACTGAAATGCATCCATGCAGTTTTTTTCTTCTTTTTTTTTTTTTTTTTTGCAGTAGCTGACATTGAAGATGGTAGCAGTTAAGGGGTCAGAATGCGGTAGGTAAGAGGAGTGGCTGACATGGAAACCCTGTGGTCAGCAGAGCACATCTCAGGCCCTTTACTCTTGGAGGAGAAAGCTCTGATGTGGCCAGGAGTCCCAGTGAAGGAGTGGTTGGGCTGAATAAGCGAGCTTGTGTTTTGATAGAAACAAGCCTGGTTTAAAATCATGACTCTGCTCCTTGCTGTGAGATTTAGGGCAAATCAGGGAATCACTGAATGTCATCTTTCCTATTGCAGTGATGAATGAAAGCCCCTGTCATCGTGTAGTTTAATACTGGCATTGCTCTTGGGAGCCAAGGAGTCCTAGATGACTGAATTCTGCTGTGAGGTCTGTAGCTCAGGGAGAAGATGAGACAAGTGGACTTGGAAAGAACAATCTTCCTCGGTTAGTAGAAAAACTGAGTTTTGACTCTGACATTTTGATGTTCTAGAACATCTCCATCCAGTAGAACTTTCTGTGATGATGGAAATGTTCTATATCCACCATTCCTCAACATAGTAGGCACTGGTCACCTGTAGTAATTGAGCCCTTGAATGTGGCCAGTACAACTTGGGAACTGAATTTTTAACTTTATTTCATTTTAGCTGATTTAACTTTAAGGAGCCATGAATGGCTATATGGCTATTAGCTACTGTATTGGACAGCACCATGCTACCACAGAGATTCTCAAATCAGGCTGCACATCTGAATTTTTTTTTTTTTTTTTTTTTTTGAGACAGAGTCTCACCACTCTGTTGCCCAGGCTGGAGTGCAGTGGTGCAATTATGGCTCACTGCAACTTTGACCTTCCTGGCTCAAGTGATTCTCCCACTTCAGCTTCTGGAGTAGCTGGAACTATAGGCACATGCTACCATGCCCAGTTAATTAAAAAGAAAAAATTCATAGAAACATGGTCTCACTATTTTTGCCCAGGCTGGTCTCGAACTTCTGGGCTCCAGCAGTCCTTCTGCCTCTGCCTCCCAAAGTGTTGGGATTACAGGTGTGAGCCACTGCACCCAGAGCTTCTGAAGATATTTCAGAGGTACTGGTGACTTGGTTTCACACTACGCCACTTAAATCCGAGTCTCTGGCATGGGACCCTTGCATCAGAAGTTGTCAAAGTTCCTCGTGTGTGAGTGTAACATGCAGCCAGAATTGAGAACTGTGGTGCAGTAGGTGCTTGTGTTAACCATGGCTCTCTTCTTGCTGGACAGGGGTGTGATGGAGAATGGCTTGCTCTGGAAGATCTCTGCTTGGGTTTTCTCTGTTGAGAATTCTAGAAGTTTGCTCTTGGGACAAATTCTGGGTGCCTTCAACTTGGGCAGGCTAAGAGATCATGTTTTTCTTAGTCTTAGATGTGTATTTCCCTTGGCTGATAGGATGAGGGAGGACACCTTAGTGGGGAGGATGACAGTTTGGATGAGGGTAAGTGGAAGGAATGTGGTCCACACGGAGGATGAGAGGCTTTCTCTTCAAGTTCTGAACAACTTTCCCTCTTATACTTGCATTTTCCTTAAAGCTTCCCAAAGGAAAGTTTCATTTCATATGGGTGGTAGGAGGGCTTTTAGTTGGACACAGGGATGTCCTATACGTTTACCTCCTTGTAAAGAAACAGTATCATTGATAACTTGAAAGCCAATTAGTTCAATCAGGAAATGCCTTGTTGGGACTGGAGGAGCCAGAATGGGGTTTTAACGAAAAACACATTTTATTTCTAAAGTAATTGGTTTTATGTTTATTCTAGAAAAAGTCCTCAGGGTGCAAAGAAGAGAAATGCAATAAAATGATAATGAGGAGGCCCAGGACCCGCACAAGGGCACCACTGCAAGTAGATACTTCGAGGAAACTTCCTGATGCTTGTCCAGCCCTTGGTGGTGGTGCCCGGCAGCCCGTATTCTTATCCCAAAGCAATATGTGTGGAGACAGCCCAGCAAAAGCTGAGAGATTGTGTGTCCAGAGACATGTTCCAGGAATGGAAACAGAGAGTGGAGGAGTTTCTTCTCTCCTCCCGTCTCCCGCTAGAGTGGGCGGTCCCTTTGGTGTCATCGCACTGTCTTCATAGCCTACTGCGCTCCAGGCCTGTGCGCCCATGGCGGTCTTGGACCACGAGTGAGCCATGAGCCCTCCCAAGCCCCAAGGCCAGGTCTGAAGCGGGCTGATGTGTGCCCCTGGCTTTGTTGCCCAGATCCTCACCACAATCCCAGCATCCCACCACTCTACTGCGAGAAGAGACAAGGGAGGAGATGCACACCTCAGAGAAGGAGCAGATTTCATTCAAAGTCCGAGGGAGGCCAGGGCTCCTGGTCCTGGACTTCGTGTCAATTGGTTCTTCCTGGAAAAGACAATTGGAGGCACCTTCACCTTGTTTTTACTATATGGGTCGCGTGGCAGTGCTGGAGAAAAAGACAATCCCCAAAGAGCACATTGTCCTAAAGGAAGAGTCAACACCTGCTAACAGTTTATCTTGTCATACTAAGCCTCAAGCCCTGAGCACCATTGCTCAGCTGCACTCACGGTCTTGGTACTGTTGCCTGGTGTAACTACACAACCTCTGGGCTGATGACGCAAAAACACGTGATATGTAATAGCTCATTTAATTCTCGCAACTGTAATTATCCCCATTTCATGACTTCCATTTGACGGAAAGATTAAGCGGCTAATCCTCCAACACAATTTAAGTGGCTTGTTCCATAACTAGTGAAGAGATTGAAAATTTGAACTCCTCTGCCGAGCTCCGGAACCTGTGCTCCTAAGGGAGGAATGGGCTGGAGCTCCCCACAGTGGTCATCATGTAAACCCAACACTTCCTACATTCATTGATTTCTGCCTAATTTACATTCCTCTTTTGTTAGTTGCTCACAAGTCCCTCCTCCATCCTCTTCTTCCCAAGCCCTGGTCATTAAAATCAAAGTCTTAAATCTCAGATACCACTCTCCCTGCACCTAGGCCCTTATTTTCATCCGTATCCAGAGAGTCTTAACCTCTTGTCTTACGTTTGTCTAACTTGAACCTGTACGACCTATTCCTTGAGACTCTATATTTTAAAAACCTGCACAGATCTTATCAAAAAATTATTTGTACCTCTGCTTCTACCATTAGGTGACCATTGCCTTTTCTCTGAAGACACCATTTCTCTTGTAATCTTCTCAACGTATCTTTCTCTTATTCCTGTCCCTTAACTGAACGAAAGTGGGATCGGCTTTTCCGTTCTCTCCAGTACTTCTCTCGACCACTGTTTTGTGATTATTATCCAAGAGCTTTGCTGGTGTTGGACTCCATATAGCACTGTTTCTAACACTTTCTTGCTTTCCTGAGTGACCCCAGCATCTGGCTCACAGCCTTCCCTTTCCTTGCTAAAGTCCGAGCGACTCCGACATCAAAATTGATCATCTTCCCAACTGTGTACTCAGGCAGTGTTCAAGTTCCACTTCCCGAGGGAGTTCTGTCTTGCTTCCATGGAGCTGTCCACCTGGTTGTCTCATTTTTAAACAGCTTTATTAAGAAATCATCGACATACAAAAATGTATACATTTAAGATGTGCAACTTGATGTTTTAGTATACGTTATTAAATTATCACCACAATCAAGCTAATTAAACATATCCATTACCTCTGCATAGTTGCAATTGTTTATGTGCGTGTGTGTGTGTGTGTGTGTGTGTAGTGAGAAGATTTAAGATGTGTCCTCTCAGCAAATTACTAGTATACAATACAGTTTTGTTAATTAACATGACCATGCTGTACATAAGGTCTCTAGAAATTATTCATATTTCATAACTGAATCTTTGTATCTTTTGGCCAGTATCACCCTATTTCTTCCTTGACCAGGCCCTGGAAACCACTATCCTACTATCTGCTTCTATAAATTTGACTATTTTCAATTTCACATATAAATGAGATCATGCAGGATTTCTGTTTCTGTGTCTTGTTTGTTTCACCTAGCATAATGTCTTCCAGCTTCATCATGTTGTGGCTAACAGCAGGATTTCCTTCTTTTTTAATAGTATTCTGTTATACACACACATGCGCGCGCGCACACACACACCCACACACACACACCACATTTTCTTTATCCATTCATCTGTTGAAAAACATTTAGGCCATTTCCATAGCTTAGCTTTGTGAATAATCCTGTAATGAACATGATAGTGCAGAGAACTCTTCACAATCCTGATTTCGATTGCTTTAGATACCAAGAACTAGGATTGCTGGATCATGTTAGTTCTATTTTTAAGTTTTTGGAGAACCTTCATACCATTTTCCATAATGGTTTTACTAATTTACATTCTCATCAGCAGTGTATAAGGGTTCTCTTTTCTCCACAGGAAAACAGTCCCATTTACATTAGCAACAAAATAAATAAATAAATAAAATACTTAGAAATTAACTTAACCAAAGAAGTAAAGGACTTATATACTGAAGCTTACAAAGCATTCATGAAGGAAATTTAAAAAGATACAAATAAATGAGAAGATACAAATCCTATGTACCTGGATTGGAGGAATTAATATTGTAAAAATGTCCATACTACCCAAAATGATCTACATATTCAACACAATCTCTATCAAAATCCCAAAGGCACTTTTTAAGAAATAGAAAAAATATTCTTAAATTCCTATGGAATCAAAAGGACCCTGAATAACCAATCTTGAAAAAGAAGAACAAAGCTGAAGGCATCACACTTCCTGACTTCAAATTATATTACAAAGACATAATAAAAAGTACAGTACTTGCATAAAGACAGATGTATATACCATTGGAACAGAATAGACAACCCAGAAATAAACCCATGCATCCAAAGATGCCAAAAAATACATAATGGGGAGAGGATAGTCTCTTCAACAAATGTTGTTAAGAAAACTAGATACCAATATACAAAAGAATGAAACTGAACCCCTATCTCACACCATACACAAAAATCCTCATAGTCTTCACATTGAGTAGGCTGAGGAAGAGGATGAAGCGGAGGGGTTGGTCTTGTCATCTGGGGGCAGGGCAGAGGTAGAAAGAAATCTCTGTATAAGTGAACTTGCACAGTTCAAACTCATGTTGCTCAAGTGTCGGCTGTGTTTGGTTCTACCTTGCATTATAATAAGGTCTTATCTCATTACCAGACCATGTGCTCTAGAGGAAGAGTAGGCTGAAGCTGCTGCCGTTCATTGTATCTCCTGAAACATGTAGCACAAAGTCTTGTGCAAAACTGGAATACAAGACATACACTTTGTTAAATGGAATCATTGTTTTATTGCCATTTCTTATCTTTCCAATTGTACTTAAATTCAGGAAGTGTAAGGCATTCCTAACAAAGTGCCTTACATTTGACATTAATAAGGGTTTGTTGCTTGGTTTATTGGCTTATTGAGCAAGAGAGAGCTAGGTATAAGGATAGTGGAAGACACTCAGGTTCCTGTTTTGAAACTACCACTTACTTGTTGTGGGACCCCAGGCAAGTCACTGCACATATTTAAGCTTCAGTTTGATCATGTAGAAAAGGAGGGTTAAACTAAATGACTTCCACATGAGTTTCTGGTTCCAAGAAATTTTTCTAAGCCTTGCTGACTCCTTCAGGATTCAACCCAGGCTGAGTTGGAAGCAAAATAATTCAGAGGACCAAGTGTGCCAGGCTAGCATAAAGAAGTTAAGAGAGAAATATAAGTTTTGTTATGTTGAAATGCCGAATTATAAGAGATAGAGAATAAAAAAGAAAAAAGGAGAGAGAGAGATCCTGGATACTGGGGAAAGAAGGTGAGCTCAGACAGAAGGGTGAGAACTGAAGCACAAGAAAGCTGATAAAGCAGTGGTTCTCAATGTGGGACAAGATGGAGAAGAGCTGCCACTCCTAGGGGAGGTGGGATTTCACCCATCATTGTAATTGGCATTTAGTAGGTGGGGCCAAGGGGAGCAGACGTCTTGCAATACACTGGTCAGTTCCATACATCAAAAAGTTATCCCATTTCACATGTAATTTTCAAATGTTTCACTGGACATACAGTTGGGTGAAAGACCTATTTGGAATAATCTAAGCCTAAATCTATATTGTGTGTAAATTCAAAAACATTTTTGCACTGTCTGAATACTCCCTGAACCTTTCAGTAAAGCATCAATTCTGTAAATTGACAGAAAATAGGATGGCATTATATTGGTACAAAGCACACAGATGCTAAGGAATGGATATAAATAGATATCAAAGTGACTTGCTAGAGATCTCATCTCTAGGACGTGGTGACACTGGACTCTCTGCTCAATCACACATTCTTGCTGTGTCACTCAAGCTGGAAGGATGGCATCATATGGCACTTCTCCAAGAGTTGTTCATTATTTTAGAAAATATATCACTAACAGAGATGCGACTGTGTTATTTTAAATCACAATAAATATATCAGCATCAGTGTTCATTTGTGGCTGGTACATTCCTGGTGGCTGCACACAGAGGAGAAGGTATTTGGGTACTGCTGCCTCCCAGGGAAGTCATGCTTGAGTATCGACATATTGCAACCCTCTCCTTGAATTTCCCCATTATATGATTAAAAATAGAGTGCTACATGACTTTTAAAATTATGTGTTTAGGTAGATTACAACTTTGCGGGGTTTTTTGTTTTGTTTTTAGAGACAGGGTCTTGCTCTGTCACCCAGGCTGGAGTGCAGTGGCATGATTATAGCTCACTGCAGCCTTGACCTCCTGGCCTCAAGTGATCCTCCTCCCTCAGCCTCTCGAGTAGCTGGGACTACAGGCATATGCCACCATGCTTGGCTAATTAAAAAAATTTTTTTTTTGGTAGAGACAGGGTCTTGCTATGTTACCCAGGCTGATCTCAAATACTTGACTTTAAGTGATCCTCCTGCCTCAGCCTCCCAAAGTGCTGGGATTACAGGCATGAGCCAATTGTGCCTGGTCAGCGTTTATATTTTTTATAAATTTATTCAGGATGATAAGAAACAGTTTAAAAGAGTTAAACATAAAAACGACGTTAAATTACCCAGACATGGAATCTATTGTATTTGCACTGTGATCAGGACTGAGTTAGTTTTTGATTCTATTCTGTAGACTTGCAAATGCTTAACTTATACATAGTTCATAAGTTTCTTGTGTCTTCACATAAATTAAAACAGAAGCCAAAATTCCATTATACTAGTGATTAATATTTGCATAATATTTTATGATTCACTGAACATTTTATTTAAAGTATTTCATTTGATTCTCAAAGCCATCTCATGAAGTAGGATACTGGTCATTGCTATTATCCTCATTATTTGCTGAGGAACTGATGTAGATAGAGATCAAGGTGACTTGTTAGAGGTCTCATTTCTAGGACACGGTGACACTGGACTCTCTCAAGCACACTTTCTAGCTGTGTCACTCAAGCTGGAAGGATGGCATTATACTGGCACAGAGCACACAGATAAATAAACATGGATCAAACATTGACTCTGAGCCTCAAAGGAGTTAAGATCTCATACAATTTCCTTGAGAATAAAACAAAGTAAAGCACATAAGGTATTAAGAACAGAGCTTGCCACATGAAAGGTACTCAATTCATGAAAGTTACTTATTACTTCCCTTCCATATTCCATGGCTTATAAGAAGGTCCCCTAGTTCTTCTCACAGATGCCGTAAAACCAAGGCACTAGAGTGTCGTGGAGAGCTAGAAACATCGAGTCCATAAGTGGAAAACATAAATGCAGGTTCATGTATTAATAGAAAACTTTTTTGCTCCAACAGCGGTCAAGACATATTAAAAGACCAATTTTAGCATTCTTTCCAGGCTAGGTTTTTAAATGTTTTTCTTCTTGTACCATCCTTGTTAAAGGGACTATGCTCCCCTCAGCTCATAGCTAACAGGCACTGGAGGATGACCATTGCGGGACATGTATGGATCTGTAGTTAACTCCTTACTCAATGGTCTTGGTGGGAAACTTGGCAAACAGGAAGGTGTCTAACCCAGCCATGGAAATCTCACAGGAGTCACTGAGGCCCCACCACATGGCTCTGAATTTCCTCCCACCCTCATCTCCCAAGCATGGACCCAACCTGAATAAATAGAGCAGGAGAAAAACAGGAAAGCAGTAAAATAGCCCACTGGAAGGTAAACACACAGCAAAGACACGAGCCTTCTTTCTTCATATTAGCCTCCATGGGAAGCTAAGAAAAGCAGAATCTATGAAGAAGGCTTCTCTTATGATTTTGGCCCACCTCCAATTCTGCCCCTCTTCCCCCAGCACATCCTGGCATGTGCACACACACGTGTGCACACATAACCTGACTTCCCCACTCCTTGTCCTGCCTATGTCATAGGCTGATCCTATGGAAGTTCTGCAAGACTACAATACATTTGTTCTAAATGAAGCTATTGGTGGAATACTATTATCATTTGTTCTGTATTGTTCATTTCCCTCTTTGTGAAAATTTCTGCTAATGCTGTGGAATGTGGAATGGCTATTGATCCAATCATGATCCGAAATGAATCACTGTCATAGATGAAAAGCTTTGGACTGGAGGGCTGGATTACAGTTTTAGCTCTGCCTCTGTCACCTTTGAAGTCAGGCCACACCTCGCAGCTTTAGTTTCTTGTTTGTAAAATGACAGTGTAGGGCGAGATGATATCAAAGGAAAGAAAGCAGCACACCATGTATCTTAGTCTAAGGCCATGGCCATGCAGAAACCCTTCAAATACTTTCAGATGTGTGGACTTTTCCACACTGAAAATAGACGTAATTCTATGAGGAAACATTCCTTAGCCCAAGAGATAGACTGACAGGTGTCACAATCGAGAGTTTCAGATCTCCTAAAAGGCATCCTCATGAAATGTGCAAAGTTAACCTTTAACGATTCTGAAAGTATAATTGTAGACTCATCTATCCCTGATTTTAAAAGGGCAGTGCATAGCTGGTTTTACATATAAGAAAATAAACACTCGATGACATGCATTTACTATTGCTTCTACAGATCTTCACTATTCATGAAATGGTTGTTTTTAGGAGAAGACAGAACTGAATCACTTCATCCCCATACCTATTTCTTCCTCTAAACATGGCAATAATCTGAACATTCCTTTGCACATGATATTTGTTGGAAATGACCTCTGGGATAATATGATTTATAAGCTCAAGAAACATCTAGAAACCTTGGACCATCTCTTCTCTAGCATAGGAGCAAGAAGCTAGGCTATTTGGCTGAATGCCCCCAGAAGTCAACCAGACAGCCACTATCAAGGTACTTGTCTCCTCAGTGGGTGAATGACCACGTACCATGGTGACCTTCCCATGCCTTTGGGCTAATGCATTTGCATAGCTACACTCCTAACAAATGCAGCTTGCCTTTCCATTCTAAAGCACTGTCCTGTAACCTCTCCTGGGCAGTATTATATTTTTGGCTTGAAGTTTGCTGCACTATGGTTTCTTGGTGAGGGTAGAGAAGGAGGCAATATGCATTCAGAGCCTTCCGTCAGTAACACCGGCAGGTTCTTTCCAGACAATGAGGCCATTGTGCAGGATGAGTGTGCCTGCTTGGGCAAATCCCAGGTAGTCTGATTTAGGAGGTGTGAAATATCTGCCAGGCACCGCAGAACCATTGCAGTGCCAATTATGCGCCAGAGGATTCTAGGATTCAGAGAGAGAGGTAAGCACCTAGATTTTCAGACTTGCTCTGTAGGGGGCATGGCTGGGTTTCTAATTTCCCTCCCTGATGTGAAGATATATATATATATATAGATAGATAGATATAGATATATAGATATATATAATATATTCTTATATATTCTTTAGTAACTCTATGGTGTTTTCAGTGTAGTATTGACCTGCATGGCCTGAAAAAAAACATAGTTCTCTAACATCTGATCCTCCCATTCCATCTTTAGCAAACTACAGAAATTCATGAACTCAGGACTTCATTGACCCATGCATTCTTTGAGCTCTTTGCTCTGGGACTGTGGTCAAACAGACAACTTCATGGCTTTGAATGCAATAATTTCCAACTCCCTTTCTGCCTTTGCAGTGAGTCATGGAGTCACCAAAGGAACCATTAGGATGGTCCTCTAGTGTGTGGTATTATACTTAAAATAGAAGTATTTGTTTACAAGTTGCTAACATAAGCACCCCAAAAAAGTTTAGAGTGCAAGTAAGCCACCAACTACTGTTGCTATCAAAAACACACCATCTTTAATGTGATTTAGGGGTCAGGAGGCATGACTACTGAGATCCAAGTGCTACAATGTTCTCCTCTCTGCCCTCCTCCCCATCAATCCCCTGGCAGATTAAATTACTGAAATGTATACTATTGAAAACTATATTTAAGAAAATGTAATCATTTATATATTTGTCTCAGATCTATAAGCAGCTTGAGTCAGAGGACTATATCTTTACATTTTTGTTTCTCAAATCAATGTTCAAAAAGTACTTGGCACATGGAATTTCCTTAACATATATTGACTGATGAATGAGTAGTATTAGTGTATTCTGATCTTAGACATGGCACCAAGAAATATACAACCTTAGTCAAATCACTTCATATTTATGAGCTTCTGATTCCACATCTCAAAAATAAAAGAGCTTCCCCAAATGATTTTTGAAGTTCCTTCTAGCTTCAACATTTAAAAATCCTTTTGCTTATTTAGAGATGTCTGAGGTTAGGTTTTACCCAGATTTGATTACTATACAAGGGAAACAGTAAAACTGGAGATAAGACTTGTCTCAAGAAATATTAACAATAAGTTGGGTCAGTGGCATTTCTAAGGTGCATTAAGAATTATAGCATCTTTCTCCATGGTGAGTAGTGCCAATAGCATTGTTAATTCATGCATTAATGGATCTATGCCTGGGGCCTAAATTGGAGAAGGAGAGTGCAAATACTGGCAGTGTTCCTCATCTCTGTCAAACATTTAAAAGCGGATGAAATGTGATTCAGATAACTATAAATGGTAGTCTTTAAAGGGAAATATTGGATAAATGTATCACTTTTTTTTTCTAACTTGCCTTCTTTGAATCAAGAAGAGATTTTAAGCCAATTATAAGGAAAGAAGAGATGGCTGCTGAAATGCATCAGAAAGAAATGAAGCATAGGAAAGACAGACTCAGGGTTTCTTAGATGAGATCTTTATCTTATTGCTGCCAACACATGGAAAGAATTTAGAGTAAAAGAAGTGAAATGCTTTTCTTGTATAAATCCCTTCACCGAAGGTAACAGAAGCCTAACTAGGGGTTGGCTGTGAGAATTCCAGCCCCCTCTTTTTTTTTTTTTTTTTGAGACAGGGTCTTACTCTGTCACCCAGGCTGGAGTGCAATGGCACAATCACAGCTCACTGCAGCCTCAAACTCTTTGGCTGAGGTGATCCTCCCACTTCAGCCTTCTGAATAGCTGATACTATAGGAACATGCTTCCAGACCCATGTAATTTTTTTTAATGTGGAGATGGGGTCTCGCTATGTTGCTCAGGCTGGTCTTGAATTTCTGGCCTCCAGTGATCTTCCTGCTTCAGCCTCTCAAAGTGCTAGAATTATAGATGTGAACCACCATGCCCGGCCTACTACCCAAATATTTTTAAAGAATCCAAAAGTGTCTAGGAATAGAAAGGAAGTAGTATGGACTTGATTTGTCCTGTCACCTTTTACACCAAGTTCCTGCTCCAAAGTGAGTCAGTGGTCCCTACTTTCTCTTTAAATTCCTGCAGCTGTGGTCCCTTCCCCATAGTACCTTCTCCCTGGAAGGGCTTATCCTTCCTTCTTTATTAATCAGTGTTATTGTGTGTATATTAGTCCATTTTCACACTGCTATAAAGATACTACCTGAGATTGGGTAACTTATAAATAAAAGAGGTTTAATTGACTCATGGTTCCACATGGCTGGGGAGACCTCAGGAAACTTACAATCATGGTGGAAGGAGAAGGAGAAGCAGGAACCTTCTTCATAAGGAGGCAGGAGAGAAAGAGCACACAGGGGAAACTGCCACTTTTAAAACCAACAGATTTCATGAGAACTCCCTCACTATCATGAGAACAGCATGGAGGAAACCACCCCCTTGATCCAGTCACCTCCCACAGGGTCCCTCCCTTGACACATGGGGATTACAATTCTAGATGAGATTTGGATGTGGACACAGAGCCAAACCATGTCGTGTGCAACAGACTTAGTGATATCTGGAGGTAAAATGAAGTACCATGAAAGTAAAATGTACTACAGTACAGCACAAAATAACGTATAGCCTGAAACCATGCTTTCAGCCTTCTTGCCATAGGAAAGTTTTCAGAAAATGCCATGGTTCTTTGGCCACCTATGGCTTACTGCCAGTAGTAGGGGCTACATTCACCATCATTCTAAAAATGTCTCTAATTTCCTCTTTTGTTCTCTCTTTCAGGATCTTTGTTCTCTTCTGAATCATCAGAGAAAATATCACCAACATTTTTGGGGGGGTTTGATTTGGCTTCATAATGATGCTGCTATTACTTCTGCAAAACCAGAGAACTGTCCAGAGAGCCGAAGGGGAACTTAGCACCTCCTCTATCATGAAAAAGGGTTTCCACAATTTATTCTTTTAATTTTTTTATTTTTAATTTTCATGGATATATAGGAGTTGCACGTATTTATGGGGTAATGGGCTATTTCAGCACAAACATACAATATGTAATGATTAAATCAGGGTCGCTGGGTTATCATTAAACATTGATCATTTCTTTGTGTTAGGAACATTCCAATTCTACTCTTGTATTTTGAAATACACAATATATTACTGTCAGCTATAGTCACCACATTGAGCTACAGAACACTAGATCTTATTCATTCCAACTCTATATTTGTATCCATTAACCAAGATTTGTTTATCACTCCCTCAATAATTTATTTTATAAAATTGCATTTTTCTTTTGCATGACCTATGTATATGTAATCCCTTATATTTGTACAACATTTTTTCCTTTGCACAATGATTTCTTTATCTATCATCCTAAGAGGCTTGGGTCATATGTTAGCACCAGACACTAGCACCTCTTACCCAGGCAGCTCTGAGCACTGTTTCAGTCATCTAAATAATCTCCTTGTCTCTATTTTGCAGAGACACTGTATACCAGCATGACCTTAGGAACATTTTTAAAAATACTCTCTTGGGTGTCCTATCAAGCCTAATAAGAATTTGGGGAGGAAGGTGGGTGCAGGGCTTACGATTCTGAATGTTTAAAACTCTTCACATGTTGTGATTAGGTAGCTGGTCTTAGAATTAGTCATTAGAACCCACTGCTGTGAAGTTCAATCTCTTGCTATGGCCAGCAGAGTTTTCTCTGTCCTTTGATTTCTTTTTTCCTTTCTCCCACCTATATCTTGCCTCCTTCTCTGCCATCAGCTTTTTTCTCTCTTGCTCTTTTCCTTCATCAAATACTAAGTTTTCAATATGTGCCCAGCACCTGGCCTCATACCCCCATTACCCTGACCAGTTGTGAGAGAATCACCCCAGTTCAGTTCTCCTTTGCTCCAATCACACCAAATTGCAAGGAAACAACCCTTTCTCAAAGGCATCTAGCATTTCATGAATCACTATCTCCTCTCTCATATCTAAATGTTTAGGAGCATTTTGGGAGTCGCTCCAAGGTGACTATGATGTTGCTTTGGAAATATTAAGATATGAATCCTGTATCTCCTGTGATAATGACCATTACCATTTGCAGTCGAGCTGTTCTTTATGTCTATCTTCTTTTAGAATCACAGCTGAAAATACCTTCATGGCCCAAGGAGACTGAATATGGCATTTATAATAATTTATATATAAGAGACAGTGGAGAAGCTCTGTCTCATAGGAGCTCAGCACAGCATCTCCAGGAACAGTATCTGAGTCCAGGAAGAAGACACCCTATTCAATATTTCTCTTATTTTTTTAGAAAGACATTGTAATGCCATAAAACCAAGAACATTATTTATACCTATTTTCTAAAAAGCACATATTTAGGAATTAGTCTAATCCCAGTTTCAAGTCCCACCCTTTTCTCCAGTCATGCACGTATTTAGACTTTTTATTCTTTTATTAACACAGGGAAAATGAAGACTGTTATGACAGTTAGCAGACATAATTTTAGAGAAATACAACTTCTTATCAAATAAGCCTGCAGTAAGTATTTGATGAACAGGGCTCTTCAATATAACTTCCAACACTAATTTAATGAGAAGTATCAAATGAATTTTTTTTATTCTGATATCTCCCATGAGACAAATGATACTTTGCAGGCCTATTTTTAACAAATGAATTATTGACTTAAACTGGCACAATTAATCACAATATAATGGGATCAGGGGATGTTAGGGGCTCATTCATCATAGCTGATGATGAGTACTGAATCTTCCGAGAAATGAAACTCTTTAATCACTCCTAGATTAACAGTTACATGCTTTCAAATTTCAGTCATAGGAAACTGGCAGTGTAGAATAAGGAGCCCAGTGCAGGAGAAGAATATGAAGGAAGCATGCAGAAATTGTTGTCTGCCTTTAGTAATCCAAATCTTGCCAGTACTCTTCAGTGAAGAGGAAAAATGATTTATTAGAAAGGCAGTGGGTGTTAGTGGGCTGAAAGCAAGGATGGCAACTAAAATTCTTAGGATCTGGATTTACCTCTTCCACTAAAAATCTGTGTGATGCCTAACAAGTTGCTCAACTTCTCTGAATTTCATTTCCTTCATCTGCAAGATGAATATAATACAATCTCTCAAAGTAAAGTTCCTGTGAAGATCAAATGAAAAAACTTATGTCTTCCTGTTTTGGACAATTACAAAGCAGAGTTCCTTTCATATAATCTTTATAATTGTTGTATAAAATGTTTCTTTTCTATTGCTAGGATCTATACACATTAGGTATTTTTGACTATTTTTTTAAAAAAGATATACAATAGAATATGAAAGCCAAATAAGGAACTCAGAAGGAAAAGTTATAATATATTTGCTAATTCAACAAATATGGCAGTTTCTATCTTTAGCTCCACCGGTATAGAAAGATGAGTAACATGACTTTTGCTCTCCAAGAATTAACAACCACATTGGGTAGACAGACAAGAGACCCCCATCATTTGTGCATATCAAAAAGTAAAAAGGCAAAAACACTTCATGTCTGCAAAAAACACAAAAATTAGCCAGGTGTGGTGGTGCCTGCCTATAGTCCTAGCTACTTGGGAGGCTGAAGTAGGAGGATCGCTTGAGCCCAGAAAGAAGAGATGGAAGTGAGCTGTGATCATGCCATTGCACTCCAGCCTGGGTAACAGAGTGAGATCCTGTTTCAAAGAAGAAAAAAAAGGCAAAGCAAAGAGGGTTATTTTTTTTCCCCAATCAGAAGTATGCACATAGAAAATTGAAATGATAGAGAAAAGCTCAACTGCTCCCTTTCCTGTATGGTGACTGGTATGGTTTGAATGCTTGTCCCCTCTAAAACGCATGTTGAAATTTAATTGCCATTGTAACAATATTAAGAGGTGGGACATTTGAGAGGTGATTAGACCATGACAGCTCTGCTGTCATTGGTCGAATTAATACCATTAAAAAGGAATGAGTTTTGTGCCTTTTTGCTCACTCCAGCTCTCTCTTGTCCTTCCGCTTTCTGCCATATGAAGCAGTAAGAAGGCCCTCACCAGATGCCAGCACTTTGGTCTTGGTCTTCCCACGTGTAGATCTGTGAGTCAAAACATTTCTGTTTATTATAAATTACCCAATCAGTGGTATTTTGTTATAGCAGCGTAAAATGGACTAAGGCAACACCCAAACTTCTCAGATTGCCCAATTCAGCACAGATTTATGCCTGTTTTTTTTTTCCCTGATAATTTTTAATAACATCTGCTTTTACTCCCCAAAGTGTCATGGTTTGCATAATACATTTTTGGTCAACCTAACTTTAACTATTTCTTTTTTCTTTTTTGTTATTGCCAAATATCTAAACATGTCACATCTTTATTTTCTTTGTCATCGTTATAGCAGTCTGCAGTCTCCCTACCTTTCTGGAGATTGGCATAGCTCATACCTCCCCTGCCTTCTCCCACTTCCTCCTAATATAGTTAAATAAGAATTCTAAGTTTCCACTTTTGTCTCCACCTGCAACTTCAAACATCATACTTAAACGTTCATATCATATTCTGTAAAGGCTAGTTCTCTTGACTCCCCATTTTAATGATGATAACATTAATATCCCACCCCTCCATTTCTATACTTGCTTCTGTCTCTTAACTATTGCTTGGCATACCTTTGCTTTTATATCATCAGACATGATTTTTCAACTTGATATTTACTGTTTTTGCCTGTGCATATGGTGCTGTTTGTCCTTGATTGCTTTTCCCTAACATGTCCCTTTGGGACTCTCCTCATTCTTGAAGACCTAGGAAAATGCCTGTTCCTTTGTTCTGTTTCCATTCAGTATTCCAGCAAAGCCAATTATTTCAGCTTCCACAGATTATAATAGATTCCACTCTACTGAAATCACAACTTCATACTGCACATGCTTCCTACTAAATCTGAGCTCCTTGGGGAACATTTTGGTGTTTCCCAAACCCAGCTTAAATTCTTGGAAGATAGTGACCATTAAATAAATGCTTTTTGTGGGGGTATATATCTGTTTACATATCAGTTAATATAAATTCTAACTCAAACTGGTAGTTGGCTTAAGGCTGCTTGTGTAGTCGCTTACTAAAATAATTCTTACTGAAATACTGATTAAGGTATTAAAATAAGATTTTTCAAAAATACCAACACTTGATACTGACAGATAACATGGTGGCAAATAGTTAAGATAAATAGGGCTGGTAGTGTACAGATGCCCCAGAAATAAGGATTTCAGTCCAGCTAGGGAATCATGACCAACTGAAGGGAAGGGAATATGGAATAGATAGAGAAAGACAGAAGTTATAAACACTAGCCATAATAACATAATCGAGAAGATCATTTCTTTCTTAGAGGTGAATTTTGATATATATCTATAAGTACATAAATACAGTTATATATCTATGTATCTATTTTGATATGTAACTGTAGATGTATGTATAGCTATATATCTATATATACATAACTATTTATATCAATATGTATTTATATAGAGATATACATCATTAGATATATATAGTTCATAGATATATAGTTTTATTTCTGTTTTTCATTCTTCAATTTCCATACCAATTAACATAAGATGTGCTAATACCTTTTACCTCCTTACATATCCTTAACCTTGTATTTTACAAATATTGGCCCCAAATAGATAAAATGACATGGGCCTTTGGGGACCTTGGTGTCCTTTTTCTGGGAAGAGGGTTGCTTTAGGTTATGTGAGGGCTATTTGCATCATACTACGTGGAGCATGATTTTTGTATTATCTTTATTTAAAAGTTAAACATAGTTTAAAAATGTGTGTGTGGATGGCACATTGACAAAGATTGAGCTGTGCTGGATTTTATAATCATCAAGTTGGTTAACCTTTCCTGGAATCCTCTTCCAATTTGGTGATGAATAAAGGAGTACCTGCATGAGATTTGGGAGGCGGAAGGTTATGGTGGTTAGTTGTGGTAACAGACTTAGAGGGGTCAGAGAGTTCCCCTTGTCTTTGAATGTTTAGACTCTATATTCAATTTTTCTTTCCAGCTGGTGCATACCTAGACACTTGGCTGTGGATCTGCAGATTTCTTCCATGTATTTCTCCTCTCCATGGCTTCACTCTAATGATGGATGCACTAGGTTTCTCAAAGTAGCTTGTTAATGACTTCTCTGTTCCTCCAAATCCCCTTATCAGACATGCCCTCCTCCCTAGTTCCTCCCACAATTATATACTGTCTAATGGCTACAATAAATCCCTTGTCTACAATTTATAGTTATTCTGATTATCTGTGTTTGAAAGTTGATAGACACAGATTTCACTGGAATAGATGAAAGAATTTTAGAAAATGGAGGAATTGACAGAATTACAATGGTAGTAGAAGACTGTAGCACACATATCTACACCTTTTATAGATCAAATAGAAAAAAATTAAACTAGTTATGTAAGTCCTGGATAACATAATTAATATGGCTATATGTGTAAATGTGCATATATTGATTTTTGTGTCCTACAGAGAATATTCTTTATTTTCATCATCAATAAAACATTTATGAAATATTGACCTACATTATGTCCCAAAGAAAAACTTAAAAAATAATTATAAAAAGCAAGAACTTGGATCAATGTGTAAGCCTTGAGTATTTATCACAGGTGTCAAAGATTATGGTATCATGTGGGACTAGAAAAGATACAAAAGATGGAAGTCAGTATGACTCAATAAGTATCTGTTTAATACTATGGCCCAGGTACTGTGCTAGGTGCTGAGGATTTGTGAAGATACATAGGACGTGACTATATATTCCTGGTGCTGACAGTCTGACACAGGGGCCCAAAGGGGAATTCTAAGTAGGCTACAGAGGATGGACCATACTTGGAATTGAAATCAAGCATTGCTTATCGCAGGTACCGTACTTAAAGGTGAGAATAATTTGTGTCAAGGAGTGATTGAAATAAGATTTTTTTATTTATGAAGAAACCAAATAGTGGGAAACCTGAAAACACTTGAATTGCATTCAGTTGACAGTGGAAGCCACTGGTGGCTTGAGATGTTTTGAGAATAGTAACTTCAGGGTCATTGCTGTGATTTGAATGGGTATCTCAAAGTTCATGAGCTGGAAACTTAATCCCCAATGCAACTGTGTTGAGAGGGGCCTTTAAGAGGTGATTATGCTATGAAGGCTCTTCCCTCATTAATAGGTTAGTGTTGTTATCTTGGGAGTGGGTTCATTGTCATGAGAGTGGATTTGTTATAAAAGTGAATTTGGCCCCTTGTTGCTCTTTCTCACCCAGGTGATGCCTTCTGCTATGATATTGCAAGAAGATCCTCACCAGATGCAGCCCTTTGATCTTGGGTTTCCCAGCCTTCAGAACCACAAGCCATACACATTCCTATCCCCATTCATATAATGGCATTCATTATAAACTACTCAGTCTGTGGTATTCATTACAACAGCACAAAATGGACTAAGACGGGTGTGTAGGATAGATTGGAGTGAAGAGCAGAGCTGGGGATAACTTGGAACATGAGGTTCCACATTAGGAGGGACTTAGTCTATGTTAGTTACAGTAGAAGCAAAAGGAAAGATGGAACTGCAAGTAGAATTTCAAAAACTTGGGAACTGCTTTAAGACTGGGAGGGAAAAGTAGTCAAAAGTAACATTACCAATTTAAAACCTAGATGACAGTTAGAATGGTGTCAACATTGACAGAAATAGGTTGTATAGTGATTTCCAATTTCTAAAATGTGTTTCCAAACTTTCAAGAAAGATGGGAACTTAAACATATGCCAGTAACTTCTTGCCTCTAGAGTCCCACAAAAATTACCTGTTGGTAATGATGGGGTTTATTTTGCATTGGAAACTAGTGAAGGGTGCAAGGCAAGTTCCAGAAACTTGGGGAACATTTTAATAAAATGTATGTCAAAATCTACCTTATCTGGCCAACAACCTATGCATTTTCCTGCACATGAAAGAGAAGTTTGCTAGATAAGTGAACCAAAGAGACCCAATCAAATCTTTTCAATCCCCCAACCCATCCAAGGCTCTGAGCAGTGGAGCTTTTTGTTTGGACATACTGTGGGATGGCCTGAGAAGACATCTGTGTCCAATTGGTTTGTCCATGGTACCAGTCTGGTTCTAGAGACTGCACCAAGCAATTGGCTGATGACAATTCATAATCCGGCATAGACAACAGAATATGGAGAATGGTCCCTAACAATTTCTGACTGTCTCACCTCACCTAAGAGAAGTTCATCAGTGAAAATACCAAGTCACTCCGAACTTAACTACCTTCCAGCCTGGCATGTCCATATACTCCTAATGCTGAAGAATTTCTGCATTGGTAAAGTATAAAACCAGTGTAAATCTGTACCTTTCTCTTTTCTTCTTGAAACTGAAAAGGGTTTTTTTTTTTTTTCTTGTAGGGACTCACAAAATCTATGAGAGAAACCATGTCAGTTCTTAATACTTTATTATTTTCAGCTCTTAACAAACATATACAAGTCATTTTAAAAAATGCACAAATGGGCCAGGCATGGTGACTCACACCTGTAATCCCAGCACTTTGGGATGCTGAGGCAGACCGATCACCTGAGGTCAGGAGTTTGAGACCATCCATGGCCAACATGGCGAAACCCTGCCTCTACTAAAAATACAAAAATACAAAATACAAAAATACAAAAATTAGCCAGGTGTGATGGTGGGCACCTGTGATCCCAACTACTTGGGAAGCTGAGGCAGGAGAATCTTTTGAACCAGGGAGGTGGAGGTTGCAGTGAGCTGAGATGGTGCCACTGCACTCCAGCCTGGGCAACAGAGCAAGACTGTCTCAAAAAAAAAAAAAAATTGGGAAATTGCTGAACATTTCTAATGTATATGTTCTACAGTACTCAAGCAGGTATTTCATTTGTGAATTTTTTAAATGTCATAGGGAGGTAACAATATGAAATCATAAAAGACCAAATGAAAAAAAAATGCAAGTATAGACTTTAAAAATGCAAGTATAGACTTTAAATGCAAGTATAGAATTTAAAACCACGAGGTAGCAGTGAACGACTAAATGGAGACTGCTGATAAACTGAATCAGTGAAAATGAAGGAAAATCCTAGAAATTCTCCCAGAATTCAAAGGAAAAAATAAATTGAAGTAGTAAGAGAACTGTGAAAAAGCCTGACTTAGGAAATCCAAAATATTCATAGCAAGGATTGCCCGGAAGAGTAAAGCCAACAGAAATGCTAGAAGTTTTTTGAGAGAGTTCATAGACTACTAAGAGCAACAAACGAAAATCATACCTGGACATTCCTGATTAAATCTAGTATTTAGAACAACTTTCCCTGTCTACGTCTGAGTCTACCTCCCTACTAGCATTCAGCCACCCTATGTTCCTGTTTAAAAATGCCAACATTTTAAATGTGTAAGTGCATCCCAATGACTTAGGTTTGGAAATCAGTTGATAAGTTTAATTCAATTCCAATACAAATTCTAAAATGATTGCTTTAACTTTACAAAGGAATCATAAAGTTCATCTGGAAAGTTTTTGAAACATTTAAAAAAAGAACAATACATATGGAGACATGTATTTCTAGACTTTAAAGGATTTTTATAAAACCACTATAATTAAGTGTGGATGATAATAGAATAGAATAAAAAGATTCTGAAATAGACCATAGTTTGTAATTAATCAAAGGATAAAGATAGTACTTTAAATCAATGAACAGAGATGATTATTGAATAAGTTGTTCTGTAACAATTGGATAACTATTAAAGAAAACAGCTAGATACCTGCCTCATATCACCCACCAAAGTAAATTCTAGATGAAAGAAAAAGATAACCATAAAATATGAAATTACTAATGAGCTATAAGAAAATGTAGGTAGGTATCCATCTGACATCACATAAAAGCAAAATAAGAAATTATAGATGAACACATTGAAAGATTTTAAAACATAAAAAACTCAAAACCCATATTCATCCAAAAACTGTAAGCAAACTTAAAAGATTTATTATTGTGTATTTGGGGATTATTTGCACCACCAAGATAGAGCTATAAATGTATAAATACAAAGCTATCAATATATTTGAAAAATCAAGAAGAAAAAACAAATTTCATAATAGAAAAATGAGCAAGAAATGTAATGAATAGACATTTTAAACACAGGAAGAAATACAGTAGTCAATACATATGTGAAGATAAGTTAAACCTGTACTAGTTTGCTATAGATGCTGTAACAAATTTCACAAACTTGGTAGCTTAAAACAACAAAGCCCATATTTTCTTATAGTTCTATAGTTCAGAAGTTTGAAAGTAGTTTCACTGGGTCAACAGCAAGGCCATGCTTCCCCTGCAGGATCTAGAGAAAAATCCCTTTTGCAGCTTCTAGTGACCACAGGCATTCCGGCTTGTGTTCATATCACTTCAATCTCTGCTTTCTATTCAGTGTGTCTAATTTTCTGCTTCCTTTCTCTTTTAAGAATATTTGTGATTGCATGTCAGACCCAGCCAGATAATCCAGGATAATCCCTAATCTCAAGATCCTTAATTTAATCACATCTGCAAAAATCAATTTTTCAAATAAGGTAACATTTGCGTATTTCAGGGATTAAGACCTGATACTTTTGGAGGTATGTATAGCCTACTACACATAACTAATAATCAAATAAATTTAAACCTATTGATAAAATGTTAATACATTAAGATCTATATTTCATACTGAATGAAATATTTAAAACTATCATTATGATTATATTTTCCTTTTTTTTGTAAAATGTTCAATGGGTGAAACATTTCAAGGTTGCCTGTCTCTAAACAATGAAATGAAAACCCTACGCTCAGAGCATTAGCCATATCTCAGTTAACTCTGCCTAAAGATATCTATAAAAAAAATTTAGATATATGCAAATATATAGATATATTTATTTTAATTTATTTAAAGGTCAAAGACAATAAAACCCATGTTCGTAAGGGGGCTGGATGATAGAATATTGATAAATTGTTTTTAGAGGGTAATTTGGCAACATATATCAAACTACTTAAAATAATTTAATCTTTTTTGTTTAGATATTTCTCACATGAAGGCTATTAAATCTGTGCACAAAGATGATCATTAGAGTATTATTATAGTACTATTTATAATAGTCAAACATTGCGAATAACCTGAATGTTTAAAATTTTTCATAAAGGTGCAATATGCCAAGTATACATTAAAATTCATTTCTTGTGTAAAGTACATGTGACAAAATGCTAAGTATGCAAAGCATAAAAGGCCAAACTGTTTTATTCCAATCTTGTTAAGTATATTTGAAAATGAATAAATGCACACACACACAACTGGAAGAACACACTTTATAATATTAGGAGTAGATATTTCTGGATTTCTGAGTTGTGAGATGATAAATGAATTTTCTTTTTATATTTTTCTGTTCTCTCTCTCTCTATATGTAAAATTTTATTTTATTTTTGCAATGAATTTGTCTTTCTTTAATTCTCCTATCCCTGTTATACTGAGATCTTAATCTTATAACCACTTAATCACTTGACCAAAGGAGAATGAACTGAGTGGGCAGTGCTGAGAGGAGAGAGGATGATGGTGATTTTAAATTTTTATGCTACTGTGCTAATGGGACATATAGATATAGCTTGTATATGAGCTCTGGGCTGTTGGTGTTAGGGCGGGGCTAAATGTGCATGGAGAAGCCCTAGAGGAGCTTTGTGAGTTTTCTCACACTACAGAATTTCACTCTGGTATTTGTTCCTATGGAGCCCCCATATTGAGAACCCAGAAGTCTTTCTACTTCCCTCTCCCTGAATGTATGTGCATGTGTACTGGCTGCCTGACCTGAGATTACCCATTTCTCAGATAAAATATTCATACATGAAGATCTATATTTCATATTGAATGAAATATTTAAAATTATCATTATGATTATATTTCCATTTTATCCTTTTTATGTGGAATGTCCAATGGGTGCAAGTTTTCAAGGTTGCCTGTCCCTAAATAATGAAAATTCAAATCCTGTACCCAGAGCATTAGACATATCTCAGTTCTTTCTGCCTGAAGAGATTCACATCTATATATATATAGAGAGAGAGATATATATATGTATATATATAGTTATATATGTTTTGTATGTGCATATATGTTATAAATATATATGTAAAAATATACCAATGAATCAGTTTTAGACCATGTGTTGCAAAAGAGAAAGTGGGAGGAAATATGATTCCTGAGGACAGTGAATTATAGAATCATGGACTCCTAGCTCTATGAGAGGTTTACCTTTAGCCTCCGGTAGTGTAATCTTTCCTTCTTTGAGTGAAATTCTTACTGAACTACAGAGTGGCGTTTCGCAATAGCTTCAGAGTTGGATTCTGGGCTCTCAGGGGGAAGTAACAAGAATATAGAAGCTAGCAGATCACAGAGTGCCTGGGCCCTGCTTCCTAGGCAGAGGCCTGAGGAAACAAGACAAGTTCAGAAAGGTGATTTTTACAGAAATTCTTAGAACCCAGAAGAAGGGCTTGAAAATAGCAGAAGGAACCCCAAACATCATAGCTTAAATAAAGTTAAGAGAATGGGGCTGGAGCAGAAGGGGCCATATGAAGATGAACAGATGCCTTAGCATAACCTTGCATAGACCAATAGCCAGGGACCAGGGAGGGAGATGTGTGCTTCAGTGGATGATGTTCTGTGCAGAGGACATCAAGGGCCAGAAGTCTGCCTCTCACACCTGGGCATTGCTTAATGCTATAGTTTGTATATTTGATTTCCCCAAACCTCCTGTTGAAATGTGATCTGCAATGTTGGAGGTGGGGCCTAATAGGAGGTGTTTAGGTCATGGGGGCAGAGCCCTCATGAATGTCTTGGTGCCATCCTCAAGATAACGTGTCAGTTCTCACTCTATTAGTTCCCTCAAGAGCTGGTTTTAAAAAGAGCCTAGCACCTCTCCACCCACTCTTTCTGGTTTCCTTTCCTGTCATGTGATCTCTGCACATGCCAGCTCCCCTTCCCCTTCTGCCATGAGTGGAAACAGCCTGAGTCCCACACCAGAAGCAAATGCTGGTGCCATGCTTCTCATACAGCCTGCAGAACCGTGAGCCAAATAAACCTCTTTTCTTTATAAATTGTCCAGCCTCCAGTATTCCTTTATAGCAACAGAAATGAAATAAAACCCTTAATCACCTCAAACTTGGGTGCCACCCCAGGGAGGTGGGAGGCAGGAGAGCTAAAATGGCTCAAATAAGTTTCTATCTCCCTAGCTGGATGGAAGCTCAAACTACTACTAACCTAATTTTGTGGACTGGATTCATCCCTGCTGAACCAGTCTGCTGGGTCAACTTTCCAGTGGAAGACAGTGGGGATGGGCCCATGAAGAATAGAAGTGAAGCTTTTTTGGGTACTCTGTGCACATCATTGTCTGCTGACTATACGGAGGGAAAAGAGCTGCAGGGCTGGCCCTTGGTACCCTTGAGCAAAGCCTGAACAGCTCTGGAATTGAGGCTATTCCTGAATATCTCAAGGGGATCTGGTAGCCAAAAATACCTTTGTTTATAGGCATGTCAGAAAGTTAGAATTGAGAGGAGAGGCCTTGGTTTACAGAGGAGAGGAAATCCAGAGACCCAAATATTGAGCTGGCCATGATTTCATTCACTGGTTCCATTTAACAGCTTCTTGCAACATATGCAGTTTACATTATGGTATCCGGCACATGTAGACTTTGGCTGGGATTATCCTCCTGAGTTCAGAATTTATGATTGTGCAAATAGACATTGAAGTGAAGAGTAGGCATGCCAGAATAAGAAGAGGGGAAAGACTTCATTGTGTCTCTTCTGGGTCATGTTAACTCTGTCCTCACCAGCAGAGGAACAAAAGGCTCTCCTCTCCCCAAAGGGAGGCTGGGCAGGAAATGAATACACTGAGATTCTGCTCTGGGCTTGGGGGAATGTAGCTTCTCACTCCTTTTCTTTCAGCTCCCAGGAGTAGGATGCCTAAGAAGGAAAAGGAGGCTGCTGAGCCTTTTTTGGCTCTAAGAAAATGAGGTCATTTGAGCAAGAAAAATAGCAGACTGGTCATTTAATAGCAGGGCCCAGAAACCTTATAAATACTTCCTCATCAGGGCAACATAGCAATTTACTGCCAAACTCAAAACAGGGTCCTTTGAAGTCAAAGGGAGTTAAAATTGAATTAGGGCTGTGAGCATGTTAGTCAGTTTCACTGATGGCCAATGTAAAGAAAATACATTTTGGGGATTTGTCCCGTCATTGTGTAATTACATTTAATTATGGTGAGAGTAACCACTGGGTAAGGAAACCTGATCTAAGAAAAGAGAAAAATAAAACATTGACTGGCTAGAGTGATTTAAGTTTTACATAATTATTTGGATACCTTATGCAAATTTTATTCTCATCATCTGATGTTCTCTTCCCGCGTAGCTATTTTTTAAACTATCAATGTACTTCTGTGATGAAATGTTTGAAGCAGCATCAGATACAATGGCTGGTTCTTTTTCCATTTGTTTTTCCTTTTTGCTGTTGGAACAAAGAGAAGAAGCAATGGAATATCACCTATCATTGGCCAGATACTGTCATAAGCATTTTATTATTTCCACTTTATAATGAGGTCATTGAGACACAATGTCTTAGTCTGTTTTCTGTTGCTTAGAACAGACTATGTAAAACTGGGTAATTTATAAAGAAAAGGAATTTAATTCTTACAGTTCTGGAAGCTAAGAAGTCCAAGGTGGAGGGTCACATCTGGCAAGAGCCTTCTTGTTGGTGAGGACTCTCTACAAAGTCCCAAGGTGGCACGGGGCATCACATGGTGAGAGGGCTGAGTGTGCAAGTTCAGGTCTCTCTTCCTCTTCTTATAAAACCACCAGTTCCACTCCCATGATAACCCACTAATTAATGCATTAATCCATTAACCCATGAATGGATTAATACAGTCATAATATCAGAGGCTTCCTGACACAGTCACCTCATAAAGTATCCACCTCTCAATACTGCCATATTGGGGATTCCATTTCAACATGAGTTTTGGAAGGGACAAATATTTAAACCACAGCTCACAGTGAGGCTAAGTAATTGTTCCAAGATCACAGAGCTAGAGAGAGGTTGAGCTTGATTTAAAACTTATTTTCTTGAGTTCTTATCCTATCCAAGTCCATCTGGCTTCTGTACTTGTCACTCCCTCTGCTCTGCTTTTAGCAGAGTCATCAAAAAAATTACCTGCCAGACTTGAGTAGCATTTCTGAAATGTTGCTTGTTTTGTCAGCAGTATTTCACACTGTTGACCACTCACTCTTTTTCTGAAATGCTTTTCTTCCTTAGGTTGGTGACTCTGTTCTTCCTATTAAGTGTTAATTTACTTGGCATTATTTTACCTGATATATTATAACAGATAGTAATGCCCACAGCTCATATTTATTAAATGCTTCATATGTTCTAAGTCCTTTACACTGTCTCCTAATTGGATTTGTATCATTCAAATGGGAAGTATCTCAATAGTGGGAATTATCTTTCCCACTATTTGGTGGATGAGAAAGCTGGGGCTCTGAAGAGTTCACTACATTGGATACAGTGTATTGGACACCGTATTGTGGTGCCAGAATAAAAACCAAGGCTCATCAGGTTCTAAGCACCTGATGGCTGGATGCCTGTGTCTCTCAATGAGTGTTTTTTGTGCTCTTTTTTTTTCACTCTACACACTTTCCTTGAATAACGTCACTCTAGGTCATGCTTCCATTCACCTCCCAAATGCCGATGACTTCTGTATCTCTCTTGAGCTCTAGGGCCTTGTACAGATGCTCCTTGACTTATGACTGGGCTATGTCCCCATAAAGTCATTGTAAGTTGAAAATATAATAAGTTGAAAATGAATTTAATATACCTAACCTACTGAACATCATAGCTTAGTGGGACTTACCTTAAACATGATCAAAGCACTTTCAGCACAGTATTCAATAAGTTACATGAGCTATTCAATCCTTTATTATAGACAGGCTTTGTGTTGATGACTTGACCCAGTGTCTTGAAAGAGTATCATACTAGATATTACTAGCCATGGAAAAGACTAAAATTCAAAATTTGAAGTATGGTGGCTACTGAATACATATCACTTTCCCACCATCATAAAGTAAAAAAAAAAAAAAAAAATGTAAGTCAAACCATTGTAATTCAGGGACCATCTATATTCAAATGCCTACATGGGCATTGTCACCCAGGTGTCCCCTAAGGCCTTCACACAAGCTCCAGACTGCCCCGTTCATCTTCACTGTGTCACCTGATGCTGTCACCTTCTGTGCAATTTGTCTAAGCCGGAAACTGAGAGGAGTTCTTAGAGTCCTTCTTCTCTTGACCTGTTCCACATCCAAACCTAAGGATTCTTCCTTCTAAAAATCCCTCTCACTTATCTCATCCATTCCTAAGTTCTCCCTGCTTCCCCTTGAATGCAGGCTCTCAGCTCCTCTCCTGTAGCCCAGGAGGACCCTCCTTACCTGCCTTCCCTCCTTCTAGCCTTAGGGCCTCTGTCTCATCTGCACCTTAGGATCTCCTCAACGTCAAGTCGGGTCACATCACGGTGCTTAGAATTCTTAGAGGCCATCATAATTGTTTCCTTCTATGCTTGTTTGTTTAAGCAGTGGAATCTGATTTGCATTGAAAACTTGTAAGGAACCTGATGTTTAAGACAGGCAAAGACCATAGAAGGAGGCACAGAAGGCTTTCTCTTTGGCCTTCCCCTTCTTCCCTGATGGACTTCATTCAATCATGCTTTGTATGTGTTTACTGAGTGCCAAGTCTGCCTGAGCACTGTTCAAGGAACTGGGAATAAACCAGTGAATTGAGATAAACCTAAGCAACTCCTTCACAGAGCTTGCATTCTAGCCATGGTAGACATAGAAGGAACAGTTAAGAATAAATTAAACAAAATTTAACAGACACACGAAATCATTTAGGACAGGTTATTCCCGACCGGCAGGAGAGAGATGTTGGCCTGACCAGGATGAGTCAAATGGAAGACAGACTCTCAGCATACAGCAGACAGGGTTTTCTGATGGAGTTGTGGAGCAGATCCAAAGCATAGGTTGAAGACTTGAGGGCATGTGAGATAAACCTCTGCACACCTTTACAAAGTGGAGAGCGTCCCTCGTGACCAAGTCCTCTGCACATGTCCATCCTATGGGCTTTCCTAGCCTCTGCACATCATATGCTGCCCTTGTGCTTGTGACATGCGAAGCCCAGGACCCTCTTCCCAGCCTTTCTGTGGGCTGTTCCATCTTCCTAGATCTTGAACCCCTTGCAAACTCCACCTTTAAATCCCAGCTCAAATGCCTCTCCTTCTTTTCTTCTTCCCCAGGTCTGTCTAGATGCTTCTTTATGCTTCAATTTAACTTGTTCTTAACTCCATTAAAATATGTACTTGGTGTATAGTATCTAGTTGCTCCTTTCTCCCCTAAGACGTTGAGCTTCCTGAATGTCAACCCAGAGTTGTTTCAGCTTGTTACTATGATACTGGTATGTAATGAGTGCTTTACAAACACCTATTGAACAGTAGATAAATGCATTCCAACTTCAAAACCCACTTCAGAGTATTAGTGGTACTTTAGAATGTGAGTTCAATTTTAGTAATAAGATCCTCAGGGCTAAATTTTCCTCTAAGTTTTTCCATAGTGAGAGTGAAATTTTGGAATGTGACTCCAATGGAATAATTGCAACTTTGCTTTTATAAGAGTGTTACAAATAAAGTATCCACCAGTGAGTACCCTGAGTTGGGAGAACAGGAGCCAGAAGAAGCATCACATGGAATGAAAGATGGGCCATCTCTTGTTTGGGACCCATGGGCCACTTGGGGAGCTTTCTTGAAGTTAAATGAAATAGTATAAATTGACTTTTTGCTACAAAACCTTTAAATTTTACAGCATATGAAAAGTATATGTAGGACACCGGCCAGTTTCAGCATACCAGAAATTATCTTGTATTAATAGATGTATGATGAGACTCATGGTCTATGATTTACACACTGGACACTTTTCCTAAACTGGGAGGTTTCTTTAGGAATGGAGAACTATACTTCCAGGGCAAACCTTGGCTTGACACCATAGCTGAGGTGTGATTTGTATAATCACTTGTCTTCTCAAAGGTGAAAACAAAAACAACACTAGGATCAAATACTCCTTTATTTTTTTCTATTTTCTTTTTTATGTTTTTGAGATTGTGTTTCACTGCTGTTGCCCAGGCTGGAGTGCAATAGCATGATCTTGGCTCACTGCAACCTCCACCTCCCTGGTTCAAGCGATTCTCCTGCCTCAACCTCCCCAGACTAGCTGAGATTGCAGGCACGCACCACCACGCCCTCCTAGTTTTTGTATTTTTAGTAGAGCCAAATGTCCATTGTTAGCAAAAGCTTGGTTGCAAATTAATTTTCAAGTGCATTTGTAGTAGTTGTTTATTTAAAACCAAGGAGTAATGTCATATCACAGATGTGAGCTGTGGCATCTGCATGTTCCTGAGAATGGGAAAGAAAAATTCCGACGTGCCTTTTCTTCCCAGGCAGTGTGTCTGACACTTCACATATTTTATCTCATTTAATTCTGACAATAGCTTTTCAAGGTATTTTATTCCCGCTTTTCCAGTGAGAAAGTAGAGGCTTAAGGTCACATAGCTAGTTGGGAAAGAGAGCCGGTTTTAAAACAAAGTGCTGTCAAATTACAAAGTTCTTTCTATTACACACTTCTGCCTTCCTGCTTTGGTTATTTCTCATAATGAAACCTTTTGTTCCACAGACACATGCACTGTTTAAATAAGCTCTTTTGGTGGTGTCTATAAATCATCTTTGAGTAAGGTGACCTGATGTCTATGTTTGGCCTGGATACCACTGGTTTATGCCTGTTGCCTTGGTGAAATTATTAATAGCACCGCCTTCCACTCTCAGAATTTCCCAGTCTGGAAGGTAAATTAGATGGTCACCCTCTCTTTGAACTTGCAGATCATACCACTTACTCAATTGCTTCATGGTGAATCCTTTGCCCAAGCTCTAGGGGTAATTTTTTCCTCCTTTGCTTCTCAGCTCCTAGAATCAATAGGTCTTTAGAAATGTAGGAGAAAATTCCAAACATAATCATTATACCATAAAGTCAACATGACAATGTAAGCTGATTTTAGTTCACTGAACAGATTGACTGAAGATTTTTCCAGTTGTTCATCTGGAGAACCAGATTTAAACTGTGTTGTGTTAGAAACATTGATATGTTAAAAAAGATATATACACATATCTTTTTGAGTATATATATGTGTGTGTGTGTGTATAAAAATTTTATGTATACACACCAGACATATACACACACATATCATGGTGGAAAGCAGTTCTCTGTAGGGCTGACAGTTGTCAGGCAGAGACCCTGTGAATTTCAAATAAGGTACAAGTTGATTCTCTAAGCCCTATACAAAAATAACTTATTCTCTTTCTTGAGATCTGGGGTTTCCCTTTGATGGTAAAGAATGCTCCTGTTTTAGGTTGTCCAGGTGTGAAACTAGACAAGCCGACCTTTCTTTTGGCTTAGTAAATCTGGTCATGAGGGTAAAGATCTGGAGATAAACCTTTAAAATATGGGCTAAGCAATACCCCAAAGCCACCCCCTGCTTCCCAGCCTTGTAAGGGTAGCCATTCTTCATCTGTATGAGTTATTTCTGTGGGACTCCTCTTCCTGTATTGCTCTTGTTAATTGAATTCCCTAGTGGGATGAAAGCATTTCTGTGCTGGCTTGAGAACAGAAGAGCCCAAATGCATCAACTGTAAATACTGATGACAACAGAATCTCATCCCTCCTGTTGTTATTTATTTTGAGATTTTTGCTGGGGCAATAGTTTTACGTTTGACATTTACATAGGTCATGGTGAGCTAATAGCCATCTGCCATCTGGGGACTCTTTTATAATGAACATTATGGAAGACTATGGAAAAATTCTCTGGCATTTCTGATTTGCACACAAGCTGGGATGTGGTTGATCTTGACAATATGCTATTCCAGCTCACATTAGTCATGTGCTTGACTAAAGTGCTCACTCAGCCTCATACACACAGGCATGGTTTCCTAGGAGCCTGGGCTGGGGTGAGTCAAACCTAATTTTTTCATCAGTCTCAGATACATCTTTTGGCAGTGAAGATGAATTCTGGCCTTAAGTTCAGAACTTCAGGGAATCTCACAGTGGATCTAATGGCACCTGGACAAGACAATGTGCTTTCAATGAACCTCCTAAGTTAGTGTTATGATTTCAAAAGAACAATGACTACAGGAGACCATCCTGAGTGTGTTGCCTGCAGATGGCCTGTTTCCATTAAAAGAGCATATACTATTTATTTAGAAGACCTGAGACCATTCAAATCTAGGCATTCACTTGAACCCTTTCAGCCTCCATTTCTTCATCTATGAAATAAAAATAAAATGTCAACTTCATTTGTTTTGAAAATTACAGGACATTGTAAATAGCAAACACTGAGCACAGGCCTTGGTAAATAAAATTCTGTCCCCCTTCAACACTGAATTATTCATTTTGCTTTTTATTCTTCATCTACTCTGTCTTTCTAGTAACCAAGAAAGGTAGACATAGGTGGGGAGGAAGAAAGGAGAAAAACTTCTTTTTTTAACCCATGCTGCTTCTGCAGCTCTACCAGGAATACCCTGGGCAGTGAATCTAGTAATTAAAAGGGTCCAAGCAATTCTGGATGGTTTGTGGATTTTGGCAAGGTCAGCTCCGTCTTTCCCAGAGGTGTATGTTCAACAGCCCATGGAGTAGAAGACAAGAGAATGCGTTCATACTCCCCATGACCAATGAACAAACCTGGGCTACTTGGTGAGGCCATAGGGAAGAAGATGAAGGTGGGTAAGGACTGTCAGGCCACATCCAACGGAGGTGTGTCTTACAGTGAGGAGGTAAGCCTATGTAGGTGGAACGTCTCTCTCTCTTTCTCTATTGGCAACTTCATGCTGCACAGTGGGGGATATGCACATTGCTAGGGTCCATTCTTGCTGTTTTTAGGTAACTTCAGTTCTTTTGAATATGCAGTAAGATGTTTTCCAAATCATTCTGAACCCAAAGATGGATAAGAAAAGAAAGACTGTAGACTAGCACACCCGATTTTATTCGCAGCATGAGAACTGGCTTGTCAGACCAGAAAACTCTTCACCATGTCTCCATCCCACCTGCTGTTTCTTTGATGATGGAATGAATGCCTCTTATTCTATCTAAAGTGAACAAAGGTATAGCATTTGGATCTTCTGTTACCAATTATACTGCTGAGATGAGATTTCTGATGGGACCATTTGCTGATCCTAGAGCTTAATGGTTTTTGTTTTGTTTTGTTGTTGTTTGCTTACCGATATGGAGTGAAAGAAAAGCTTCCTTCTACCTGCTGGAGATTTGCTAAAATAAGATAAAAATAGATTAACGGAAGAAAAGGCATACACGTTTATTAACATGCACAGGGGAAAATCACAAGTGAGTGAATACTCCACAGATCAAAGAGACTCAGAATCTTTTTTTTTTTAGACAGAGTCTAGCTCTGTCACCCAGGCTGGAGTGCAGTGGTGCAATCTTGACTCATTGCATTTTCCACCTCCCAGGTTCAAGTGATTCTCCTGCCTCAGCCTTCTGAGTAGCTGGGATTACAGATGTGCACCACCACGCCCAGCTAATTTTTATATTTTTAGTAGAGAGGGGTTTCACCACATTGGCCAGGCTGGTCTGGAACTCCTGATCTCCAGTGATCCACCCACCTTGGCCTCCCAAAGTGCTGGGATTACAGGCTTGAGCCACTGCACCAGGCCGAAACTCAGAATCTTCTATGCTGTTCTATGTATGGGAGAGGGATATGGGGGAATGTAGGCACTCTTGAAGATAGTAAGTGACTTTTAGGAGAATTGAATGGGCCCAAAGAGCAGACAACAGTTTGAGGCAAAGTTCCTCTGAGCTCTGGGAGCAGTAATGACAAGTTATGGGAAGGTGAGAGGTGGAACTTCAATGTGAAAAGGGTTGTCTTATTATGTAGATAAAGCCTCCCAGGGAATCTCTTGGAGCTGCCTTCGGAAGAATAGATAAAAAGTCAGTCTGGGCATGGTTGCTGATGATTTTTAGTCTCTTTTCTTCTTCAGTGGTTAATTTTTCCTGGTTGTTTGATGAAATTTATAGGGGGGGGGGTTTCAAGATAACTGCAAACAAGTTTTTCTCAGTTAGATAAAAGAACTTCCAGAGAGAACCCCTTCCTGTGCTTTGGAGGTGGTTGGGTAGGAGCTGGAGAAGGTGAGAAAGTCCTTGATTCAGAGGTATCTTCTTAAGCCTTCCAGTTTCTTTAATTCAAAAGTGCTCAGCATGACCAAGCTCCATTCTTTGGGGTATCACTGTCTGAGCGCCAACACCAATGATGTTACTGGAATTGAATTTTAAACATCTCTGCCTATGCAGCATTAATCTAGTAACTTGAGAACAGTCATCTCCAGCCTCAGACAGAACACATTCCTCTCCCTCTTTGCTTTATGTTTATTCTCTTTTGTTAGCTCTGTATTTATGTATTTCCTCCACCAGTCAACAAGCTTTGCTTAGGACAAAGGCACATCATTTCAACTTGGTATGTTCTTAGCAGCTAGCACAGTGATTTGCACATAAGTATTTAACGAAAGTTTATTTAGGAAAGAAAGAAGTGACATTGGGTAGCGTAAGGAACCTGCTTTTGCCCTTGAACCACTGCATCTTCCAATCTCAGTATAAACAGCCACCCCTCAGAGAGGCCTTCTTTCATCATCCATTCTAAAGAACCCCACTCCTGTATTTGTTTTGTCCATATCACTCTCTCTCTCTCACTCGCTCTCTCTCTCTTTTTCTTTTTTCTATATGGCATTTAGCATCATCTGTAATTGTGTTTATGTAGCTGCCTCTTGACTTATTGCTCGTCTTCCTCTGTGGACTATAGTAAACTCCATGAGGGGAAAATCTCATCTGTTTTGTTCATCACTGGATAGCCATACCAAGCAGTTGCCTGGCACATAGTAGGCACTTAATAAAAATAACTAATGAGTAAACAAAGCACCTGTTTAAAATGCTGATCTAAGAGCATTTTCTAGTGACTATGAGACCTAGTGTAGCCTGGTTTTCTACTCTTGGTGAGAGAGGAGGGAAGGGAAGGAGGGATCAAAGTAGAGGCTGTGCTCCTCTGCAGCAGGATGAGCTAGGCAGTCGCGGACTTGGGTTTCAGCCCTGCTTGCCCCATTAACCAGCCAACCATCCTTAGAGAACTCACCTCTGGATAAGTTTCTCTCTGGGTCAAGGAAGGGTTCGCAGTAGCTTATATGAAAGGAATTCTTCAGCACTACCACACCCTTTGGAGCAATAAATACACCTAGGGATGACTTTTCCCTCAGGGCTAAGCATTCCTGTGTCTTTTAATACATGTTAATAAATGTAAACAAACACAAACTATTTATCTACTCCAGACACGTAAGGTTCTTTAACCTTTAGAACTTATTAGGAAAGGATGGTGCTCTTTGGGGACGTTGGCTATAATACACTTTCCCCTCCCAAGAGCTCTTATACACAGTGCTTATTTCCTACTACCAAGATAGTAAAAGGCACCTCCTTGTTATTATGTGTGGATAGGAGGAGAAGGGAGTAAGTATGAAGGGGAGGGTGCGGAACTGACTTCTGATTCATACAAAGGATGTGAAAACTGCATGTAAAAATCCAGGCTTTCTGTTTTCCAAAGGAATATAGATATCTGTGGTATATCAGTGAGTTTCAGACACACAAAATAATTAGGGAGATATTGAAAACAAAGAGACTGGAGGCATTTAGCAACAATAATTATTAATATCAAAAAAGAGTGAATGCCTAATATTCTGTGTTCCCTGATGAAATAATGCAACAACAGCACTATAAGCTTGCCAAAAGGACCGAACAAGAGTCTGATCAATCCTTTTGGTCCAATTTAAATTTGTATTCCCAATTTATAGGGAATACAAATTTCCAGAAGAAACATAACGAACTGCATCCTGAGTTTGCAAAATTCAAACTTTAAAAACTCTACAGGTCTAATAGGCCCAGGGTCTTCAATAGATAACTATATAGAAAACAAAAGGATGGAGAAGAAGTCTGTAGACTAAGTGAGATTTAATGGACATAAAAAAAATTGTTTTCATTGGCAAGATTAAACTTTAGCATCAAAGAATGGACACATAGTGTTTGAATATAAAGAAAGGCAAAGAGCTGATTACTGTGGATTTCAAGATACTGGCTACTTTTGGAATGAGGGAGGGAGCTGTGATTGGAATGGAGCTCATAGAGGGGTTTTTGGTGTGGCTGACCAAGTTCCATTTCTTGACTTGGGTACAAGACTATTTGTCTTATAATTCTTTGAGTGTTACATTTGTTTAGTATGGTTTAATTTTAACATGAAATAGTTTTAAAAAAAAGGAAAAAATGTACACACATACTGAATTCACACTTTAAAAAATTAAGCATATGAAAAGATATTCATTGTTTTTGGATAAAATAGTTCAATATCATCAAGATAGTAGTTCTCCTAATTAAAACATTGCCATTGTTATTCTGGAGCTAGAGAGGTTAATACTAAAGTTTTATGGAAAAAAAGCATGCCACGATATTTAGCAAAACAATAGAAGGAAGATCTCAGAGGATGACTCCAGATGTTGAAAGATACTATAAAATCTCTGTAATTAATATATTGTAGAACTAGCATGGAAAAGAAAAAAGCAAAAAGAAAAGTAGAATGCAAAAGAAAGTAAAAAAAAAAAAACAAATCTGAGTACATCTGGAAATTTAGAATATGATAAAGGTGGCATATCAAATCATTAGAACTAATATGAACTTTTCTATAATTGATGTTAGGATAACTGAATAGCCATTTAGACAAAGATAAAATGAATCCATTTTAGAAACATAAATGTAAACGTTTAATTATATAGGTATTTTTAATGGGTCAATTTTTCTTTTACCTGGTTTTAGGGAAAGGCTTTATACTGTAATTCAAAATCAAGATGCAAAAAAAGTTTAATAAAATTGCCTACATTAAAACAATACATGGCAGAAAACAATGTGAGCAAAGTCAAAAATAAGTGAATTGGCAGAAAATATTTGGAACATATACAACAAATAATGGACTAATAAACAAGGAACTCTTAAAATTGAAAAAAAAGACCAAAGTTATATAGAAAAAAAAGCAAGGCATACGAATAAAATACACACAAAATACCATTATTATTCTTCATAGAACTAGAGAAAGCCATCCTAAATTTCATATGGAACCAAAAAAGAACCCACATACACAAAGCAAGACTAAGCAAAAAGGACAAATCTGGAAGCATCACATTACTTGACTTCAAGCTGTACTACAAGGCGATAGTTACCAAAATGGCATGGTACTGATATAAAAATAGGCATGTAAACCAATGGGATAGAATAAAGAACCCAGAAATAAAGCCAAATACTTATAGCCAACTGTTCTTTGACAACCTACAAAAACCCTAAAGTGAAGAAAGAACACCCTATTCAACAAATGGTGCTGGGATAATTTGCAAGCCACATGTAGAAGAATGAAACTAGGTCCTCATCTCTTACCTTATTAAAAAAAAAAACAACACTCAAGATGAATCAAAGACTTAAATCTAAGACCCCAAACTGAAAACCTGTGGAAGATAAGATTGGAAAAACTCTTCTAGACATTGGCTTAGGCAAAGTGTTCATGACCAAGAACCCAAAAGCAAATGCAACAAAAATAAACAAACAAATAAATAAATGTGACCTAATTAAACTAAAAAGCTTCTGTGTAGCAAAAGAAATAATCAGCAGAGTAAATAGACAACCCACAGAGTAGGAGAGAATATTCACAAACTGCATCCAACAAAGGATTGACATCCAGATTCTACAAGGAACGCAAACTAATTAGCAAGAAAAAACAACCCCATCAAAAGGTGAACAAATTGAATAGACAATTATCAAAAGAAGACATACAAATGGCCAAAAAATATATGAAAAATGCTCAACATCACTATCGGAGAAATGCAAATTTAAACCACAATGCCATATCACCTTACTCCTACCAGAATGGCCATAATTTAAAAATAAAAAACAATTGATGTTGGCGTAGTTGTGGTGAAAAGGGAACACTTTTACACTGTTGGTGGGAATGTAAACTAGTACAACCACTATGGGAAACAGTATAGAGATTCTTTAAAGATCTAAAAGTAGAATTACCATTCCATCCAGCAATCCCACTACTGGGTATCTACCCTAAGGAAAAGAAGTTATATGAAAAAGACATTTGCACACACATGTTTATGGAAGCACAATTTGCAATTGCAAAAATAGGGAATCAATCTAAATGCCCATCAACCAATGAGTGGATAAAGAAAATGTGGTATATATACGCCATGGACTACTACTCAGCCATAAAAAGAAACCAAACAATGGCATTTGCAGCAACTTGGATGGAGTTGGAGACCATTATTTTAAGTGAAGTAACTCAGGAATAGAAACCAAATATCCTATGTTCTCACTTATAAGTAGGAGCTAAACTATGAGGATGCAAAATCATAAGAATGATATAATGGACTTTGGGGACTCTTTGGTGGAACTGTTGGGAGTGGGGTGAGGAATAAAAGACTATACATTGGGTACAGTGTACACTGCTTGGGTGATGTGTGCATCGAAATCTCAGAAATCACCACTAAAGAACTATTCCATATGCCCAAAAACTAAAAATTAAAAAAGAACACAATATACACACATACACCCCCCCACCCCGCACACAGATTAAACATATGAAAATATATTCAACTTCACTTACAAAAGTATAGTGAAGTACACTGATGGACTCTGTTGGCAAGACTGTGGGGAAATACACACAGATTGCTTTTGAGAATGCAAAAAGTGTTACCCGTATAGAATTATCTAACAAAACTACATATACACTTGCCCTTCGACCTGACAATTTGTCCTGAAGATACACCTCCAATAACGTAAGAATACACCACCACAAGCTTATTTATGGCAGCATTATTCATAATTGCACAATATTAGAAATTACATAAATGCTCAAACACAGGAAATTGATTGAATAAACTGGTATATCCACATGATGGAAGACTAAGAAAAAGAAGAATTAAGAAGATTTCTGGCCGGGCGTGGTGGCTTGCGCCTGTAATCCCTGCACTTTGGGAGGCTGAGGCCTCACTTCAGGTCGGGAGTTCGAGACCAGCCTGACCAACATGGAGAAACCCTGTCTCTACTAAAAATACAAAATTAGCCAGTCGTAGTAGCACATGCCTGTAATCCCAGCTACTCGGGAGGCTGAGGCAGGAGAATCACTTGAACCTGGGAGGCAGAGGTTGCAGTGAGCCGAAATCGCGCCATTGTACTCCAGCCTGGGCAACAAGAGCGAACCTCTGTCTCAAAAAAAAAAAAAAGAAGATGTCTATGATTTATTATGACATGAATTTCAAGATATGTTAAATGAAGAAAGAAAATTCAAAATAATGCATAGATTGCTGCTTTGGGATAATAACGGAAATAAGGAAATTAAAAATATCTGTTTTTTTTTAAAACTTTTTTTGGAAGTAACTTATACTTTTCCTGTTTGTTTGGGAGAAAGGATATTCAGAAAGTATAAATCAGAGACTAATGGAATTGGTAATCTACCAGAAGTGCAAGTAGAGGGAAAACAGTGGTTGGATAGGACGAGGAGGAACACTTCTTTGGATATACCTTTCCATATAGTTTTGATTTGTGAAATCATGTTATTTTTCTATAAATTTAAACATTAAATGTGGATGGGGAGAAAGCCTTAAAACTGCTTGGAAACAAATAAATAGACATAACTATGTTTCAATGAAATGATATAATCACACCAAAGAGAGGAATACAAATTATTCCAAGTAACTTTTCAACACAGTGCCTTGACTATATATGTCTTCCTCTGAAGAAAAGGATACAAACATATCTTGAACTTTTCTTAGTCATTTTTTTGTAATGGTATGGATGCAACCATTTTAAAACTATTTTGCTTTTGAGCCTTGTAGGATTGAGGAAATAAATAAATATTCTTTTTGTTTGTTTCATGATCCAGGATTCTCACTGTGAAGTAAGTATATAAAAATATAAAATAGAGAAAGACAAGAAACATCACTGAAGAGTTGGTTTGTATTGGTATCAATATAAGCAGATAAGTTAAAAACGTATATTCACCGATTCTATCTGTCAATCGCCCCTTAAAACGGTGGTATCCCAATGGCAAAATAAGTCACTTGATATTGGTTCCTAAATACTATTTTCCACTTAGAGGAATCAGGAATCCTTGGAGAAAGGCTGATGTCATGGATAGGGCAGGGAAACACAAAGGAGCCTGCAACATCTGGTATTGTCAAAAAGCAAGAAAATCTCAAAAAAAAAAAATTAAAAAAACAGAGAGCACGCCAAAAGGACAAAGGAATGCTCAGTGTGAGACAACTCTACAACCCAATGGATAAAAGACAAAAAGTTCACTGGTTGCTTAGTTCGTTGTGGGGGTTGGTGAAGAACAGGCCATTGACGTGGCCTCAAAACATTCCTTGCAAATTGCTTATTAATTACAATAGGAAAATAGTAACTGTACAGCAGAGAAGCCACTGATCACAATTAGCATCATGGATAAGAGGCAAACAAACTCAGCGTGCATCCAGATGTGCCTCCAGAATGTTTGCCTCCAGAATGTTTGGATTATATGTTAATACTGTGATTATTCAGTCTACGTCAGCAATTGAGGAGTAGGCTAGGAATTTTCATAGTTGTGTCTGGTTAAGGAGTAGGCTAGGAGTAGGCTAATTAAGGAGTATGCTAGGGCTTTTTGTAGTTGTGTCTCCTATACCCTGAGAAAAACACAGCACTGCTCATGTTGTGATTCAGCCAAAAGGGCACTATCTGAATCTAATACTGTGGAACCATCAGGCAAATCCAAAATGAGGGTCTTTCTGTGAGAGAAATGGCCTGCACTCTTCAACAATGTCAATTTCAGAAAAGACAAAGACAGGCTGAGAACTGTGCAGATCAAGGTAAACTAATGAGACGTGATGATTAAGTGCAAAGATGTGATCCTATATTGTGTCCTCTATGACAGTGGTCCCCAAACTTTTTGGCACCAGGGACTGGTTTCGTGGAAGACAATTTTTCCATGGAAGGGAGTTGATGGTTTTGGAATGAAACTGTTCTACCTCAGATCATCAGGCATTAGATTCTCATAAGGAATACACAGCCTAGATCCCTTGCATGTGCAGTTCACAACAGGGTTCATGCTTCTGTGAGAATCTGATGCTGCCACTGATCTGACAGGAGGTGGAGCTCAGGTGGTAACGCTCACTGGTCAGCCGCTCACCTCCTGCTGTGCAGCCTGTTTTCTAACAGGCCATGGCCCAGGGATTGGGGACCCTTGCTCTATGGGGAAGATGCCATAAAGGACATCATTAAGACAATTGGTGAAAGTTGAAAATTGATTAGATAAAAGTATTGTGTGAATGTTAAAATTCCTGGATTTGATAACTATGAAAGAATGTCCTTGTACTTAGTGAATACACATTGAAAGAATAAGGGGAAACAAACACAGAAAAACCTACTCACAAATGGTTCAGGAAGAATACGTGTGTGTGAATATGGGCAGATATAGAGCAGAAATGTGGCAAACAACTACAAATTGATGAATCTGGGTAAAGGGCATATGGAGACTTTTTGTACTATTCTCACACCTTTTGTAAATTTGGAATTATTTCAAAATAAAGTTAAAAATATTAAGACATCCAAACTTTTTTGTGTGAAGTTGCCTGAGGGGCAGAGAAAATATGGAGTTATATTATTCCCTGTGTGAACTCTTATTTAATGTTATTTTACCAGGTGTTTATTGTCTACTTTGTGCCAGGAAATGCGCCAAGTTTTAGGCTTTGCCCTGCCTGTTCCCTCATGCTTTCTCTCATCCAGTAGGGGGAAGAGGGCACTGAACAATTTTTCGCCCCCTTTGTGAGTCAAAATCTCTCTGGGTCCCACTCTTCTGATTTGTACAATCTATATAATGAACCAAATGATTTCTAGTTCTAACTCAATGATTCTAAGTCTCTCTACCCAGTTCTTCTAGTTCTTATCATTTCCTTCTCTTTGTACTTTTCACTCTCTTTTCTGGACTTTTCTTTAAGCTGTACCTGAATGGCTTTATACCAGGTGTTTCCATGGTTGGATCAAAGAGACAGACTGCTACAATGGCCTTTCTTGAATAGGAAGGGCAGCTGGAATCCATTCAAAAAAGTCTAAGCTGGCAGAATCCTCTTCTTCCCTCCTGAGCCATTGTCTCTTTGGCTCTGAAAATGCCCAGCACCTATGCAGCTAGGAGCCCATAGCAGTCTCTCAACCACAGTCCAGACATGCTAGTTTGAAACACTGGCGCTTAACATCCCAAATTCATCAATATTTGCAAATGGCTTAGAGAAACTATAACTCAAACGTCATGTTGGGCATCACACCTCTCTCCTTCCACAACAGAATGGGAAGGTGGGCACTGGGGAGTTCCCTTATAAGTCTAAGGCTTGTAAAGAAAATAATAAAATGAAACTAAAGCCCAAACCAGCAAAAAGCAATTGGGATAGTTAATTTTATTTCCTTTATTTTGAGTTTAACAGCTGGTCACTGTTTCTGATTAAGAAACTTCTGAGTGGGAACAAGGGCCTTTAAAGAGAAACACGTTGTGTTTTGGCAGAAAACCTTAATGACTTAGAACATAAACTTCTGTCAAAAGAGCAGAAGGCCCTGATGCTAGAGAGATCCCGGGCTGAATGAGGCCATAACTCATGTTGGAGCTCCTCATCTTGTTCTCTCTGCTTAGTACAAGAAGCAGGGGGCCTGAAGTGGCCTCCTCATATAAATTAGCTGGCTGTATTGTGTCTATGGAGAGGCCTATTTATTTTCCTAGACTGAAGCCAATCCTGAACTTGATGAGAGCCCTGTTCAGAGGCATAGAGAAGGAGAAGGCAGTGGTATCCGAGAATTAGTTGAATTTATCTTGTCAGTTTGGGAAATGATGCCTAATGGAGGACTTGGCCAGCTTGTGGGGATCATGGGGGAAAATGCAGTGCCTGGAGTATGTTATTCTCATTCATGCATCCATCATTTTCTTCAACATTTATTGAGAATCTTTCTTATTTTAGACTTGATGACAGAGGCTGGGGTACTGCAGTTGAGTAAGGCCTTCATGGTAATGCAGGCAGGTGAGCCCCCAAATTGGAACTTAGTCCAAGAGGGTTCTTGGCTTCACCCAGGAAAGAATTCAAGCGTGAGTGGTGGTGTTAGACAGCAACTTTTATTAAAGCGACCATGCACAGCAGCAGCAGAGGTACTGCTCCTTGTAAAGCAGGGCTAAGCCATAGGCACTGAGCCCAGAATAGCAGCTCAGAGGCAGTTCTGTAGTCATATTCATACCCAGTTTTAGTTATATGCAAATTAAGGGTTGGATTATGCAGAAATTTCTAGATAAAGGGTATTAACTTTCAGGTGTTGCCATGGCAATGGTAAACTGACATGGCACATTGGTGGGCATGTCTATGGGGAGGTGCTTTCACCCTGTCCCTGTTTTAGCTAGTCCTCAATTAGGTCTGGTGCCCAAGCTACACCTCCAGAGTTGAATTCCACCTCCTGAGTCAGGCGCCACCTCCTACCTCAATGGGACATAGAGTCTGTTCGGGTAGACTGTCTTATAGCTAGACAACTACAACATGGTGTGGTAGGTGCTGCTTTTGAAGTTTTATGGAAATACAGGAGAGGATAAACTTCATTCCGCCACAGCTAAGGTGAGGACTAGGCAATGGAAGTCTTTACAAAGGAGGTAATATTTGTGCTGGACCTCAAAGAATGAGCACAAGTTCATAGTGAAGAGGAAAGACATTTTAAGCAGGGGAAAATGTTAGACCCTTAGGAAAAACCAACATATATAATTCCATTGGATTGAATTTTATAGGATTCTATATAGTGAGGGTACAAGGTAATACAGGGAGGGTGGATTGAAGTAGGATCTTGGAAGTCCTAGTGCACTATGTTGAGAAGCACAGTCTTGATCCTACCCATGGGTAATAGGAAGCTAGGAAGAGCTGTAAGCTGGAAAGTGATGCAATCACCCCAGGAGCTATGTAGAGGTAAATTACAGAGGGGATTAAAATTTATAATAAGCCTGGTCAATATAGCAAGACTCCATCTTTACAAAAATAAAAAACAAAAAAATTAGCTGGGCACAGTGGTCCATACCTGTAATCCCAGCACTTTGGGAGGTCAAGGCAGTAGGATTGCTTGAGGGCAGGAGTTCAAGACCAGCCTGCAAAACATAGTGAGACCCTGTCTCTAAGAAAAAAAGAAAAAAAGAGAAAGAAGGAAGGAAAGAAAGAGAGAGAGAAAGAAAGAAAGAAAGAAAGAAAGAAAGAAAGAAAGAAAGAAAGAAAGGAAAGAAAACTAGTTGGGTATGGTGGCGCATGCCTGTTGTCCCATTTACTTGGAAGGCTGAGGTGGGAGGATTGCTTGAGCCCAGGAAATGGAGACACAGTGAGTTATGATTGCATCACTGCACTCCAGCATGGGCAACACAGTAAGACCCTGTGTCAGAAAAACAAAAAAGTTTTTAAATAATAGTCAAAATTGCTGTAACGTATGGTAAATTATATTATGAAAGTTAGGTAAATGTGGAATGGACATAGATTTCTAAAATAGAACTCAAAGAGAATAAAGATGGGAGTGTGTGTGTCTGTGTGTGTGTGTGTGTGTGAGAGAGAGAGAGAGAGAGAGAGATTGGGTATATTTGAAACATATTTACATTCAGATTTTTTACACAAGAAACAACTGCAGTCTGAAGTGGAAGCTTATGGATGCATAAGCCATTCATGGGCAGACCTCATCCTCCTCCTGAGCCCTAGCAGAGAGACAGCAGACATGAGATTATAAAGCAGTGCTCCTTTCCACGTGGCTACTCAAGTCCAGAAGAGAGAACTACTTCTGGTGTTCAAAGGATGCAAAAGGTTATGGAGCTTACGATTCACATAAAGGGATTGACCAAGGTGACTTGAGCTCTTTAATCCAACAAAATCAGTTGAGCATGCACTAGTGGCAGTTCTTATTCTAGGTGTAGGGGATACTCCATCAAACCAGACAGAAGGAATGTTCAAGGCTTTCCTTATGGCTGCAGGGGTTTTCCCTTGCACAGGAGCACCCAGCTGAGGGGCTCAGTGGGGAACTCCATTTAACCAGAGCTCCACCTGCTGAGTCCTGGACCTGAGGGCAGTGACCACCTAGGTGGGTTAGGAGTGGTGCCATTTTCTGATTCTTACTAATATTTCTTATGATTCCCAGAAGGTTGTGCAGATGGAAGACTCTCCTCTCCAGGAAGAATCGCTGCTCTCAAGTGGGGGTGAGAGAGACATTAAACAAGTGAACATCTTATAAATAAGGAATTCCACAGTTAGTGTTGTAGAGACACCTCTGGTGCCCTTGTCAGTCCCTTTGGCCCAGGAGCCCTTTGGCCAGTAGCAGGCCAGCAGTGAGGAGTGAATATGCTTCCCAGAGAAACTCTCCACTAGCAGGGATAGCTGGGAATTGGCGTATAGATTCTCCAGTCTCCTAATCTTTTAGGTGAACGGTGCTGGACTGTGTTCTGAGCTCTTCTCGTCTTCTCAGGAGGCTGAATGGAGCCAAGCCCCTTTGCCTACAGCAGGGACTGTGATATGCATGTGAATACTAGCTTTTCCTCTTTTTCCCCTTCCTCCCTCACTTCTGCTTCCTGGGATCACCTGCCAAAAACACTTTCTACACCCAAGTCCTTGCCTCAGGTTCTGCTTTTGAGGGAACCCAAATTTTAAGACAAGCTTAATGAGACAAAAACAAAAACAAAAATACAGGGAAAGCAATATAGTGAGTAGTATGTGGGAGGGAATGACTTTGACTAGAGAAGCTTCTCCTAGGAGAAGATACATGCACTGGGGTGATCACTAGTCTCTCCAACAAAAACCTGCTTCAACTGTCATCAGGGCCCCATGTGTTTTTGGTATGGGGAGGTAATTATGACAGTAACTTCCAGGTTTGGGTTCACAACCCCGACCTCCCCCACCGAACACCAGTATCATCAGTGGAGAGCAGCCTTGCTGAGGACTTAGGCACCTGCTAAACAGGACCTGTGCATCTTTGACTGGAGCAGGAGTAAGGCCAATCATTCAACTTTCCCCTGCACCACATGTCCCTAGACATAGTATCCCCAGGGAGAGCAGAGATAGCAAGGAAAGGCTCCTGACATGACTTTATATTTCACATCCAGGAACCTGCCTCCCAAAAAAGATTTAAGGCAACTTACAACAAGAAAATCAGAGAAGGATGCATCAGATCTGGCCTGGAAGGCAGGATGCGTGATTGACTAAGATGATAGGGAAAGTCGACCTCAGGCAAGTGGGAAAACCTAAGTGCTAAAGAGGAACAGAGGCAGGAAATCCCAGATAGGCGTGAGGCCAGAAGTGAAACCAGCTCCTGTTTCTGGTTCTTTCCTTCATTAGGACTCTATAGGAACATTTCAGGGAATACCCACAAGAAAATGGCTTACTAACAGAAACACCCTTCATCTCTGCAGTTCTTAACCCTTCGCAGCCAATGAAGTCACTGTTTCCAATGATGATACAATTCCAGCAACATTAGCAAGGCCAGAGCGTTCAACCTACTCTAGACAGGGGCATAAAATCAGGCAGGGCCGTTTTCCACACCACACTTCTCCACACCCTGGAACAGCCAGGCCTTTGGAAACAGTTCAGTAACTAGGATTTAAAATTAATTTTCCATCCCACTGTTCTTCTCAGTATTTATTCCAGTGTGCTCACCCTGGCGTCTTTTGGGTGACCTTGCTTAGTGTCTCAGCTATGGGATTTTGTAGTCTGTGATGAATGACCTCCATTCAGACAAATCAAAACAGGCATGCTCCAATGTCAAGTTGGTGCAAATGAAGCTCATTTTACACAATAATTTGTTTCCCACAAGTTGTGTATAGATTGCTTTTCTTGGCTTATTATTTTGGAGGAAGTGAGCATTCGCTGCCTAACCTCCCTATCCAATTGTTCACCATTTGGTCAGATGGCCCCCAAAACTTGCAAATGTTAATGTTCCTGCCCTGCTCCAACCCTTTGGTTTCATATACAAATGTCTAAACAAATTTCAGGGGATTACCAATGAATCACTTGTAACACGAAAATCTTCTTATAATTGCAAAACACCCCACACTCTCCTCTGTTTTGTGACCTCTCTTTAGCACTCAGCACTGTGGGCCAATGACTGCCTTTGCCCACTGTCAACCCTGTTTCCCACCATCTGACCTTCCTTTATTGCCATAGCTGAGCCAGGTTCTGTGCTGCAGTTTCTTCTGATGTTTGGGTTTTTGCCCACTGAATTTTCAGAAAGTGGGGCTCATTTATATTGTGAAATTTGCTTTGGCTTGACGATTCTCCAGTAAATTCTAGACCATTAGAAAGGTCAGTATTTTAGGTCGGGGGTAGTTCAGGAAGTAGGTTGCTTAAGTTGGCCTCTCCACTTCTTTTTCTTTATTTTATTTAAAAATTGGTTTTTAATATAAAAGTAACACATCATTATGATAAAAAATCCAACCCCTTGGAGGTAACCACTCAGCGGTATCTCTGCTAAATCTGTTATGTATCTTTCTAAACATTAAATACATGAATTTTAAAAACACACATATTTAATGTAAGTTGGATTTTATTACACATACTCTTTGCAACTTATTTTTGTCATTAAACAGTAATTTTTTCACCTTTGAGGAGGCAAACTACTTGAGGAGGTTGTTTGTTTTCTTTTCCCATTGCTACCACTTGTGAAAAACTCAAGTGGCTACTTAGTGGAGAAATGTGTGTGGATGCGAGACCCAATAAACACTCAGGATTTGTAAGGAACGGGGTTAAATGGGTAGACTTAAGAGGCAGAAGTTGGGGAATGTGCTTGCCACTGAGATGGGCTTTGAGAGGTCCAGGTAAGGATGAGACTGGTACACATATGCTCAAGATTGTTGTATGTGAACTCGATTAAGTGTGTAATGACTACAGGGACATTTAATTTCTGAGACATCTTAATTTCTGTTTCTATGTAATCACAGCGGCATAGTAATAGTTTCTGCATCATCCAATGTTAAGCAGTGGGACAAAATACATAATAATAATTGCTACCATATTTTTGCCAGCTGGCTTTTAGAAAATGCTCAAACAAGGCCTAACACATAACTTTGCATTGTGTAAGCATGACCTCAGATGCTACCTGGTAGATCGTGTTGGCCACATTTTACAGTTAAAAGAAATGAGGCTCAGAGGGTAAGCATTTGCCCAAAGCCTCAACCCTAGTGCCAGGCAGAGCCTCACTCAGATACCAACCTGCCCATCTCTAGAGTCCATATTCTTTCCACCACATCACATTGGCTCACATATGGCAACATCCTTTTAAATTTAAAAAAATAGCAAAGGAGAAAAGCATGTTAATAAAATAGGAAAAAAACTATAAGAAAGAGAAGTCAACTAAGCCTATAACATTTTGACTAGGCTTTGAAGCTCAATCATGCTGCTTGCCACCTTTTAATGGGACCCACAACCTAAGACCTGAAGCCAGAGACCTTATCCCAATAATTCCACTGTACTCACAGAAATGAGGTGTAGAAGGCAAGCAGAGAGCCTTTTAAAATGAGTTTTAGCATCTCTTTGAAGTTTTTTTTTTTTCCTTTAGTGGAAGATTCTTATGACATGGTTAAGATTAAAATGCAAGCTGGTAAACACAGGAATTTTATCTTCCCAGTCTGAATGATTTGACAGTCCCCACTGCCTGATTTTGATTTATCTGATTCCAGTGTGTCCTTAGCATTTAACTGCTTGAGTTGTCAAGGGAATGTGGTCCCATTTTAATTCCTAAGGGAAATATAGATTGCTTTAATGTCATAACTCCCAAAACAGCCTGAGAGATTTTTCTCAAAAAAGAAATACGTGCATATGTGCAAGATCTATGTGAATAGGTTGACTATACACAAGCATGTCCACCTTTGGGCTGAGACCGAGCATCTATGTTTTGGCCAAGGAACAGCTCTGTTTCCTGGAGCGCTGGTGGAATGACGGGGAGTTCTGACAGTCCCTGTCCATACACAAACTTCTGAGATCAAATTAGTCCAGTCAAAGCAAAGAGGGCGTCCGTCTGGCTGGAGCAACTGTGTAGGCTGACAATTCTCAGCAGCTTTCAGCAGCCCCAGTATGATAATGGCTGAGCCCAGCAGTGAATAACCTAATCAAGCCATTAAAGGAAACAGAAGCCCTCTGCCCTGTTTGATTTCTTCGCATAATGATATAAAGTACAGTTTAATGAAGTCAAAGAGGTCCTGGGCCTCTCAGTGTGTCTAGGTCTTTGGAGGCAACACTATTGAGTCTGCCGCTGATGTTCATTACCAGTCTGCTGCTGGCTGCCCCAGCCCACAGACCCCGCTTGCAAGCTGCACTGTAGCTGGGGTTTTCTGGGGCAGTTTTCCAGTTGCCACAGCCCCGCCTGCATTTTGTCTACATAAATTAGACCTTGTGCAGCATATTGGCCTGTCAGGGGACTAGGAAGAAACTGTATATTGTTTCTGGCATCCCTGAGCCCTTCTGCCCCTGACATCTGCTGCGCCTGTGACAGGGAATACATTCTTGACTCATTATCCGAGCAAGTGGAATCCCACCCTGACAGGACCATTAATCAGAATCAAGCAGTCCGGCAAATAAAAAAGGGAGAGAGTGAGTGAGCATGTGTGTGTGAGAGAGAGAGAGACTAAAGAAAAGAAAGGAGACACTTTCTAACTTTGGCTTTGGTGTCATTCAGGGGTCTGGACAACTAGCAATCTATCTTTCTGAGTGACAGTCCTGATGGATGGCATTATTTATGCTTTTGTGTATTAAAAGACAGCTCTGGCACTGGCTTGTCATTTACAGAGAGGTTTACAAAAAGTTGAAATTTAATTTGGAGGAAAAGGAGAGCAGAGATCAGACGAGGCTGGTGAGTTGACAGTCTGCAGTGGGAAGAGAGGGAAATGAGAGCATTTGAGTGCAACGATTTGCTGGACAGAGGTGGGTGGTAGAAGTGGTGGTGTGAGTAGGAGTGTGTAGTGTGTTGCGGCTCTCACGTATCTGGGTAGGCTATGGGTCTCTGGAGCTTTGAAATGAAATTCAGCACGTGGTAATCATTTTATTGAGATGAATGTTTGGGTTTTTGCTGAGAAAAGATGCAAATGGAAAATATACTTGAGTGTTTGGGAACGTGTGTTGCGCATATATGTGGAGAAACTTTAAATGGTTATTTTCACCACTGGAACATTGCCTGAAATTGGAACTTCATAAATATAATGGGTACTTCTGTTACCCATACACATCAAGTATTGGATAACAAGGACATGTAATTTACCTAATCTTATTGATTAAACCGTCATGGTGGGTCTATGAATGTGTATGAGTGTTGGGTAGAGTGGAGAAAGGCATCGAGATGCATAGGGGATACACAATTCTGTAGCACAAATTTCTTGCACTCTGTCATCACTGTGACCTAGAATAAGATGCAGGATGGAGAATAAAGGATATAACTAAGAGATTACACCAATGCATATTTATAACCTTCATTTATAACTCTATGCTCTTGAATGACCTTATACTTCCACAGACATCTGTTTTTGAACCCAACAGCCAGAATGCATCATTTGCTTTAAATTAATAACATAGAAAACCTCTAGTCCTTGGTTTGTTCTCTTTTTCTATCCTGGCCCTGCTGACACCTTCCTACCTTCTCCCTGAGGGTTCCACACACCGATGATGTCATGTGTGGGACCCTTAGGTTGTGTGGGTCCCACACACTGATGATATGCTTTGGCAAGGCAGCAAAGCCCAGGCCCATGTTCATGAATCATGGAGAGGAAAAAGCCTACAGCTCAAGTGGGCCCAGCATCAACCTCCAGCCCAACCATCAGCTATTCTTCCTCTCCCTGAGTCTTTCTCTTTCCCTGGAAAGACGTGTATGGGGAACCTACTCATTAGCCTTGCTTTTGCCAAAAACTCCCTATGTGCTACCAGCTCTGGGCCTTGACCCTGGGGGATCATGAGGTTATAAAATCTCTAGTAACACCTGAGAATATATAGATGGCATGGTAGTACAGGGCATAATATTCTGGAAGGTAGACCATTTTAAGTTAGGGTTAGATTTAGTCTTAATGGGAGGGCTTAGAACAGGATAAGGGTCTAAAATTTACAACTGTATCATAATAACAGCTTTTCTCATTTAGAATGGGGCCACATGCTCCAAATTTGCATAAACAGATTAGCCAGAGACATCAAATTTCAGTGTTTAGATTAACAGGCATTAGGCTGGGCACGGTGTCTCATGCCTGTAATCCCAGCACTTTGGGAGGCTGAGGCTGGCAGATCACAAAGTCAGAAGTTTGAGACAAGCCTGGCCAACATAGTGAAACCCTGTCTCTACTAAAAATACAAAAAATTAGCCAGGCATGGTGGCACATGCCTGTAATCCCAGCTACTCAGGAGGCTGAGGCAGGAGAATCACTTGAACCCAGGAAGCAGAGGTTGCAGTGAGCTGGGATAGCACCATTGCACTCCAGCCTGGGCGACAGTGTGAGACATCGTCTCAAAAAAACAAAAACAAAAGCAAAACAAAAGAAAACAAATAGGCATTAGACCAACAGTTGGCTGGCCAATAAATTGATATCAACTATCAAGCTAAGTGGAAGAAATATGACAGTCAAAGAATCCTCTTGGGAGAAGTTGGAATTTAGAACTCCTGAGCTACCCCATATACAGGTTGAGTACCCTTATTTTGAATTTTTGGGTCCAGAAGTGTTTTATATTTGGAATGTTTTTAGATGTTGTAGTATTTGTATATACATAATAAAGTATCTTGGGCCTGGGGGCCAAGTCTAAACACAAAATGTATTTATGTTTCATTATATGCCTTACACACATAGCCTGAAGGTAATTTTATATAATATTTTAAATAATTTTGTGCATAAAACAAAATTTGTGTTAAGTACTTCTGTGTGGAATTTTCCACTTGGAGTGTTATGTTAGTGATCAAAAAGTTTCAACTTTTGGAGCATTTTAGATTTTAGCTTTTCACATTACAGACACTCAACCTGTATTGGCCTTGCTGTGAGATGGTACCAGTTTCGACTGTTGTCCCCATTATTTTTAGCCTTTCACCTCTCAGTGTCTTATCAATAAAATAAGGATAATTATAATTACACCTTTGAATTGTGAAGTTAAAATATGATAACATATGTAAGTTATATTACAAAAATGATGGAACATCTCATACTCAAAGCATCCACGAATTTCAAAGGAACTCAGTTTCCTTTCAGGAGTTTCAACAATGTTTTTAGTTTCCTATGTCTAACTGGGAAATCATTACTTTGAAAGAATACCTTGAGCTTTCATTTATCATGATAAAATGTCATATACTGTAGTATTATGGACTATATCTCAATTGGAAACTAGAAGTTCAAGGATTGGAAGAGCGGAGGATCAAGTGATGTGCTGGTAAGTATAAAAACCAAAAAACACAATAGAGACTTTCTAAATATGACATTTTCTCTGCCAGAACACATCTGATCATGTTATGCTTGAGGTCATGGAGAGCAGGGCTGACACATCCCTCAGTGACCCTGCCGGGGCTTGGAAGTCTTGCTTCTCCCAGGAGAAAGCTTACCCTCAGGGATTCTGTGCAGAAGCTGTGGCTAACCATTCCAGGCACACTAGCATGCCTCTGCCTCTCTGGTATAAACAGTTGTTTCATAAACAAAATGAAAAGAAGTGAGCTCATCTCCAACTAAGTAACTTTAAGTCAGGTCAATTAACATTGATGGACATCAGTTTCTTCACTGGTGACATGGAGATGATAATTTTTTCTCTAGAGGGTCATTACATTACAGATATTGTATGGAAAGTGCCCAGCCCAGCATATCGCTTGGAGCATAGGGTTGGGCTTTCAATATTATTCCATTATTATTGTCATCGTCTGGCATGCAGAAAACAGGTTTGCACAAATGGACTGGGCATTGACCCGGGGAAAGAATCTATATGTAGTAACTCTCCCAGCCACAAAGGTCCTTTAAGAAAAGCCTAGTAAAAATGGGCTTACTCCTGTATTCTTTTCTTCTATTTTGATTTGAGTAGTAGCTGAAAGTTTTAGTCACTGTTAACAAAGATATTTAGAAAAAGAGGAAATTTCTGGTTGGGAAGAGAAAAAGGGCATAAAGTGAAATAGATGATAGAAAGAGTAGACATAGACATTTTTCCAGGGCTGCTTTAAGAGAGGAAAAGGAATTGGAGACAAACTGAACTTGGCTTTAGGACACATTATTGTGTTCATAGCAAGGTAGGGGCTGAGGCTTGATGAGGGGAATGGGCAGAGTAAGGTCGGAAGGTTCTGCTGCATTCTCATGCGATGTTATCATCAAGGGTGGAGGAAGGCTCCAGCATTGGTGATGGTGTCGTGGGTGGGGGTTTGGTTGATAAAGTCTCACATTTTCCAGTGCAGAACTCCAAGTTCCAGTTCTTCTCCAGGTCTGTGGTGGGAGCTTGGAGAAGAGAGGGGCCCAGGAGGAGGGAGCTATTGACTGAGTAATCATAGACAAGATTCTGAACACCTGGATGGAGCAGCCACAGGAAGGAAATCCTCTTGGTATCCATATTATCTTTGCTACTAATTAAAAGACATTTCTATGCATCTTTCACTGTATCTGAGAAGAATGAGAGAGTCTGAAAACATTCTAGTATGGTGGGGAGGGGTAGGGTACATGGAAATCAGTGGTAGACTATGGTAATAATCAAACATCTGTAAATTGCTTTCTGATAGTCTCTTCAGTATATTGTCTTCATTATTTTAGCAAACCTAAAAATTACTCATAATGGCTTCCTTTTATCCTCTTGTTTCTCCTATTCTGTTTTTCTCAAAATATTTTAAGCTTTTATTTACAAATTCTTCTACTATGGGAAGAAATAGTAGAAGAACTCCCCCCCATTGGCTTAGGTGGGAAATACTACATACATTTGACCTTTTTTTTTCCCTGGTGGGTTATGGGGGTGACTTCCTGCTGAACAGATGACCTGATTGGACAGACTTTCATCAGCTTGTCTCTGATTCCCATTCTGGAGCTTCTCTGGGCTAGTCCTACCATCTTAATCAAACTACTTAAACTGCTTCCCCATCCATCCCCAATCCTTGGTTATGCATTTAAAAGTCTCAATATACTGCTTTCAAGGGTTGTTGAAAACTGTATGCAAATTTATTAGCACAGTGTCTGGCCCTTGCTATAAATGGTTTCATATTATCACATTTCTATGAGAGCAGTGATCAAGTACAAATGACAGGTCTAGCGCTCATACATTTTATTTGATTGAGAGGGAGAGAAAAGCCATGTGGAACTGGAAGATGAAGCAAACCTCTTCAGGAAGACATTCTATCATCAGTTATTTCCAGAGAACAGTGGAATGATCTCTCTATCAGGTGTCAGAGACACAGAGGGGAAAAGACAGTCCTTGCCCTCATTGTCCAGTGGAGGAAATAAACACACAAACATATACCCCAGTTATTGAGATAGGCACAGAGGAAGAGAGGGATCTGCAAAGAAACAATCTTTAGGAACCCCCTTGGGCCTGTTAGCTGACCCCACGTGGCCAGCTCTTTGGAGAGCTAACAGCAGTGGAGTCATCTGCAGTCCAGAGAAAGGAACTCTCTTGCTTTCAGCTCAGAAGTTCCAAGCCCTCAGTAGCCTCCCAGGACAAATCTCTATTAGGCAGGCAGTTTGCTTCTGGGTCCCTGAAGTTCATTTGGTGGACTCAGCTGTTTGTGGAACCCAAGGGAATTATTCATTAACATCGGTAAGAAATGCCTGACTAACATCTGGCTTGTTGGGGGCTGGGCTTGGTTAATTCTACTTGGAACAACACCAATATTAGTTCTGCTTGGATTAACACCAGCACTAATGATGACATAAGACTCTTACTTCATTAGCCTGATGAAGGGAAAATCTTGCATGTTCAGCCCACGCCAAAGAATAGAGTCCAGGTCCCAGACTCAAGAGCTGAACTAATGAGTGAATCAAGCTAACTGGGCACAGAAAACAACTCAAGCATAGAAGGGGGCTGTGATGGCGTGTTATAAGGAATACCCTGAACCGAGACAGATGCAGCGGGAACACCTGAGTACTTAAGAACTTATAGAGGCTGGAGGAATACTGATCTGAGTCTTATTTTTTATGGGCAGTTAAAACAACCAGAGAGCTGCTTCAGGTTTTATATCTCACATGTTCAAGTGCTTACTGATAATGGAGAGATGGCTAGTGCTCAGCGAATGAAAGCTTCCATAGTTTGAGTGGAAGTTCTTTCTCTTCCTTTCTAACTCCCACCAGTGGCCTCAAACATGTGCCTGCTTATAGACACACAACTTCTCTGTTATCCACTCAGATTGCAAATATGTAATAAGTATATGCCGTAAAGCTGGCAAGGTACCAAGGATGCAGTAGTGGACACGGGAGACATGGCCTCCACCACATGAAATTCATACTGGAGTTGGGGGAATACTGACAAGGAAGAAGACAATGGAGAGTATTAAGGAATTGCTGAGGGAATGGCACTGTGCTCAGACTTGGGCAGAAGAAAGAGGGTTGTGGAGGAAACCCCTGAAGCCCAGATGTACAGGAGCTATTCAAGAGAAGAACACTGGAAGCTCTGGCCGAGAGGATAGCTTTTAAAAATCCTTCAGCAGAAGGAGCATGGGGGTGCAGTGGCTGGGAGAGGCTTGGAATAGAACTGGAAATAGTGAGAGGAAGAATGCAGAAACAAGCAGAAAGCGAATCCTCATCCTCACCGGCAGCAGAATGAAGGCATGTGTCAGCATCTCTGTCTCAGATGACACTTTTCAAGCTCTCTAACCTGGAAATGTGAGGCAGAAATTCACTTCAGAGAACAACTGCAAAGGCCTACCAGCCAACGTGTTCCCACTATTCTTTCTCAGATCTGAGCTATTCCACTAAGCTTACGGCTTTGTGGTTTGAGTTCAGATTCCTCAGCACTCGCCTGTTTCTCCCAGCCTGGAAAAGACCAATAAGGAGAGCAATGACTGTGTTTCTGCTGTCACTCTGACCCAGGCACAACCAGGACACCAACTAAGGGCTGCTGGTCCAAGAAGGCCCCAGGTCTGGAGAACACTCTTGGATCAGGACCTCCTGGGAAGAAATTGGCTGATATGGTTTGGATCTGTGTCCCTGCCCAAATCTCATGTGGAGTTGTTATCCCCATTGTTACAAGTGGGGCCTGGTGAGGTGATTGGATCGTGGAGGTTGTATTAGTCTGTTTTCATGCTGCTAATAAAGACGTACCTGTGTGAACGCCAAAAATTTGAGACAGGACTCAGTTAATTTAGAAAGTTATTTTGCCAAGGTTGAGGAAATTCACCCATGACACAGCCTCAGGAAGTCCTGAAGACATATGCCCAAGGTTGTTGGGGCACAGCTTAGCTTTATACATTTTAGGGAGACATGAGACATCATTTAATATATGTAAAAAGTACATTGGTTCAGCCTGGAAAGGCAGGAAAACTTGAAGCAAAGGTGGGAAGACTTGAAGTGGGGAGGGGGCTTCCGTGTCACAGGTAGATAAGAGACAAATGGTTGCATTCTTTTGAGTTTCTGATTAGCCTCTCCAAATGAGGCAATCAGATATGCATCTATGTCAATGAGCAGAGGGATGACTTTAATTGAATGGGAGGCAGGTTGGCCCTAAGCAGTTCCCAGCCTGACTTTTCCCTTTAGTTTAGTGATTTTGGGGCCCCAAGGTTTATTTTCCTCTCACACCTGAGACTGGGTAATTTATAAAGGAAAGAGGCTTAATTGACTCACAGTTCCACAGGACTGAGGAGGTCTCAGGAAACTCACAATTATGGCAGAAGGGGAAGCAAACGCGTCCTTCTTCACATGACACCAGGAAGGAGAAGAATGAGAGCAAAGGTGGGGGAAAGCCCCTTATAAAACCATCAGATCTCATGAGAACTCACCGACTATCACCAGAACAGCATGGAGGTAACCATACCCATGATTCAATTACCTCCAATTGGGTCCCTCCCATGACATGTGGGGATTATGGGAACTATAATTCAAGATGAGATTTGGGTGAGGACACAGCCAAACCATATCAGAGGTGTATTTCTCATGAATGGTTTAGTATCATCCTCTTGGTACTGTTCTCACAATAGCGAGTGGGTTCTTGTGAAATCTGGTCACTTAAAAGTGTGTAGCCCCTCGCCCCTTGCTCTCTCTCTCTCCTGCTCCTGCTGTCATCATGTGAGACAGTTGCTCCCCCTTTTCACCTTCTGCCTTGATTGGAAGCTTCCTGAGGTCTCCCTAGAAGCACAAGCTGCTATGCTTCCTGTGCAGCCTGTAGAGCCATAAGCCAATTAAACCTCTTTTCTTTATAAATCACCTAGTCTCAGTTATTTCTTTATAGCAATGCAAGAATGGACTAACACAGTGGGGGACCCCTGAGAAACAAGAAACCCCTTCTTTGGAGTCTGCCTGCCTTCACCTAACACTCAGTTGCCCAGAATCCCTCAATCCTTGGCCTCAACATAATAAAGTTTTATTTATCTCAACTGTTCCAATAACTCTTAAGGTTCAGCTGCATATATGTGCAAATCTAACTGAGAGGCTAAGGAAGGAAAGAGTCAACACACTTGCTATGACTACCTTGTCAGATGTGATGAAGTACTTCCATTGCCTCAGAAGGTATTTCTTCTTTTGTTTACACATTGTATTAAGCAAGTCACGAGTGTTAAATGAATCAAATAGCCCCACAAGCTCAGCATCGGCCCCAGATCCTTAGGAGCCAGCAGAATTCATTAGTGTCATGAGATGCTGTAACCTTACTCCAAAACCAAACATCTAGTTAGAGCGGGATTTGAAGAGTATAACTTAATTTCCCTGAACAAGCAGAAAACAGTTTGCTAGTGGAACTTAGTTGAGTTTATTACAATTGACAATATTAAAATTAAAAGAAAAAATTGTTTTTTTGCTAGTTCTGCTTTTCACTGACCTAATGAAATGGAAAGGGACAGCATACAAAGGCTGGCAATTTTGTTGTGTTTTTAGTGTTGTGGGAAGAGAGCTGAGGTCGGAGGTCCACTGTGGTTTGTTAGCTCTGCCTGTTCCCTTGGCTGCCAGAAAGCTTGGAGGGAGGGGAAAGGAGGAAAGGAGGGAGGGGAAAAAAGAGCAACAAATGCTGGGCTCCGAGTTTCCCACTTTCCCTTTCTGACTTTCTGATACTTCCCAAACAGGAGGTCTTGACTGCCTGGTGCCAACCCCCAGTAATAAGAGCAAATGGCTATAAATACTTAGTAGGTTTCTGCAAATGTAAAATGTTAATGGCGACATCAAATGGAAGGATAGAAAGTCCAACTTTAAGTTTAGGATTTCCTGGCAGTTAGAAAAACATATATTCCATGAGTTCCAGTTTAGGAGGTGAATGGGTAAGTTAAGATTTGCATCAGGAGCAAGAGTTTTGAAAGAAGTAATTGCTGTTGATTAAAAAGAACAGTCAATTCTGAGTTCCCTGTTTAAAGAAGGTCATCTCAGATATCAGTTGGATTCTGCAGAATATTGAAACCAATATTGCTTTCAAGGGGATTTAATTTTGACTCTGTGTCTATATTTAAATAAATTGCATACATCATTCATTTAGTTCTTCAACTGTCGGAAATAGACACTGGCCTTTCTTAGAGAAAGGAAAATGGGACTCACAGAGATTAAATCACGTGCCTAAAGATACACAGCTAAGTATTGGAGCTGGGATTTGATTTGATTACAGTGCTTGTTCCTTTTCCACTGTACCTCCTAAAGGGCATGGGAAAATGTGGTGGTGTTTAATGAATACTTCAATTTTTATATTATCTGTGTAACTGCCCTTTTGTGTTATTTTCTGAGTGAAGAAGTTGGAAGCATCAACTGGATCATCCACTGTGGGTACATACTCCTCCTCTCCGCCCACCTAGTTCCTCAATTAATCAACTGTGGAGGAGTTAATACCCTCCCTATTTCAGGTGCTGCCTTGGCCATAATTTCTGCAAAGGGAACATGCATGCATACACACACACACACACACACACAGACACACACACACACACACATCCACACACATCACATGTGACCTAAGAAGCCTCAGGCAATTTTTTCACTCAGGGGCTGTGGTTCAGATTGCAGAGTCTACCCGGAAGTTGAGGGTCTAGTGAACTGTGTTCCCTTCTGTGTAGGAAACATGAGGATCTCCCTGTGCAGATCATCAGGGGTCCCATGTGGACATCCACGAGTTTTCAGAGGGTGTTCCAAGAAAATGCTCCCTCCTTTCTTAAGGAGACTGCATTTGTCTGTTAAATCTTGCCTGCCCCCCGAAGTCCTCTCTGCCCACTCCCACTTTTTGACATACCACCCCTCCTTCAGAAACCATTAAATCCCAATATTTGATGTGAAAATTGCCCTGTCTCTGGTGCTTGTTGTGAATCCAATGTCTTTTTTCTTCTGCCCATTTTTGTTGCTCCAAGAAGGGGAATATGAATGTCAGTGTCCTTGTCAGGTAAGGGTGGGGGTGGGTGGCACACAGAAGATTGTTTCACTTTTCCCTCAAATAGCTAAAAAAAAAATGTAGTCACATCTCATCCTTCAAGAATGAGATTTTTATTCAAAAAAACTTCATTGTGCCTTGTATCTGCATAAAGAAACATTTTTCTTCCTATTAATATAAATTTGACCTTATTATGCTAAAAGAGCAATTATCTGCAAGCCCTTCCTACACACTATGGATTACGTGTCAAATTTCTTTTTCGCTAATCTGACTTCTTACAAATTCCCAGACTTCTCTCCTGGGTGTGGAAGGAGAGATCAAGGGGCATGCATGTGTGTTTTTTGTTGGGGGGTATAGAGATCATAATCACATTACGTGTAAAACCTACAAAGTCATGGTGGGTACTCATCGGCTTGTTAGTTGTCTCAACTTCCAAAGGAGCCTGGAATTCTCACATGCTGCTTTCCATTGTAATTTCAAAGTAGAACTCAATTTGGAATTATGTTCCAAGCCAACCAGCATAAGTCAGATGTGTTTGTGGTCTTGCATGTCAGATGCTTTTGTTACCTCCATATTCTGAACACACACGGCAAGAGTTAAATTCTCTGGGTTTGCCTCTCTGCAGACTTTTGGTTCTTGTAACCCATCAGTCTTAGTTTTCTAGAGGTACCGTACAAATAACTACAACATTGGTGGCATAAAATAACAGAAATTCATTCTCTCACAGTTCTGGGGGCCAAAAGTTTGAGGTCAAGGAGTCAGAAGGGCCATTCTGCCTCCAGAGGCTCTAGAGGAGAACCCATTTCTTGCCTCTTCCAACTTCTGGTGGCTGCTGACATTCCTTGTCTTGCTATGTCTCTCTCTGCTGCATCTTCACATCACCTTCTCCTCTGTACATCTGTCTCAAAACTGCCTCTGCCTCTCTCTGAACAGGTTACATGTGATTGCATTTAGGGCCCACCCAAATAACACAGGAAAAAAGCACCTCCTTTCAAGTCCCTGAACTTAATCACATCTTGTGCCATGTAAGATGCCATGATATTCACAGGTTCTGGGGGCCACCATTCAGCCCCTACATCATCTCTGCCTGTATTTCCTTTGCCCCGCCTCCTGCCATCATTCCTTGTAGGGGGGAGTTCCTGTTCCTTCTTGAGCCAAATCACTGAAATGATTTATGATCTTCTCTCCCCAAAATTATCTTCAGGCTTCTCAGCTGCCAGGGGCAATGGAGCACACTTGTGCCTGACAGTGGTGGCCACCTTCAGTCTGTTTGTTGCTGTTGTTGTTGTTTTATCTTTACTTTCTTGTCAGCTGTTTCAGAGCCTGTGATCCCTTATCCAAGAGTCTGTGATGCCCTGTACCCTCCCTTCCCTGATCCATCCTATCTTGTACCCTGCCAGAGCAATGGCAACTCCCCACTGCAACACCACCTGGTTAATATCAAATACTGTAGGACTGAACAGGAATGTATCTTGGTCCTGGATAATGAAAATCAAGAAAGAATAAGAAAAAAAGCAGCTAGTAGCTTAAGGAAACTTTCCATCTTCTTTAAAATCATTGATTTTCCCTGAGCTAAAATTCATTAGAAGTAAAGTGAGAAAAATGTCCAATTCATGAAAAGATATTGAGTCCCAGAAAATAAAGCCTTGGCTGGTCAGAAACTGTCATTCTAGGCAAAGTGTTCTCTGAGATCAGGAATGGAGAAGAACCACAATTCACCAACAACCGTTGGATGTGGGAGTCAGGAGACCTAGGTTCAACTCTTAAACCTCTCACTAACATGTTATGTACTTAGGAAAAAAATCACTTCATCTTTTTGGACCTCAGTTTCCTTATCTGTAAAATGGGGATAATAATGTCATCCTTGCTTACTTCACAGGGTTATTATGAGGATCAAATAAGACAGCAGTTATGAGAATACTTTGGAAAGTTTAGAATGCCACATATGATTTATAGCTTTCTTCTTGCAAGTAGACAGGAGCGTGAACTTGCTTCATGTAGACTAACCTCAACTCAGGCTTCTGGATGCCTCACGCTTCTTCACCTTCTCCTCAGTAAGTCACTGGATTTAGAATCTGCAGACATAAATCATAATCTTGCCCTTCATGTGTATCTGAGGTGTCAGGTAAATCTTACTATATTTAAGTTTCAGCTTCTTCATCAGTAGAATGGGTATACTTGTTCCTATTCAATTTAGTCAGATAAAATAATATATTGAAAAAGCACTTTTTGAAATTACAAAGCACTGTATACATTGAAAGTCATGTTATGAAGATGATTGAATACCCATTGTCCTTCTCCTCTGATGGCCTAAACAATAAGGACAAGCTACAATACACAGACCTCTTACCCATTCCTGACCCCAGGAGCGAATGCAACTGGACTGTGGTCTTCCTTGTCTGAGTGTGACTGACAGTGGAGATGCGATGGGAGTAGACAGACACATCTCAGATTTGTTTTATTTTGTGCATTTCACCAACTAATGTGATATATTAGTCAGGATGGGATAACTACTGTAATAAAATTAATAAATCAGAGTTGGCATAATACAAGCAAAGACTGTTTCTTACATTACAATCCAAAGCATGGTAGGGGGAAAGGTAGAGACCTGGGACCCACATAGTCATTGAGGGACAAGACTTCTTTGTAGCACTGAACAGGAATGTTTCTTGACTCTGCCACCCTTCTGAGCTCCAGAATCTTCCACTTTATTCTATCCATCCAGCCTGTTGACGAGCACAAGGAGAGACCCTGGAGCCCTATGTGGGGAATTTGGAAGGCTGGTCCTGGCAATGGTGTATCACATTTCTACCTATGCCTCCAAGGCCAGAACCCAATAAATGGCTCCACCTAACTTTAAGGCAAATGAGAAAGGTAGCCTAGCAGTGTCCCTAATATGAAAAGGGAAGATATGCATATCTATGAGCACTAGGAATCTGTGCCACAGTGGAATCCTTTAGGTTGATTTAGAGATATTTAAATCAGGATTGATTTTCCTTGGTCTGCAGCCAGAGACAATAGACTGGGTCTAAAAGATATTAGACATTACTCAGAGAGAGAGAGAGAGAGAGAGAGAGATAGAGAGAGAGAGAGAGAGTGCATGCATGCACAAGCATATCCCATACCTTATGGATGAGTGAGGTTCTTAAGATATATGTATAAGTCAGTTGTTTAAAATTTAAATGCATGTCTTACAAAATCATAGGCAGCTGTAGACTATAACAGTTAAGGTATAACTCTTAGAGTCAGATGGCCTGGGTACAAATCTAAACTCACCATTAGGTAGTTGAATAGCCTTGTAAAGTTAGTTAATCTAGTGGCTTTCAGACACTTTTGAATATGCATACAAACATGTCATATATATACATACATATATATGTGTATATAGGTATACTGCCATATTAGTCCATTTTCACACTGCCAATAAAGACATACTTGAGACTGGGCAATTTACCAAAGAAAGAGGTTTAACTGGACTTACAGTTCCACGTGGCTGGGGAAGGTCTCACAATTATGGTGGAGGGTGAAAGGCACTTCTTACACGGTAGTGGCAAAAGAGAATGAGAGAGAAGCAAAACCCCTGATAAACCCATCAGATCTCATGAGACTTACTCACTATCATGAGAATAGCATGGGAAAGACCAGCCCCCATGATTCAATTACCTCCCCCTGGGTCCCTCCCACAACACATGGGAATTCTGGAAGATACAATTCAAGTTGAGATTTGGGTGGAGACACAGCCAAACCATATCAACTTCATATACATATCATATATATATATATATATATATATGTATGCAGCATATATAAATACATATACATATATACTGTGTATGTATATGTATTTATATATGTTGCATATATGTTATTCATATATGTTGCATATATATGTTATCTATACATATACAGATATAGTATATATGTATATGTATAAATACTGTATATGTATATGTATTTGTATTTACATATGTTGCATATATATAGGTTGGATAGAGCCAACTTAATTAATTTTCCACCTAGTAATGGGTCATGATCTTCAGTTTAAAATTTGACTTAACCTCTCATTAGTCTTAGTTTTTTCAACCGAAGAATGGGCTTGTTGAAAGAATCAAACCAATTGATGCTCATGGAAGATTTCGCTCACTGAGCACTTCATACATGTTACCAACTATTGTTATTATTATATCATTTTAAATTATAGCCTACTAAAATTTATGCAACTAGTAAAAGGTAGAGACAAAATTTAAGCAAGAAATTGTTGTCCTCTTTCCATTTTAGCACCGTAGGATCATTTAAATTTAATGATTCCTTCTTACCTCTCTTCATTCAATCAAGATAGAAAATGTTTATTTAGGGCAAAACATGTGCCAGATACTGTGATCACACTGGGAATACAAAGCTGAATAAATTACAACTGCTGTGCTGATGCGGCTTGAGTATCTAGAACTGTGCTGCGCAGAATGGTGGCCACTAGCCATACGTGGTTATTTGCATTTACATTTAAATTAATTAAGATGAAGTAAGATTAAAAATGCATTTCCTCATTCACACAAGTCACATTTCAAGTGTTCAGCAGCCACAAGTGGCCAGGAGCCACCATAATCATCAGCACAGACATGGAAAATTTTCACATCATAGAAAGTTCTACAGAATAAACAAAGAGCCTTGAAAGAAAGTCACTTATGCCTCAAATTTGAAGGAAAAAGAGAAGTCACGTGAAATGGGCTTTACATGTTGAAGATACTTGAGAATATTTTAGACAGCATTTCTGCAGTGCCACCCCTGGTCCTGCTGCATGCTATTAGGTTGCTGCAAATGTAATTGCAGCTTTTGCCATTGAAAGTAATGACAAAAACCACCAAAATTACATTTGCACCAACTTAATACTTTCAATTTGTCCTGTTCTTACATACCTGGGCAGGTGTCCCTTGTTGCCTGTACCACTTCCTTTTGCTGAAGGAAGTGTCCCCGAAAATTCCAAGTTGTTCTACCTGGATTGGGAAAATAGAACACTACTCATGATGAAACAAAAGGGACATGTCCGATTCCAAATACACACTTTGGTCCCAGCTGGAGTTGTTGCCTGCCCAGCCCTCCCCAGCTGTCAGACAGAATGCAGCCCTTTCTCTGGAGCCAGTGAAAGCCAGATGTAGTGGTGTCCTGGGAGCATCTCCTCCACCAGAGTGGAGGCCTCGGAAGTGCCTGCAGGTAAAGTGCTAGTGTCCTCCTGGGGAACCTGGCCTTAAAGGTTGAGTACAGAGTTATATCCTCTCTGATCACCACTATGTGTTGATATTCTAACAGGATTTTGATTCCTGACGAAAGTCGAGCCTGCCTGCTCAGCCAGGGAACTTGATCTTCTGCCAGAGAACTTGACACCCCTGCCTTCAAGGTGTTAGATTCCACTTTGGTGATTCACTGGCTGGACCTCACCTTAGCTTGGACAATTCTTCCTGGACCTGTGGACCTGACATGTCCCTGACACCTAAACTTATCAAAAGTTAGAAGCATCTATCATGTTATACTCTCCCCACCTAAAAAAGATAACCCTTGCATAGAAGAATTTCCAGAGAGCAGAAATGAGTCTCATTTTGGCTTGATGACCTGGTGCAGATGGGAGTCATAGTATTTAATATATGGGAAAGAACAAGAGCTTTGGAAACTGGCCTGGGTTCAAAAGCACAGCATTTAGTAACTGTGAGCTTAAACAAGTTACCTATTTACTCTCACTGGTAGGTTCTTCAATCTGTGAAACAAGGATCAGAATGTCTATATATATTGTTTAGGAATTAACAAAAATGTAAAGGGATTTATACATCATTGGCATAGTTTTGTTTTTCCGTTTCCTCCACATCCTCTCCTGGAGACTTACCTGTCCTGGCCTTGGCTATCTCTGCCCCTGAACCAGCTCTCCTCACAAGCTCTGTGCCTGGGGCCTTGGAAGTTCTGTTTCCTAGTCCCCAATCTTCAAAGAATAAAGAAAAATATCTAGAGGCAGAGTGATAAAAAGGCTTCATCTAAGTGAGGGTTGGCATTAGATTCTCTAATGGAGTGTGACTGAAGTCCTAATCTGGGTTAGGACAGATGGTGGTTGTCTGTATTTTATGCTAAAGGGTAAGAATCTTTCAATTCTGCAGGCAAGTTCACCAGGAGTTTATGACCTGATTATAGGAAAGCAGATTATAGGACATGAACAATTACACATTTATACAATCAGTCTGTTTATTTACAACTCCGTAGCAAACAGATATTTCACATGGACATGCAGAACATAAGTGAACTCCCTCCTAGAAGGAAAACATGAGAGGACTGACAGATGAGTGATGGGGTGACACTGCCCATCATTCAGGTATTCAAATACCTAAGCTCTTTCCAGCTCCAGGATCTTTGCATGTGCTGTTCCAGGAAAGCTCCCCTCCCTCCCAATTGATTTTTGTCCAAGCCCTATCCAACATTTACTTCTCAGCTACCCATGAAGCCACTCCTGATAGCCCAATGTAAACCTTGCCTCTGCTCATTGTTCTGGATTATATAGAAAAGCTTTATCTGTAATGTTTATCAGAATATGGGGTTACTATATGTTCCTTTGCATGATTACTTGTTTAATATTTGTTTCTTAAACTGGCCCATAAGCTCCTCGAGGGAAGAGACCATGCTTGATTTTTTTTCTCTTCTGTAAATACAATGTCTAGCCTAGCAGCATCACCCCTGGTTTCAAGACATGCTAGTCCTTGAAAGCAAGAAGGCTGTGGTCCAGGTGCATCTTGTGCTTCTTCTTTAGCTACTCACAAGAGGTGAGCTGAGGTTGAAGAGTGAACGAAGGTAGGTGTTGATCAACAGTCTGGAGAGACAGAATGTTACAAGAGGTGAAATTAATGTGTCAGATGATGACCTAGAAGGGAGTTGACTAGAAATTAGGAGTTGTAGTGTAGTCACAATGCAGGGAGACTGTGTTGGGGCCAGCTTGCTATGATATCTGCTCAATTTGCTGCGTTTATCAGTGAAAGGAACACATTCCTCCTGTCTATATCTTCCTAGACTTGTGAATAAGAGTGTGCCTGGCTCAATATATTTCTTGAAAGAATGGCAGAGTTCAAGTGGCTCAAATTAAACTGAAAGTAACAATTAAAAAATAAACAGGATAGCAAGAGCCGAACAGAGACTAGATGCTTTCTGAAGGCCTTTCCAACCAAGAATCTATGTGTGTTCCAATGACACTTTACATTCTGTTTGGCTTCTGTTTGCTTCTCTCCATGAGAGAGAGATTCCGAGTTCCAACTTAGGAAATGAGGACACATTCCCTCCTCATTGAATAGAGGAATTGGCAGAGGCTTTTTCCAAATAAAAACAGAGGCTGCATTTGGACATATCCCTGACCCAATTAACCCCAGCTCATTCTGAGTGATAAAGACAGATTCTCGGCCAGGCACGGTGGCTCACGCCTGTAATCCCAGCACTTTGGGAGACCAAGGCAGGTGGATCATCTGAGGTCAGGAGTTCAAGACCAGCCTGGCCAACATGGTGAAATGCTATCTCTACTAAACTACAAAAATTAGCTGGGCGTGGTGGCAGGCACCTGTAATCCCAGCTACTCAGGAGGCTGAGGCAGGAGAATTGCTTGAATCCAGGAGGCGGAGGTTTCAGTGAGCCGAGATTGTGCCACTGCACTCCAGCATGGGCGACAGAGCCAGGCTCCATCTCAAAAGAAAAGACAGATTCTCTGGCATTGACGGGACAGGGAGGTGGGTGTAGTTAGAACTGTGAGGGCCCACTCCAAAGCTAAATTCTCTGACTTCTTTCTCTCTAAAAAGCCATTTATTTGGTATTTGTATGTCTGAAGATGCCTCTAAAAGGAAAGTGATGAAAGTGCCGCCATTATATATCCTTAACCAACCACTGCCCATCAAAGCTCCCTTTGGGACACAGAGAAGCAAACTTCTCCTTCATCCTTTAAGATCTAGTTCAATTCCTTGGCCCCTCCTTCCATGATGGCTCCTTGGACCACTCCCTAACAAGATGTGCTCTCTCTTCTTTAACCTCCTAACACTTGTTGCACCTCTTGTTTTTTCACTGGATCTTACTCACACATCACGTTGTAGCAGCTCTTGCCTGGTTGAATTATATTGCCAGGGTATGTGTCCTTGTAGGCATGTACCATGGGATTTCATAGAGGGCACTGTAGTAGACAGAAAAATGCTCCCCAGTAATGTCCAGGTCCTATCTCCTGTTACCTGTGGACACATTATGTTACATAGCAAAAGAGATTTTGCAGATGTGATTAAGTTAACCATCTAGAGAAGAGAAGATTATCCTACACTATTTGGATGGACCCAAAATAGTCACAAGTGTCCCTGTAAGAGGGAGGCAAGAGGGCCAAAGTCAGAAGAGGTGATGCAAAGTGGAAGCAGAGGTTGCAGTGATGTGGTTTAGCAATGAAAGAAGGGACCATGACCCAGGACACAGCAGTGGCTTTTAGAAGCCGGAAAAGGCAGGTACACAGATTTTCCTCTAGAACTTCCAGAAGAAATGCAGCTCTTCCAACATCTTAATTTTAGCCTGTAAGACCATTTTGGACTTCTAATCTCATAAAGTGGAAGATGAAAAAAAATGTGTTGGTTTAAACTATGACATTCATTTTGATTTGCTACAGCTGCCATGGGAAACGAAGGCAGACATGCTTAGCAAACTCTTGATTACCTGGATTCAGGCCTTGCGGGACATTCCACTTTCTGATACAATTTTGAACCTATTTGGAAAACCATGAAATGGCCATGACATTTTTATGCAATCTATAGAAAGAGCGTGGTTAAATGTGGAGAGCCCCAGAGGTGAGATAAGAATGCAGCCCCAGCCTGCTCTAGAACTGAGCAGAGTCTGTAGGCCCAGCCACGCTTCTAGCTTGAGAAGCACTTGTACGGTGGCATGGAGATGTTTACAAAGGCCAGCTAGCTAGGGGTCACACATTTGGGAAGAAAATACAGTTTATAATTTAGCTTAAAGTGGACAAAGCCTCTGCCACTCACATCACGTGACCAGTCCCAGCCAAATGTGGCAGCCTCTCCTTTCCTCCTGTAGACTCTCCAGGACTTTGGTGGAGGCCACGCTGTTATGTGGAAGTCAAACGCCAAGCTGCCCACGTGGTGAAAGAATTCAGTTCTGTCTGGTTCACGGTTGAGGGTTGAGATGGTGGCAGTTAAGCACATTTCCTCCAAGCCAAGGAAGCCCAACTCTGCCAGAGAAATCAAATTAAAACAGGAAGGTGGAGAAATGATCTTCATTAAAAGCATACCTGCCACACAATTGCTTCAAGCCAATTTGGCAAGGAACTTTGCCTCTCCTGCTTTTAATAAGTGTGAACTGATGTTTTATTTAACTGTCCACCTTCTCCAGGCTTCTGATTCTGCCTAGAAAAATAAAGGTTTTAAAATTTATTTCTGATTTAGCTGGCCATGAGTCCAGACTGTTTCCAGGGTTACAGCCTCAGGAAGACGTTAGGAAGAACCCTCGTTTTTTCAGAATTACATATTTCATTAAAAAACTCCTGAGTCCCTATCAATTCTGTTTGGAGCCATTTGAGTTCTGTCCTTTGTTTGTTTGTTATTTTTATTTTGGTTGAAGGACGCTTATTTTTGTTTGAAGTATTTTTCCTTTTTTTTTTTTTTTGAGAGGGAATCTTGCTTTGTTGTCCAGGCTGGAGTGCAGTGGTGTGACCTTGGCTCACTAAAACCTCTGCCTCCAGGGTTCAAGCAATTCTCCTTCCTCAGCCTCCTGAGTAGATGGGATTACAGGCGCCTGCCACCATGCCCAGCTAAGTTTTGTACTTTAGTAGAGATGGGGCTTCCCCATGTTGGCCAGATTGGTCTCAAACTCCTGACCTCAAGAGATCTACCTGCCTCAGCCTCCCAAAGTGCTGGGATTACAGGTGTGAGACACAGTGCCCAGCCTGTTTGAAGTATCCTTAGTTTTTCTTCCCAGTGGTTATTAATCAATTTAAATGTTCTTACCTTTGTTGAGAAAATTTGAGTAACTTTAATTTTTCCATAAAATACTTGTTATCCTTTTTTTTAAAATTTTACTTGTATACTATCAAATAAAGTTTTTTTTAAGTTATCTAATTTTTATTAAATCTGTGAATATACCCCCTTTATCACTTCTAGTATTGTATATTTTCTTTTTTTTTAAATTTCTTGAAAACTAGTGGATTTATCTGTTTTATTCTTTGGCATTTATGAAGCACTAATTTATTGAGTTTAGTTTTTATAAGTGTGAATTTATTTCATATGTTTTCTTAGATTTGTTTACTTATTTTTCAAATCTTTTGAATTAAATACTAATTATTTTTACCAATTCGTATTTGGTAATAAGGTTGTTTAAGGCTGTGAATCGCCCACTGGAAACAATTTTGTTTGCATTCAGTAAGTTTGATTATGAGTATTTTCTTTATTGTTATTTAATATTTTAATTATGATTTTGACATTCTCATTGATTCTCCAATCAATGAGATTGGAGTTTAAAATTTAGAGTTTAATTTAGAGTTTAAAATATTTAAGTTTGTCAATTATTTGTACGTCTGTTACTTATTTCTCATTTAGTTGCATTGTGATAAAAAAAGTGTTGCTATCTTTGAAATTTACTTAAATTTCCTTCACATTTTGTATAATCAACTTTTTTAAAAAATGTAAATTTTGCACATAAACAATAGAAACCTTTTTATTTATCACCTATGGGATTTAGATACATAGAGTTTGAAATGATACAGTATATATCAAAACTTTACTTGTTATATCATTCAGAACAGGTATAATCTGTTTAGTATATTAAGTGTATCTTATATTTGAATTTGGACAGTGTTTAAGTTTCCTATATCTGGTGTGTTTCAGTAAAATTTTCACTTCATTTTAAACAGATTTTTATTTTATATAGTTTAATTTAATTTTATTTGGCACATAAAGTGAAGGAGAGTTATATGTTCATTGGGCATTACGTCTTCAATAAAATAGGACTCTTTTTGTCCCATTTAATTCTTTAATTTGGAATTCAACATTGCAAGACATAGTTATTGAAAATCTAGTTTCTTCTGTTTCAGTTGTATGTGGCTTTATTTTACTTTTCATTTATCTGTTATGTATTTGCTTATCATTTTTGTTTCAGTCTTAATAAATACCTTCTTTATAGCTATGTTTTTTGTAGCCTGAAGTTATATCTTCATTCTAATATTTTTCTTTGAGTAGGTAAGTTATCAATTACTTTTATAAACATAAATGTAATTGATATTTTTGGTTTTATATTGTTATTTTATTTTCTGCTTTTATGCTTTCTCCTTTTTTATATTGTTTCACATTTTACTTATTTATTTTTCTTTTAAAATTTTTTTATGTTGCCACGTGGTCTGCGCTCACTTGTGTATCTTTTGCTATGTTTATGTTCCTTGCTGGGTCAGTTTTTTGAGAACTGAACATTTTCATCTGGTTGTGAATATTTGATGTGTTTAACTAATTGCTAAAACACAATTATAACTTAATACAATTGAAAAGGTAAATAATATTAATTTTTGTCTATTAAAGATGAAGAAACCAGGTGACTTAGACTTTAATATCTGGGTATTATTGTTATATTCACTTTCCTAGCAAAATTATTACTACATTATATGTCAGTCAGTATTTTCTATGTAACATACTTTGTCTTTGAATAATTTGATATTTATAATATTTTTGTTCAACATAATTAACAAAACTACTTGGGTCCAACACTGTGTTTATATAGATTAAATGTTCAAAATTACATTTTTCAAATAATTCTTCATTCATGACTTGTTTTGATTAATTTCTTAGTTGGTTAGACTTTATCCTCAAGTAGGTTTTTCGGAGAATGCTATGCATCAACTTTTGAGTTTGCTTTTCTATTGTCAATACATATAAATAGAATTTGGCTGGATATACAAAATTTCATATTTCATTTCCCCTCCCCTTCAAAACTCTACAGATACTTTGCCATTTCCTTCTGGAATACTTTGTTTTTGAATATTTGTTTTGAAGTCAACCTGACTATTTTCCTTTCTAAGTTACTTTTGCCACCCTGCCTGTAGCATATTTTTTAAATGTTGAAATTCACAAGATTTATTATAATATATATTTAATTGTTGTTGGTAATTTTGATATTTATGGTAAATTCTTTCAGCCAGCAGTTTGAAATCTTCATTAACTTTAGGAATATTTTCTTCTGTGATGTCTTTGTGTACTGTTTCTGTCCTATTTGCTCTATTTTCTCGTTAAAGCCCATTTGTTGATCATATGCATGCTTATTTATTTATTTATTTTCAGACAGTTTCTCTCTCTGTCACCCAGGCTGGAGGGCAGTGGTGTGATCTTGGCTAACTGCAACCTCCACCTCCTGGGTTCAAATAATTCTTGTGCCTCAGCCTCCCAAGTAGCTGGAGTTACAGGTGCACATCACCACACACAGCTAATTTTTGTATTTTTGGTAGAGACAGGGTTTCACCATGCTGTCCAGGCTGGTCTCAAACTCCTGGCCTCAAGTGGTCTGTCCAGCTTGGCCTCCCAAATTATTGGGATTATAGGCGTGAGCCACCGCACCTGGCCTCATATGCTTGTTTTCTGCCTATTCTCCATACATATTACTACTTTTAGTGTTTTGCGACTTTTCCCTACAGTCTAGATGCCTCTTCTGTAAGCCTGCTCATTCCCCAATAATGACCCCTGCCCAACCCCTTACTAGTCTTAAAACCTGAATTCATTTAGAATCTACAAAATAGTCTTCATACTGCAAACTTTATTTGGTTTTAAAATTTTCTCTAAAATCTCAATTTGTGTCCCTGATTCTATTATTGTATTGTTAATTCTGATCTTTGCTAAATTTCCTGTCACTTAAATGCAGTGGCATTATCATAATAAATTGATTATTAATTTCTAGCAACTCTTTTAAAAACTAAATCTACTAATTATTTCACTTACTCAATTTGTTTCATAAAGTCCATTTTCTTTAATTTCTTTAAAAGCATGATGTTGTCTACATTTTCCTCATATTTTCTAACTAAATCTCATTCCAGAGGATGAATTTCATCTAAAACTTATCATTTATATTCATTTTCATGCTTTGTGTATACATTTGTCATGCAGAATTTTCACATAGCTTCTGTGTTTGCTTGCTTGTTTCATTTGTTTTCCTGTTCATTACCTTTTAATGACAGAAGCTCTTTCTGGGCTTTATATTTGCATGACTGAAGTAGATTCTTCCTTTTTCTATTTTTAGTTTGCTTGCACACTATTCTATTCCTCCCTTTATATTTTATCTGGAGACTTGGATGGGGGGTTGGAATGATTAATTCGGTTGTTCAGTAGTCACTGGGTGAGGAGCTCTAGCCATGGGCAGCTAAGGAACTTAGTGTGCAAATTCAGACTTCGTATCAAAGTGGAAACACCTATACTAGGGGTGTTTCTACCTCAAATCATGTTTCTACATATTAGGAAGGGTTTGTCTTTCTTGCAGAGGCAGCCTATGCCACCATTAGAAAGTCATGTTAGACAAAATAAAATGTGGCGTGACTATCTAAACTTCTGTTCCAAAAGTTGGGTTTATAAGGCATGTTTGACCTCAGTGCAGAAAGAAAATCAGGGTAAGGTGTTTGCTTTTTTGCCTATAGCCTGTTCATATATCCCATCTTCATCTTAATAAATTGGGGATTAGATTCTTGTGAAAATTATTAGATAGAATTTCTTTTCATCTTCCCACAGCACTGCATAGATTTCTTGGAAAGTGGGTGTGGGTTGTCAGCCTTTGATGACTCATTTCCGTTTGGACCAAATTGTATCTTACATGTATTTGTCAGTGTTTGTGACACAAAGTAAGATTATTCTCCAGGATCATTAATCATAATAATTAGTGAGAAAGTATTTTTCTCTGTTTTGCTTATTTTTCATTCTTTTGGTCTGTACGTAGAAGGGAGATTTTATAAATCTTCACTGAACATTACCATCTTACCCCCAAATTCCCCATGGGATTCTGCTCTTTACTTTGCTAAGCAGCTATTAACACAGTAATCTCTAGTGCCCTCTCTCTCCTTTTATCTAATCTAATGCCTTTTCCTTTTTCTAGAAAAATAACTACCTCTGTCTATGTGAAGTTTATTTATCACCCAAGACCCTGTAGAATCTTACTTGATACATGAACTATTTTTTGAACATCACACTCCATAGTAATGTCTTCCTCTCCAACATATTATATATGTGTTTACCATTTGAATATACAAGAATATAACATTTTTCTATGTGCTCTATACTCTATCTTCCCCCAACTATATTTTAATTGTCCAGTATATGATTTTGCACATAACAGATGGCCATAAATTTTTGATAGTTTATAACAACGGGCTTTAAAAAGGAAAAAGAAGAACTATCTTTTCAACTCCCTCCCCAGTAATGACCCCTGCCCAATCCCTTCCTAGTCTGAACACCTGGATTAGTTTAGAATCTACAAAACAGTCTTCACTACTCCAAAGTTTATTTGATTTTAAAAATTTCTCTAAAATCTTAATTTAAAGGGTCATCAGTAGGCCAACTGTTTAAATATCTCCACCAGCAATGTAAATAGTGAGTCAAATTACCTATTCATTCCGGAGCCCTTTAATTCCTTCTATCCCTTCTTCACTCCCTCCCTTTTTTATTGTTCCCACTCACTTTATCCGTGTGGCAAGAAAAGTGAAATGAGACTGAAAAAAAAAATGCAGCTGATTAAGGCAGAGAGCTCAGGGAACTATCTTTCTAAGCCCAATCAAGTCTTTAAAACAGATCAATTTCATTTTCCATAGACAGCCTGGCACCTGAGGTATGGGTGACTTTAAAACCTCATTTGTTTGTGCTTTCTGGCTGAGCTTTAGGTTTCTAATGCCAAAAGGAATAACAGGAAAAAGAAGGAAGAAGCAAGGCTGTCAGAGCCTTGATATTTTCTTGATTCTTCTCAGTTCCCTGAGAAATCTCTCGGTAAATAATTTCCACAGGATCTTTGATGGGGCAGTCTTGTGAAGGAGGTGACAATTAATAGCAAAATGAGTCAGAGAGGGAATGAAAGTGTTGAGTCAAATTCTATGCCCTATCTGCCATACACACACAGGGCAGCAGGGTAAGTCTGCTTCACTCTGAGCGCTCACTGACCCGTTAGGTCAGGATCAATCCCTACGATTGCTACTGCCTTTGGGATTCCTTTGGTGTAGTTCAGGGACCTGCTATTCCTCCTGGACAGAAAATCTTTAGGAATTTATATTCTCCCCCTTTTATCTGTGTTTGTTCCTGCCAAAGGCCTGCATTAGGGTCTGGCACTCTTCCAAAAGTAGTATGTCCAGTGTTTAGAGCACTATCTAATTTCAGATGATGGAAGGAGCAATGAGAAAGTGGCTACATCCTGTGGCTGCTGGTGCTTGCAGGTGGAGGTAAGGCCTGGAGCTAGTGGCATGGCTGCCAGCAGAGAATCTCAAGGCTCTGTTGACAAACCATGTGTGTGGAAAAACCCCAAGACCAGCATCAACCATCTAGTACTTATTGATGGCCTAGATGTCAGGCACTGAGCTGGTTGCCTCAGATGCTCATATGAGCTGGAGGAGAGGGGATATACACAAATAACTAGAGTAGGCCAACAGCATGTACTAAGAGTAAGATCAAAATCATATGCACATAGCCATAAGTACAATTATGTTTCGGGGGGAAGAACATATGTGAAACAAATGGTGAAACAAGCCCCCAGTGATAAAGTAAGATGCTCCACCCAGCTAGACAATGTTGTTGTCTTTCTTGATCAATGGTTAGAATTTTCTGACTTATCATTGCTGGCAGCCCCTCGTACAGAAGATGTCATGATTAGGGGGCTCTGGAGAGATGACAAGGAAAGCAGGAGTTCTAAGGTGACTGATTTCATGAGACTGTGGGAGACAGGAAGCTGATTATGGATACATTTTTGTCAGCATTCTACGCTCCCAAGGGAAAACTGAGCTAAATATCCCAGGCAGGTCATAGGCCAGCAATTCCAATGGGACGATAGATGATATGCCAGAAGTAAGGAAGAAATCCGATTTCAGCAAAGTGGAGCAATAGAGTGTGGCCTCTGCTGATTCCAAAAAGGCACGTCAAGCAGGTCAGGTCACAGTCACACCCAGGATCTCTTGAGCAACAGCATCTGGGTTATGTTATGAGCCGGAATGTACTGGAACTCTAGAAGAACTCTTCTGAGGCCTAGTAGGTGGGTTAGAGGTCCTGACTTAAAGTGTTTCCATCTCATGGCTTGATATTATTATTATTTCCATCAAGTCTATTCTCTACTGCCCATTTCATCATTAATATTCATGATCGTTTGCTTTCTTCCTTTTTCCTTTTGTTCCTGTCTTGTCAATTTGCTTAGAGCAGTAATTCTCAGGTGCTGTTCCCAGACCAGCAGCATCACCATCACCTGGAAACTTACTAAAATGCAAATTATCTGGCCCCACCTCAGACCTACTGAACAAGAAACTCTAGAGCTGCGGCTCAGCAATGTGTGTTTTAACAAGTCCTCCGGGTGATTCTGATGCATGCTAAGGTTTGAAAACCACGGGCTAAGAATTAAGGTTATCCTAAACAGTAGTAGGTGGCAGCTCTCAAAGAAGAAAGTAGACCTACAGGAGTTGTCAATGAATATTTAACAATGTATTTCTGATGCTTCCTGTGATAGAGACTGCTAAGTTGCCTTACAAATATTTGTTCCATTTTTCTCTCTCGAAGGAGGTTGTAGTTTTAGGTAGGCATGTTGTCCTCTGGCTAAAGACTAAATTTCTTGGCCTCCCTTGCAGTGAAGCATGGCTATGTTTCTCAGTTTTGACCAATGGGATGCAAATGGATTGGTAATGTAGAAGGGAGCTTGCTTATTCACATTTCTTTACACATCTTGCTATTGGAAAAGAATGTGACGGCTGCAATTATGGCAATTGTCTTGAACCAAATGAACAAAGACTATAGACCTTGAATTTGGTGCAGCCAAAAGTAGGAAGAAACTTGATTTCATCCTGACAACGTTGTAACTATATAAGTCTTGGAGTTATCTATCTCCAAATTCTCTTATGTGACAGAGAAATAAATCTCTACCTAATTTAGATGACCTTTTTCTAAATCCCTGTTACTTAGAGACAAATATAATCCTAAATAAGGTAATCCTTACTGAATCTGCAAAACAATACCCCTTCTTTTTCTCTACTTCCTCAATCCTTGAGAAGACGAGGTGATTTTATATGACTCTGCTAGTGGTCTCATAGGAATTCAGAGCATTTGGTAGAAAATTGCCTAATTCATCCACATGGTTTAGATTTTGCTTCTTGGCTGTTAAATGAAGCAGTGTATAAAGGTAAAAATAATTTTCTCATAGATTACTTTTCACACCGCAATGCAGCACAAGCTGCATTAACACCTACGGGAATATTCAGCGTCTCAGAAAAAGGCTGAGAGTTGTTCTATTTGTTTTATAGATGAGCAAATTAAGCCTAAAGACAGTAAAGTCACTTTGGTTTTAGATTATGTAATTGTACTATGAGCTCCTTGAGGGTAAGAAGTGTGTCTTATTAATATCTATGTCCTGCATGCCTATAAAAATATGTGGGATATAGTCAAGTCTTCAATAAATTTTGTTGAATCTGTAATTAAATGAAAGAGAACTAGGACTAAATTCAGCAGCTTCCTCCCTCAATTGATCTATTTTAGTGAAATAAATCAAGTAGAGATGATTTCTGGGTTGTCTGTGATTTTCTGGACTGAGTTTTAGCCTTAATTTTAATTTGGGGCACTTGGGGAGGTCTATGGAGAAAGGAGTAGTAGGGAATGTAGAATTTCCAAACAGGAAGATGTAGTAATTTTTTTTTTTTTTACCATGACAGCTGAAGGTCTCTTTACAGTCCTAATTTTGCCTATGGTAAGCTCTGATAATCAAGATGATCAAGGAAAAGTTGGTCTGAATTTCACTGGTTTAGTCATATTCTATTCTCTGACTGTTGATTATGGTCTGTGTCAAGAGGAGAAAGATGTGATGCTATTAATCTCATCTTTAACCCCAAGCCTGCCCCATCGTGGGGCTATATCATGAGCCTATTCCTCCCATCATTACTCCATAAATGGATTTCTCTTCATTTGTAAACCGTATCATGAACATGACACCACAACCAGCTTATTAACCTAAGTCCTTAGTGCTAATTGATGTCTCATTTAAAGGTATCTGGTTTTAATTGCTGGCTTTGTTACCTACTAAGCTGTATTTATTTGGGTAAGGTATTTAACTTCTCTGGACCTCATGCTTCTCGTATGTAATATGAAAATAATACTGCATTTACAGGGCTAGTGTAATAACAAAATTTTAAAAATAGTTTGAATTACCCCTTGGGTTATTTTCCACCTTCATAATGCAAGCAAACCCAGAGACTCCATATTTTACATTATAGAATAATATTTTATGTGGAGAAGAACTTCCCTAAGGTTCAAATTTGTGTCTCTGGAGATTTATTTACCCTTTCCTCAGGATTTATTACTAATTTGTACTCCCACAACCATTGTTCACTTTTAATTAAAGCACAAGTCTAAACTCATAGGCTAAAATACTTTTAAATGACACCCCCACAAAAAAAGAGAGGGGTAGGGGAAGTAAGTGTGAAGAGTAGCATGCAATCCACTTGTAAGTTCTACCTCATTCGTCTGCATTCATCCGACCAATCTTAGTGTTCACTGGTTGCTAGATGCTGCAGGCCCCTGGATGTTGAGTTACATGAATGAGTGAGTCTTTGATCTCATGGAGCTTATAATCAGAGCATCTCCTTGCTTCAATTCCAACCTGTTCTTTGTGGTAGGGATCATCTTTCCATCACCTCCCAGAAACATAAGAAAAGTAGAGACTTAAGAGAGTAAGGACCAAGGAAAGGTATTTTTCTCCTTGGGTAATTTCAGGCTGGTTCCAGATTCCTTCCTAAAACCCAGCTCTTCCACAGATACTTGACATGAAGTCTACTCACTTCAAGTAGAGACTCCACCCTCAACCAAAAGGATGTGGGCTACTGCTGATAGTTTACAGTTGTTACATCAGCACACAGCCAACATAAACTGCAGGTTACATTCTATTACATCTTGTCCTGAGCTCTTTAGTTGCATAGTCTGTATATAATGAATCTTAGTTCTATCCCTCATAAGATAATAGAATCCAAGTACCTTTGCTTTGGAGTCTTGATCTTCTATCATCTGTTCTAACGTTGTATCACATTACTTCCTTACTTGAACTCTCTGTTTCAGCCTAATTGAGCTACTTGTTGTCCCTAAATCAGATTATGCCTTTTGTTCATATTTTTATTCTCGTCATAGAAAATGTCATTTCTTATCCATTTATTTAAGTATTTGTTCTTCAATATCATCTCAATATGTGCCCTGTCTAGGAAGACTTCATGATCTAAATGAGCCCAGTCAGACCTCTTCCTGCCCAGTATTGATTATCACATCACTTAGTTGGTATTTATTTATGCTGCTGCATGCTGCTATTTATATGTTGTGGCCAAGTTATTTCTTTGATTGGACTGTATTCTCCTGAGGGGAGTGGAGAGTTCCAGGCCATAGGTACAATGTGTTTCCTGTGAAATTTATAAATGTTGAAAGTAAGTTTTTGATAAAATTTTGTGTTTTATTGAACACATAGATTGTAGAATTTTCTTTTTAAAGTTTTAAAAATGTTTGTAGACAACCAAAGTGTAATAATAACAGGGTCAGTGGACATTGATCCTAGTATTAAAAAGCAGTAGCAAGGTTTTGCTTCCAGTAATAGCAGAGTAGGTCCAATTGGGCCAAATCTTTTACAAATAACAACTACTGATTCTGGACATAATTAATACCAGAAAAAAAAGTAACCTAAAAGCACTTAAGAATGACCTCAAACATAGAAACTAGAATGCAGGGCAACATTTGGCAGAGGGGAATGGCATTGGGAGAATTTTCTGATTTTATGATTTTATGGCTCTTTGACTAGGTGTAGGCTTTAGTCTGGCCTCCTGTGGAGTGGCTAAAACTCTGGTGGAAACTTGTAGTTTTGCTGACTGAAGAACCAGAGGAACGACCACAGCAACTGGAAAGTAAGGGAGTATATTTTAGAGAGAAGACATTTAAATTCTGTGCAAAAATGACCCAAATATCTGTTTCATCACTGAACTACATAAGTGCAGGGCAAACTTCAAGCATCTAAATCTAAAAAAACTGAACAGAGATATCAGCTGCTTTTTACTATAGAGAAACAGTTTGGAGTTTGAGTCCTGTCAAGTTAACAGCCTGCTAGGATCAAAACAAACAAACAACATCAACAAAAAATCAAGACTCTTTCAAGGAATATAAAATATAAAAGTTCTACAATCTCTGTGACATATCATTTACAATGTTCAGGATAGAATCCAAAATTGCTAAATGTGAAATTACTAAATGTGAAGATAGGGAAACATGGCCCATACTCAAAAGAGGAAAAAGAGCAATCAATAGAGACCAACCTTAGTATTACCAAATGGTGGAACTAGCAGAACAGGGTTTTAAAACAACTATGCTCAGGGATGTAAGGGAAAATATGCTTGTAATAAATAAATAAATAGGAAATCTCAGCAGAGAAATATAAACTATATAAAGAAACAAATGAGATTCTAAAATTAAAAAATAAACACCTGAAATAAAAAAAAAATCAACTGGAGAGCAATAAGTACACAGAGCACTCAGATCTTGGTTTGGAAATATAATTCTTCCAAAATGAATGAATAAATAAACATAAACCCAGGGCTCTTTGGAGAAATGGCTGATTCTAGTGCTAGGACAGATAAAATATAATGTGGGCCTGGAGCATTTTGTATACCAGAAAGTAAGGAAGCGCGCGCACACACACACACACACACACACACACACACACACAGACGGATGAAGATTTTCAAAGGAACACAGGAGCCCGCTGAAAGAGCACCTACTGGTCAAAGCAGTAACAATTAAAGCAACAAAACAAATAAAGTAGTATTGAGTTATTACTTAAAATTCAAAATAAATATCCATGAGTTCGTACTGATATAAATAGATGATTGAATTAAAAAAATGCACAGGGGAGAAGAGGCAAACCATACTTACATAAGAATTCCAAACACTACATGTAGAAAATCTCTCCTTCAAGAGGTGGAGCTTACTCCTCCTTATGTCCTCAAGGGTGGGCTAGATTTAGTCATTCTCTTTGAAAGGATATAATAAAATAGGGAAAGCAAAAAGTAGTAACTTTAAGGTGGAGAAACCTGGCAAACAGGACATCAACTGATGTGGCGAAGGTTAACCACCAGTGGTGTCGTGTAGATATCATGTACTCTCAGGCATGATCCAGCAAGGAGGATATTTCTTCCCTGTTGTATTCTTGCCCAAAACCCTAAAGCCCATTTTAGTCATAAGAAAACACTAGACAAACCTAGATTGGGGCATTCTATGGGCTAACTGGCCAGTACTCCTCAAGACTGTCAAGGTCATTAAAAACGAAAAACAACAAAAAACTATCATGGATCGGAGAAAACTGGGGAGACATGACAGCCAAATGTCTCATCGTACCCTAGACTGGGTGTGGAACAGAAAGAGAACACCAATGGAAAAGATGTTAAAATGCAAACAGAGTCTAGAGTTTGGTTAATAGTAACATATCAGTGTCAGTTTCTTAGTTTTGACAAATGTACCATGGTAATGAAAGATATTAACAATGAGAGAAATTGGGTGGAAGGTGATAGCACACAGGGGAAGCCTCTACTATTTTTCTAACTTTTCTGTTAGTGTAAAATTATTCCCAAATAAAAACGTTTATTTTAAAAAATCACTGGAGAGGCTGAAGAACGAATTGGAGATGACAGAAGTGTCAGTAAATTTGAAGACTGAGCAGTAGGAAATATACAATCTGAAGAACAAAGTTAAAAAATTCCCCAAACCAAGATCTTTCATAAAAGCACATAACGACACAGCATGTGGCTGTCTTCCCTTTTGTGGCCATCACCAAAGTGGGAGCAGCCAAAACGACGTTCAATCCCTTTGTGACTTCTGACCAAAGCAAGAACCACCAAAGGCATTTCAATGCACCTTCTCACATTCACAGGAAGATTATGTCTTCCCCTCTTTCCAAAGAGCTGAGACAGGAGACAGAAGTGCAACATTTGATCCATGCCCATCTGAAAGGATGGCGAAGTTCAGGTTGTACCAGGACACTATAAAGGTCAGCAAATGGGCAAAATAGTCCAGGTTTACAGGAAGAAATATGTAGTTGACATTGAAAGGGTGCAGTGTGAAAAGGCTGATGGCTCAACTGTACACGTAGTCATTCGCCCCAGCAACATTTCATCACTAAGCTAAAAGTGGCCAAAGACCGGAAAAAGATTCTTGAACAGAAAGCCAAATCTCACCAAGCAGGAAAGGAAATGGGCAAATACAAGGCAGAAACAACTGGGAAGATGCAGGAATGAAGTAATCTTATATATAGGCTTTCATTAAAACTTGAAATGAAGAAAAAAACTAATATCAAAAGATCTAACAAAAATGAAGTATCAGAAGGAGAGGAGAGAGAGAATGGAGCAGGAAAATAAAATTGAAAGAATGATTTAAAAATTTGCCAAATTTGCTCGGGCACAGTGGCTCACATTGTAATCCCAGCATTTTGGGATTCTAAGGCGAGTGGATCACCTGAGGTGAGGAGTTTGAGACCAGCCTGGCCAACACTGTGAAACCCCGTCTCTACTAAAAATACAAAAAATTAGCCAGGTGTGGTGGCTCATGCCTGTAATGGTAGGCTGAGGCAGAAGAATCGTTTGAGCCTGGGAGGCAGAGGCTGCAGTGAGACGAGATGGTGCCAGTACACTCCAACCTAAATGACAGAGAGAGAGTCTCTCTCAAAAACAACAACAAAAAAAACTTCGCCAAATTTGACGAAAGACATAAATTTACAGATCAGGAAGCTCAATGAACCCCAGGTAGAATAAATAAAAACGCCCTCCCCCCGCCTAAAAAAAACCCCCACACATTATAATGAAACTACTGAAATCAAAGAAAAGGAGAAAATTCCAACAAAAGTAGAATGCTGTTTGGCTACATACATCAGCGTTTGGAAATCTCGCTGCGGTACTGGACTCGAGTAGAGGGAAGAGAGAACAGAATTTCCAAGCACATTAATGTAAGCTGTGTCTCTTGGTATTTGCATGCATTCACGTCACTGCATCTTGCTTTCTGTTTACGATCTGACTTGGGGAAAAAGTTAATTTGCTACATAGCAGTGGGTATTCTCTGCCCTTACTAAGTACCATGAGTAAGGGAGGGAAAAATCAGAGCTCAGAGACTAGAGTCTTCTCCATCCAGTCTCTGGAAGGCTGAAGTTAATGTTCAGTGCTTCACAGGAGCACTGGAAGCCCTCCATGTATAAAGTACCATGGAGCTTTCATGAGGATTGCAGGAATTCAGGGAGTATCTGTCAAATTAACCTCTTGCAAGGAAAACTGGGAGATCTGGGCTCTGGCAATACTCAACCTTTCCCCAAATCTTAAACTCCTATGTATTGACACTGGCCCTTGAGAAAACAAAGGACCTCACACATCTTACTCTACCTTTCCTTGTAGTCTTGATCTCTCTGAGTCTTTCCTTCTCCAAGTATATTATTCTTCTAGTAACACTTTTCCTTCCAACATGGCTCTAGGGTACTTAGGAGCCAATGTGAAATGAGTGGGCTGAGAAGGCTCTAAGGAACAGGATGGGGCTTGTGGTAGGGGTGACCTTGGCAGGATGTAGCAGGGCTGAAGATGGAAACCAGGGGGTGCGAGGATCCTGGGAGGAAGGAAGGGGAAGCCAACCTCCTCACAAGAGGCTGGTCTGTGCTGCAAGGGAAGAATTCCTGACTTTACTTATGCCATCTTATCATCATTAGGTATTAGATCCAAAGCTCTACTTCTTTGAATACGTATATTATGAATTCCATCCCCCATTCCTGCAATGACAGATTTGTCAGCTTCTGTGGATGTTGGCAACCAGGGAAAGCAGAGGAGAGAAGCCCTTTCATCAAGAGGCACGCCCCTGTGAAGCTCGCACTCACCTCATCACACATAAAACTTTTCCCATCAGCAGCACACTTTCTTCTCTTCCCCACCTTGTCTGCTGATCCCCTCTCCTGCCCAGTGACTCTCCTCCACCACCTAGACCGGAATGAAGGCTTCTTTCAGCAAAAGGGATTTTTCCACCTGGTTGACTTGATGAAAGCTTTATGAGTTGACATTATGTGGAAAAAGAACAAAGTGAAGTCAGAATGTGTGTGTGTGTGAAAGAGAGAGAGAAAAAGAGAAAGAGAGAGTGTTTGCAGGGGCAGAGGTTGCAGCAGCTAAAAAGAGCTGCTGAAAACTTTATTACAAACTAAGAGATGTTAGGAGCAATAAATCACTCATGTGTCTGCCATGAGGCACAGAAAACAGGGCTGGCTTTCAGGGAGAATTGGACGCGCAGGCACCTCCTCTGTTAACAGTGAGGGTCCAGTTGCCCCTTGAAGCAGGCGTGGGCATTGTTATGGACTTTTTCTTTTTCTATTTGTCTCTCTTTTCTTAACCCAAAGAATAAATAACGTCACTGGAAGAGCACAGAATTTTTAAAAAGGCCATTAGCCGCCTGGAAAGTTGAGGCTCCAGTTTTCCTTTGTCTCATGAAGGAAAGTTAAGAAATTAGGCATAAGGAACCAGTTTCCTCAATCAGATGTATGTGTCTCAATTTGTGTGCATGCGTGCATTCCCACGCGCGCGTGTGTGTGTGTGCATGCTTCTTCTTGGGTCTTCTTAATTTTCTTAAATAGGGAAGATAAATACTTAGCCCTTACATCATTGCCAGTCCCTTCCAAAGAAAAATGTATGCTCATTGAAGTGAAAAATAAGGAAAAATATAGAGAAGATGCCAAAAATCATCCACAACTCCCATCACCCAGAGATATCTACTGTGTCTTTATAACATGGATTTATATGTCCATAACAGTTGTAAATATAGTATTTGTACTTCTTCAAGAGTTGAGATTATTTTTGTGGCAGTCTCAGAGAAGTTTGTCCAGTTTCTTTCATCACCTCTTAGATGCCCTCTGGAGCCATAAAAAAAGGTAAATCACTCCGTGTTGGCTCAGGGTGGGTGATTCTTCATATGAACGATTTTAAAGGTGGCAACAGGGTTCGGTATTGGAAATTAGAAGATGTCGTTTGCAGCTATTGTGACCAGAACACTCTTGACCCAGCTAACTCCATGGAGAGAGGCCTTCAGGGAGAAAATCCATCAGCGCCAAGGATAAAGCTGAAGTTTCTGGAGAGTGTGGTTCATTTTCCTTTTGAAGGGGAATCATTATTATTACTACTACTCCTATTACTAATACCACCCCTGAGTCACCCTGTAATTGTTATTACAATAACAACTTTTACACTGCTTTAAAGTTAGGCAAAGTAAGACATAAAGAGGATTGGTTGCAAGGTCTTACTAGGTGCTAAACGCAAAGCCAGATCTTAGCCAGTTCTGTCTACAGAGCCAATGCTTCTTCTGCTACCCCCTGCCTTGTGGATTCACATATGACAACCTTTAAATCACATTCACTCATGTTATCTCTTTTAATTCCTATGAAATTTCTTTAAATTATGCATGACTTATCCTGGGTTCTGTCCGATAGGATTGCCTAAGAAGACATGTTACAAGAAGGGTTAAGGGTGAGTCAGTGACCTTGCATTTCATGGAAAGCTCTCTTCCAGTATTGTAAAAAGAAAAAAAGAAAGAAAATAAATAAATACATAAAAGGAAAGAAAAGAAAGAAAGAAAAGAAAAGAAAGAAGGGAGGGAGGGAAGGATGGAAGGAAGGAAGAAAGAAAGAAAGAAAGAAAAAGAAAACAAAGAAAGAAAGAAAAAGAAAAAAAAAGCAATGTGCTCAGACATCATGGTTATCTCCTAAAATTAGGCAGGTAAGGAAGCTGAATTGCTCCCTGCAAGGTTTATCCTAGGCTCCGCCAGCTCTCCCAATTCTTCAATAGAGGTAAATTAGGGAGAAACTCCCGGAAGAGCTCTCTTAACAGAAATCTTCACCATCACTTAACTCCCTGTCACCCTCCCTCCCATAATTACCAGCACAGCCAAATTGCCAAGCAAAGCTTTTCACAATCAACATACAAGACTCCCTCCCTCCTCCTCCAGCCTGTCAGGCTGCAGTGCTGTGTTAGCTATGCCTGCATTCGGCCTGTTCTTGGTCTCTGGGGCGCTACTCTCTGGGATGCATTTTGCAACATAAGCTATTCTCCTGCTCCATGAAGCAAAGCAAAGAATTAAAGACAAGCCTGAAATTAGAGCTACCGTGGCACTGGGATTCAGAGAATCATAAAATCATAGAATTTTGTTTTAGTTGAAAGGGGCCATAGAGATATTTTCAACCTGCTAATTTTACATAATAAGAAATGGGGAAGGGGGAGATGGAAAAAGGAGAATACTACAGAAATGTCCAGTACAGGTGGTGATGTTAAGTTTTAGATCATTAGTGGGTGACCAGGGTGGGAAAAATAAGAGGAAACATGTTAAGTCTTACTTAGAGTTTTCTAGTGAAAGTCTGAGTGTTTAATTCTCTCTGAAAGTGCTGTGACTTTGAAAAGGCTAAACATTTTTAGAAATATAATCTAAGTCACGTCATTTCCTTGCCCATCACATACCATTTTCCTCCAAATAAAGTGAGATGGCCAAATGCTTTCATTCTTTAGATGTGGGCAGAAAAGAAAAATGTCCCTTATGTCCCTGAATATCATAGCATATCAAGTTTGGCTCGTTTATTTGTGTTTTTAAGCAAAGCTGATAAAGTAAGAAAAATGCCCCGAGGGGCTCTTCTTTCTGATGTCTCCAAAGATGATAATAATAATAAAAAAAATCTGAGGAATCTGAGAATCAAATTTTTTCTCCCCTAGAATAAAGGACTCAAGTACCTTTCAGGGAATAAGAGTTGAAGTGAGAGTTGCATTATTTATTCCCCCAGATTTTAATTCTTTCACCTGACCAGGCCATGAAGGGCCTACCTCTTCAGAAACATCTCATTATCACCTGGAATTTTATTCCCTTTCTCCTTCTCAATCATCAATCAAGTTTCCAGGGGCCTTAGGGCATTAAGAACCATAGTTAGATCACTGAGGTTTTGAATGGTTTGCAAACTTGTATGTGTATGCACATTTTCCAAGAGGGTCCCTAGCCTCCAGCACCTTCTCAAAGGGGTGTGTGATCCTCAAAGTTATAAACAAAAAGCCTGGATTGTTAGGGCTGAAGGGGTCCTAGCTCACACCTTCCTGTATTCACTGACTAGAGATGTCATAACAAAGTTCTGCAGTGTGGGTGGGTTAAACAACAGAAACTCATTTTCTTACCATTCTGGAGGCTACAAATTAAAGACCAAGGTCTTGAAAGGGGAGGTTTCTTCTGAGGCCCCTCTCCTTGGCTTGCAGATGGCCCTCCCCTTATCTTCACATAGTCCTCCCTCTGTGCTTGTCTGGTTCCTAATTCCCTCTTCTTGTAAGGACATCAGTCATATCAGAATAAGGCCCACCCTGATGACCTCATTTAACCTTAATGATGTTTCTAAAGACCCTATATCCAAATAAAGTTGCATTCGGAGACACTGCAGGTGAGGACTTCAACATATGAATTTTAGGTGCAGGACACAATTCAGCCCATAACACCCTCTACTCCTTTCCTTATTGTGTGGGTAGAAAATTGAACCTTGGAAAGATTTGACAGTTGACCTTGAGGATATAGTAGAGCCAGCTTTTGAACCCAGGCCAAATCCCATGCTCCCATCTCTGTCTTCAAAACCCCTGACTTTTTTATTTTATTTTATTTTATTTTATTTTATTTTATTTTATTTTATTGAGACAGAGTCTTGCTCTGTTGCCCAGGCTGGAGTGCACTGGCACAATCTCAGGTCACTGCAGTCTCTACCTCCTGGGTTCAAGCAATTCTCGTGCCTTAGCCTCCCGAGTACTTGGGATTACAGGCGTGCACCACCATGCCCAGCTAAGTTTTGTATTTTTAGTAGAGATGGGGGTTTCATCATGTTGGCCAGGCTGGTCTTGAACTCCTGACCTCAAGTGATCCACCTGCTTCAGCCTCCCAAAGTGCTGGGATTACAGACATGAGCCACTGCGCCTGGCACAAAAACCATTTCTTTAAGGAGTTCACAGTTTCAGAAAGATAGCCTGACTCATAAAGTTCTCAGCAGCCATACACATTGCACAATGCGGTTCTATGTGCAATGCTGAAATGGGTAAGGGCTTGAGATTTATGGGGACACAGATGATGGAGCAATCACTTCTGCCACAGAGGGGCACAAGTTCAAAGTGCTCCTAAGAGTCCTAGTCCGTGGGCTCTCTCACTCCATAGGGAGGCCACGTGTAATGATGAAAAGAAAACTGGACAAGAAAACTGAAATTCATATTCCCGATACACAATACCCTGTGATTCCATTTTCTGGAGATGTTTGAGGTGGGGATGGGGCCAACAGAGGCAGGGACAAGACGGGCTCCTTCACCCAGTGGAGGTGGTTCCTTCCTTCGCTCAGGCCTCGCTGACAGGTCTCTGATTCTGTAGCCTGATTTCAGGAACTTATTCTTGGCTTTTGCTTTTCTCAGGGTAATGAGCTTTCAGCCTAGCACTTGCTAACACTAACAAATGAGGCCAATTGCAGCTCGCTGTGGATCACCTTTCAATAGTGGGTTGACAAGGAGAACAATGCATTTGTTTGCGGCTGTCGAGTCTTCAGGGAGGATCTGTCATCTCCGAGGTGAGTGTCAAAAGGGTTTCAGGCTTCCTGTGACTGTCAGAGGAGAGGACAGGAGGAAGGCGAGTTCAGGCCTGCTGACACTTCTAGGTGGAACTTGCAGCCACCTTGCCCTCTTCTGAGTTTCTGCAGGAATAAACTTTGTTCCAGTTAACGAGGCTTTTAATTATAATAATAGCATACTGCCAATTACTGGGTTTTCCCCCTAAAGAATAGTTCCCCTACACAACACATACGCATTCATGGCTGCATGATGGGAGAGGAATATCTTGGCTTCTATATATAGAAATATACATTTCTGCCTAAATAGAGCAATTGTTTTCACCTTCATTTCCCTGTTGGTATTTTCTGGGCTGCAGGTGGTCTCATGCCTCTTGGAAGATTTATACCAGCTATTTGGAAGGCAGTGAGCAGAACAAGGTGTTCACTGCCAAGTCTCTGGCGAGGCTGCCCTTCCATTAGCTGGATGACCAGGTGGGAGGCCTGGCAGGGGTCTCAATTATTAAGAAATTTACCCTGAAGCACTGGGCATAACCCACTGACAATAACAGTCCTCTGCATTTCTCAAAGGACAGGAACTTGATGGCATAGGCAAAGCTGTACAGACACCTGGGAAGGGACTTGGTTCACATAAAATTTCAACCTTCGATAATTTAACTATTATTGGCAACCCCCAGAGGGAGGCCACAGGGAGCAGTGCTGAAATGGAGCCTCTTGTTCATAGGACATCTGTTTTCTTATGATGCTCTGAAGTGATTGTGATATTATTTGTGAATTGGGTATTATGTCACAGTTCCCACTTTCAGACACAATTTCTATCAGGTTTCCCTATGACCTACTTTTTTGCAAGAGCATTAACTTGAGTGTCTCACAATTCCTATCCAGTTTGATAAGACTACCTGCTTATAACTCAGGGATGCATTCTTAAAAGAGAAACATTTAGAGAAAACAAAAAAGACCCTTTGAAATCATTTAAATTAACCCCATACTTCCCTTCTCATCTATACCTTTGTGAGATCACAATCCAAAATAAGGTTTTTCTTCCAGATTTGATTGAAAAAACCCTTACTATTCATGGATAAGAATGAAAGAGGAAAAAAATACCACAAAGACCTATGGAAAAGAACGATTAAAGACTGAAGGAGAAGAAACGTCATTTCTATGATTTGCTCCTGCACTTGGTTCCGAATTCTTTTTGGTAGCCCTTGACCTGCATTCCACAGTTCAATATATAGATTATTTATCCTGCAGGGGAGCTCCCCAGACTGAAGCTGTTGTGGTCCCATTAGTCAAGGGGTGAGAGTGCTCAAACTTTATCTCATGTTGTAAAAAAGCAGAATTCAAAATCTGCTGGGATTTTGAATCACTTTTTCTCCCTACACCTCACCAAAGATAGGACTACCCAAGTAGCATTTTATGTTTAAAAAACGATGTACTACAAAACTTCCTACCTCTGGCAATTGAGACACTGGTTAAAGGTTCTTTGTCTACTCTTTTCTGAAAGAACATTCAATTAAAAAGTCAAGAGACTGGCCTTGTGACCAGCTGACTTGCTATGATTTGAATAGCAATGAATGAAATGTGTCCCTCCAAATTTCTATGTTGAACCTAAGCACAAATGTGATAGTATTAAAAGGTGGGGCCTTTAGGAGTTGATTAGCTCTGAGGGGTCCAGCTTGATAGATGGGATTGGTGCCTTCTACAAGAGCTTGAGGGGGCAAATTTGCTTCTTCTACCCAATGAGGATGTTGTGGGAAAGCATTGACTGTGACAAATGGGTCTTCACCAGACACTGAATCTGCCAGAAACTTGATGTTGGACTTCCCAGACTCTTGGACTGTCAGAAATACACTTCTGTTGTTTATAAATTACCCAGTCTAAAGTATTTTGTTACAGCAGCCCTACTGGACGAAGTCATCACTGTAATGAAGATGTTAAATGGCTCAGAGTTTAAGAGTTTTCTCGTCTCAAAATCTTTATTAATTTCCCCCCGACTGGTACAATCCACCCATCTCCTCCACTCAATTCCAACTCTCCTTCTTTTGTTAAGTTGCCATGTGCTGTGCCCTTTCCCTGTAAGGCCTCTCCATTTGTTGTGAGTCCTTCCTCTTGGACGTGGACTACCTTCTACTCTGTATTGTTTGTGAACATGTGGCTGCATCTGTCCTGCTGGATAAGAAGCCACTGGTCACTGGCCCCTAAAGCCCCTCTGAGCATGTCGAGGAGGGAGAGTTTTCATGAGTGGCTTCATGGAGACTGGCATCTGAGGCATCTAGGGTGAGTGTGGTTCTTCCCTGTCAATCCTCATCCCTGGTGTCGTCCAAACAGCAGCAACAATTTTCTTCAACTCAAGATTACCATATTGCTCCTATTTATAAATAATAATAATAAACATCAGAAAGTGACTTTGTAATCAATAAGTCACTCTAGGATAACAAGCATCTTGGACACAATTGGTAGTACTAGTTGAGGGCCACAGCTATTTTTTGTGGGGAGGCGGGGAATAATGTAGAAAGGAGTAAAATTCCATTTTTATTAAATCTTGCAAAAAAGTCTAGGCATAGAAATGAAATTGGGATGCACGTTGAGGCAGGGGTAGAGATGAAAATAATTAGGATTGACATCTTCTCTGAGCTCTCACCTATCCCTTACCGATGCAAGTAACTTTTAAGGTAACCAACTACACAGGATTCCTGATTACTAGCCTGAGACGACTTCTGAAAGAATAAGATGTTTACAGTGCCATTTGGAGCTGTTGGCTTCTCTTAGAACTGAATGACCACCAGGGGCCTGGAGAACCTAAAGTCCAGTGACTTCTTACAAAATCTAGAACTTGCTGCTTTTGGGATTAGGTGGCTTGTCCTTGGACAGTGGTGGATACATTGATTTCTGTGCTGTGATTGTAAGCTGAGGCTATAGCCTGCTATAGGAAACCCTTCTGGTATTTTTCTAAGCTGTGCCGACTTTTCTTTTTGCAAAAGCAATGTTAATAATATGGCCAACCTATCCTACACAAGGTGGGTTGGCAAACTTTTTCTGTAAAGATCCAGATAGCAAATAATTAAAGCTTTCCAGGCCCACCATCTCTGTCGCAGCCACTCGACACTGCTGTTGTGGTGCAAAAGCAGCTGTAGACAATATATAAACACATGAGGGACACTATATTCCAATAAAACTTTATTTATAAATACTGGCATACATTTCACAACATTTCCAAGGGTCATCACATAGTTTTGTTTTGATTTTTGTACCAACCATTTTAAAATACAAAAACACTCTTTGCAAGTTGTCTGTACAAAAATTAGGCAATTGGCCAGGTTAGCCTCTGGGCCATGGTGACGGACCCCTGCTTTACAGGAAAACTATTTACCATGGAAACCTGTTCCTTCAAGTGCTGGGTGCTCACACTGACCCTCACTCTGACAGTTGAATTAGGGTGTCTCTTCAAATCCGTGAAACTAAATAAATGAGGGCAGGCCCCTCTTACCATCCAGAATGCAGCGTGTGTACACCAGTGTTATTTCACGTATCAGATTTCTGCATGGAAAACATTGGAAAACACTGTCACGCCATTAATAATCTTCAGAGGAACACCTTGAAACTTGACTCGCTGAGGGCACGTTGCAAATGGGCTCTAATGGCTTTTATTTCTCATTCTTGTCACCTCAGATCTAATCAGCTGTTTTGTCATTTTTAATTCCTACTTGGCAGGATTCTCCAACTTCTCTAGCCTTTCAGATAAAGGCTCAGAGGAGAGCCTGAGGCTCTTAGGACTGGGAAGCAGAGCAGAGATATTAGGCAGCGTGGATGGTGGCCTTCTAATTTGGCTGATTCGGGAGGAGTTGGGAGGCAACCACATCCTCAAATGACCCCTGCCCCTACCTTCCACCTCTCTATGGGGGCTCATCCCTGTTCTGAAATTTGGGGACAGGATCTTTCAATTCTCCATTAGGAATAAGTTTCAAATCTCATATTGTTCTACATTGGTTGGGAAGAAGAAAAAGCACTGAATTAGAGACCTCTAACATGTTTCCTTTTTTTTTGGCTTTTTTTTTCTTTTTGAGGCAGTCTTACTCACTCTGTCACCCAGGCTGGAGTGCAGTGGCGCCATCTCAGCTCACTGCAACCTTCGCCTCGTGGGTTTAAGCAATTCTCCTACCTCAGCCTGCTGAGTAGCTGGGACTACAGGCGTGCACCACCACGCCCGGCTAATTTTTGTATTTTTAGTAGAGACGGGGTTTCAACATATTGGCCAGACTGGGTGTGAACTCCTGGCCTCAAGTAATCCACTTGCCTCGGCCTCCCAAAGTGCTGGGATTACAGGCATGAGCCACCATGCCCGGCTGAAAATGTGTAGTTTTTTCTTACGCAGAGCACTTGAGCTCCGGTCCAGCTCCCACAAACCTGAATTTCTATGCCCATCTGGCTGTGAGCAGCCAAAGCACCACTTTTGACTAAGACCTTACTTTCCATGGATTGTGAATGATGAAAACAATTCAATTACATCACTGTAAATGATGTAAGGGATTGTGAATGATGAAAATAAATTTCTTAAATAAATATAAAATTATAATTTAATACAAGATCCTTTCAAATAAATAAATAATGAATAAATAAAACTAATAAGAGCTAAATGGTTTTTACTGTTTATCACGTCCCAGGCATGATGCTAAGCATCTTTCTTATATTAGCTCATTTCATCTTCAGAATACTTATTGTTTTCATTGTACAGATCAGAAAAAGAAACTCAGAATAAAGCATGTAGTTTCTCGAGGTCCACAGCTGGTAAGTAGCAGAAGTGCTTTACAATATGCAGATTCATATGGCTTCAGAGTGTATGATCTTCACAACCCCTTAGGTGGCTGTGTGTCTTTGCCAAATCATCTTACCTCTCTAAGCCTCCATGTCCTTAGCTCAGAAATGAAGTTTCAGACTATAAAATCGCCAACCTCACTTCCGAGTCAAAATTCTAAATCTACAATTTTCACCCTTCTCTTTTCAGGAGGGGTACAAAACTAAATATGTAAGTTCATATGGTAACTTAGTGAAAAAAAAAAAACCTAAATTTTCAGGCTATGACACTTTAAGTCAGTGTTTATTTAGTAAAAACTCTTACACCCTCTTTGCATAAACTGGAATACCATCGAGACCATCGAGCAGTAATAAATAATGAGCACTCATGCTCTGCTAGATGTGGGAAAGAGACAACATGGGGACCCGCTTTGATCTCTCCTTGCAGAAGCTTGTAAACGATCCCGAAGGGTACACATAAATCAGAGCAAAGAGGTTTTCAATAAAAAATTCAAGATTCTGAATTATTTAAAAAAGCATTATGCTTATTACACTGTATTTATTAAGTCAGAAAAATAGTTGCTACCAAGATTTTTCAGGAGGAGTTGAAGCTCTAGGTGTTTAGGAGTTTAGCAGAAACTTGTTTGATGAATTATTTAAACATGAGCATTTCTGTTTAATTCTGTAATCTAAAGTAACCAATTAACTAAAGTTCCCCATTCCTGGAGTGTTCCAATATTAAGTGTCAGAGATCGAGGGAAGGATCAGGGCTGGAATAATAAAACCCAAAGCCCTCCCCTGAACATTTCCAATTTTAAGGACAAAAGACTGGAGCAATTGCTTTTAAACCAATTAAAACCAGAAATCTGGAGTCCATCCCAGCAGGGACATGGGGAATAGGTGGAAGATGAAATCTCTAAATCAAACCCAGTGATGTTATCCAATCAGCTCACAGGGAGAAACCACTACCAACCTTCCCAAAGGATATAAGCCATGACATTATTTTTTTTAAGTCAAGAGTTAAGTAGCCAGCAGAAGACTGCTTTCCCTCCCTGTCTAACAGGCCCTAGCGAATGACCTGTTCCTAACTTCATTTATGTGCCTCATTTTGGTCTTTCAAATATTGATTTTTAAAATATTCTTCAGGAGAAAGCCACTTGGGGACCTTTAAGTTGGGGTTCACAAATGATGCATACCCAGAGGTGTTTATTGCAGGATGGAAATATAGACTTTTTCCCTCTTCTCATTTCCCTCCACCTAAGTATCTCTTTATTCATTACTTTAATTACCTAATTGTAAATTTCTTTAGGGGGTTACTTAGAAAGAAAATTAGCATCAAAGCTTGGCAGTAAATTCAGGGGCTTTTGGAGACAGTCCAATCTGTTTCACCTGTGATTAATTAGATGATTTTTTTTCCTTTAAGTGCCAGAAGGCTGTTGAGGTCTTTAAGCAGTTACATGACTGCCGGCGGTGCTGCAATTATGATTGATGCATGCGTCTGGAGTCTGAGGCTGCAGCCTGGCTTTTGTTGGCGGGGTGTGTGTGTGTGTGTGTGTGTGTGTATGTATGCGGGCATGCGTGTCAGACTGAGGGACAGAGACAGACTTGGGTAGCTAGAGCTTGGAAAAACTCCAAGGGTTTTAAAAACAGTGAGGTGTCTCTTTAATATTCTTATAAGTGCATGTCTTCTAGAAGCTCGAAGCCAGAATCTCCTATGAAAATATTTCAGCCATTTTAGAAATGTTGGTTTAGTAGGCCTCTTCCTAACCATTGGTTATTGTGGAGTCTAGCTCTCTTTATGGGCAGATACACTAAGGAAGGCATATTTCCAACAATTCTTTTGCTACATATAAAGCAGAATAGCCAAGCCAATTTTTTTTTAAAGATGGGGTCTTGCATGTTGCCCAGACTGGAGTGCAGTGACTATTCACAGGAACAATCCTTGCACACTACAGCCTAGAGTTTGAGTTCAAGGGATCCTCATGCCTCAGCCTCCAGAGTAGCTAGGACTACAGGTGTGTGCCACCACACCTACTTCAAACATTCAAAGAGTCCATGTCTCTGTAACATTTCACATGCTGAAAAACAAGAGAGAAGAAAGTGGTCTCTACTTCGTTGGGAGTAAAATTATCCCCAAACTCTAGCAATAAAGTCAAAGCCACCTCTTGATAAATTTGGGAAAAACGCAAATACTGCTCATCACAATAAACATGCATTCAAGGATACAATATAGAAAATTGGTGATTGTTTTATTACTAGTTTCAGTTTATCATTTTTCCTTTACTCTTTATGTGGAGGAAAGAATTCTGAAAACCATTTGACTCATTCATGGTAGCAGGAAGTTTCAAAGTTTTTGCCAACTTTTGCTGAAGTCTTTATGAACTTCTAAACCCCTAGAAATTGAGGTTATTCATTACCTAACATATATTCCTTTACCTGTCCATAGGATCCCATAGGGTAAATGCACTTGCTAGCAATGATTTAAGCAGACTCTTAGAATGACCTTGTAGGGCAGATGCACCTGAATGTGTGTTCTGAGCTAGGGAATGTGGGTGTGGCCAATCCAGAGATTTGTTCCTTATTTATGATAAACATCCGAGCCCCGAGCCTGTCCTGTGGAACACAGGCCATGCAGGGGATTGAGGTCCCCAGTTTTGGGTTAAATAAAGATGGCCAGCTAGAGGCCTTTGGGTGGAGGATGTGAAGTAAAAATGCCATAGAAACTGCATGATGTTTGCAGGTGGCCATGGTTTTCCTGGCCAGCCTGCTGTCCCCGGACTGTAGGAGGTGGATCTCTCGTCCAGTCTGCTACCACTGGACTCTTTCTCCTGTATATAAACCCCAAATAAAATCCCATGTCTCTGAGTCTCTTCTTGAGCCTCTCAAACCTGGTGCCTTCCCTATTGAGGTTAATAGGGGTCTGACACAACACAGCTATGAATTATTTATTTTTTGAGACAGAGTCTCTCTCTGTTGCCCAGGCTGGAGTGCAGTGGCACAATCTCGGCTCACTGCAACCTCCGTCTCCCAGGTTTAAGTGATTTCTGGCTAATTTTTGTATTTTTAGTAGAGACGGGATTTCACTGTGTTGACCAGGCTGGTCTTAAACTCCTGACTTTAAATGATCCACCCACCTCGGCCCCACAAAGTGCTAGGATTAGAAGCATGAGCCACCACGCCCAGCCCCTATGACTATATTTAAACAATAAATTAAATATCTGGGGTTCGCCTGTCTTCTGAGGATGAACAGAAATGTCTGTCACATGGGTTCCTTACAGAGATTTCTGCCATCCTGGTCAGTGCAGCCTAGAGTAGGGGCTGGCAAACTCTCTCTGTAAAGCAGGGCCAGAGAGTAACTATTTTAGGCTTGTGGGCTGTTAGGTCTTTGTTGCAAATTATCTGCTCCGCTATGGAAGTGTGGAAACGGCCATGAGGAATGGGTAAAGAATGGATATGGTTGTGTGCCAATGAAAGTTGTTTGCTGATCCTTGGCCTAGAGCACTGCTTCTCAGACTTTAATGAGCATATGAAACACCTGGAGAGCTTGTTAAACTGTAGACTCCTATTCATCAGGTCAGGAGTGAGCCTGAGGCCTGCCTACCTAGGACATTGCTAGATGATGGTGGTGCCACTGGTCCACAGATCTCACTCTGTCACCCAGACTGGAGTGCAATGGCACGATCTCAACTCACTGCAACCTCTGCCTCCCAAGTTCAAGCAATTCTCCTGCCTCAGCCTCCCAAGTAGCTGGGATTACAGGTGCCTACCACCACGCCTGGCTATTTTTTTTTTTTTTTGTATTTTTATTAGAGACGGGGTTTCGCCATGTTGGCCAGGCTGGTCTTGAACTCCTGACCTCAGGTGATCCACCCGCCTCAGCTTCCCAAAGTGCTGGGATTACAGGCGTGAGCCACCACCCCCGGCCTGGTTCTTCCCTTTTATATCCAGGGCATTCCGCATAACATCAAGGCTCAGAGAATAGACACGGGCTCTTTGTTCATCAGAAATATTGCTGTAGGACAATGTTCTTCAAATCTATGATCTTCAAACTTTCCTCTAGCACTTCACCCCTTGGGGAGCACCCAGATTTCCCTCTCCTGAATGTCACCTTCCTTTTGTCACCTTTAAGATTGGTCGTTGAGGGTCTTGCACTCCTAAATGGACAGATGGCTCCGGCCGTGGTGCAGCTGCACACACATCTCATCAAAGCCCTTCACGCCAGCTCTGCTCCCTAACTGCTGCCCTTCCCCGCCTCAGTGTGCAGGGCTCTAATGACTGAGCAGAGGGCCCTCTGGCCCCTGCCTAATTGGCTGCAATGCAACAGCTAATGTAGGTTGAGAGACCAATTAACTGGGCTTGTATCTACCAACGCTGCATCTGAACATCAATTATGCTAAACAACACGCTCTATTAAGACATTTCCCTGCCACTGTCATTTGCTATGGGACATTTCAGAGCAAAGCAGAGAGAAGCTGCTTCTTGTTGACTGCCTGAAGGGTTTCTCTCTCTCATTGTTACAGAGGGCTGGCAGTTGGGAGTGTGATTTTAGAACTAGAAAAACCACAAAGCATGGTCTCTAGACCATGGGGATTAAGGTCCAAGAAACCAGAGAATAGGCTGGATGAGAGATTCTGGTAATGATTGGACCATTCCATTTAGAAATGGAAAATGCCAAGCACTGGAATTTTCAAAGGATCCTTTACCTAAAACTTACACAATAATGACAGAAAGTTGTTGGGAAGAAGAAGATTGTATTTTCTTCTAAAGGTTTAGCTAGTTTTGAATTTCATTCCCCATCATTTCATCTCATCTCAAGCTCCTCCCTTGGAAGGCACTTCTTGATTTCTCACATTCACACTTTGGTCCTTATGTAGCTCAATTTTATTTATTTATTTATTTATTTATTTAGAGATAGGGTCTCACTCCATTGCCCAGGCTGGAGTGCAATGGTGCAATCACGGCTCACTGCTGCCTCAAACTTCCAGGCTCAAGCCATCCTTCCACTTCAGCCTCCCAAGTAGCTGGGACCACAGATGTGCACCACCACTTCTGGCTAATTAAAGAAAAAAAATTATAGAGGTGGGGTCTTGCCATGTTGCTCAGGCTGGCCTCAAACTCCTGAGCTCAAACTATCCTCCTGCCTCCTTGGCCTCCCAAAATGCAGAGATTACAGGTGTCAGCCACTGCACCCGACCTTTGATTCATTTTAATGTGTCATTATTGTGTAGTTCCTTTGTACCAAACATGCTGAGCAATCCAACCAAGTTTAAGACACAATCCCCACCCTGGAGTTAACAGTTTAGCTGGAAAGACTGGACTAATTTAGACATCTACTTCTTAATCATTCATCCATTCAACAAACACTTGTTTATCATTCATTATATTTCAGGTGCTTTGCTAGGCTAGACACACTGTTCCTTCCCTATCTAGGGTTACTGCTATACGGAAAGCAGGTGATCAAATAAGCACTAGTAATGCCGTGTGAGCCATGCTATTATGACTGTGACAGTACAGCTACTAAGGGAGATACAAAATAGACAAAACACAACAGTACAATAAAATCATGTATAGGCATTATACCATTAAAATGTAACGTAGGTTTAAAGCAGAGTGTTATGCCCTGTTCTATTCCCTACAGTGTTTATTTCAAACTTCTACCCCTCTACTTAAACTTTTTCATACTTCAAGAGACAACTGAGATTATCAAGCTTAAACACCCTCAATCTCCAGCCATTGAAAAGCTGTTCATATTTGCATTTATTTTCACGCCCTCCTTCAGGTCTTGTAGGAAGAGCTGTTATTTATCTTGTTTAAGGCCATTCCCTCCGCCTGTACCCTTGACTGACAATGCTCCTATGACCCCAAGGACCCTGTTGCACCTGGGATTCCCTTTCTCCTTCCCAAATGGGCAAGTCCATCTGGATTGGCTCCTTCTTCATATCATAAAATTATGATCAAGCATGTTGTCCATCTTAAAGTCCTCCCCTGATCCTACACCTCCTTTTCTTTTCTTACCATCCAAGCCTACAAATTCTTGCTTCTTGACTTGTTTTCCATCTGTCCACCTCCCAGTTTTCCTTCTTCAAACAAACTGCAGTTTGGCTCCTTCTCTCCCTGCACTCCACAGAAACTGCTCTGGCAAAAGGCCCCCGCGATCTTCTTGCAGCTACACCAATCCTACTCTTCGTTGAACTGCATCTTCCTTGACCCTGACCCGGCATTTTGTATCCATGGCCATCCAATCCTCTAACTCCCTTTGCTTGTCTTCCAGTTCTCCTCCTCCTCCACTGGCCAATCCTTCTGTCCTTTGCTGACTCATTTCTTTGTGTGCCCTCTAAACATCATGTTTCCATGTTTCTTCTTTGGACGTCTTTTCACTTCATATTCTCCCCCAGTGATTCCCTCTAATCACCTGCTGTCAATTTCCCACCATCTTCTGACTTTGAAAATGAAGTTTGGTTAAGAGCCTCAGCCTCCTCTACCTACTGCTCAGGCATCTCAACTTGCTTTAAACCTAAGCCACCAATTTTCCACCAAAATATGCTACTCCTGTGTACCCTGTCATAGTGAATAGCAAGATCACTTGAAACTTGAATGTTTTTTTTTTTCACTTTGACACTCAATCAACCAATAAGTCCTATCATCTCTGTTTCACTAACATCTATTATATTTGTCCTCTCTACTTTATTCCTTCTGCTCCTGCATTAGTTCAAGACTCATTACCCTTTATTTGGACAAGGACAATTAGATTATCTTCTAGCTTTCTTGCCTCTGATATTATCTGTGATTTTACACCCTTTCAGTCTATCCAATACATTAAAGCCAGGATTGCCTTTCTAAAGTACAAATCTGGTCTTAAACAAAAGCACACTCAAAAGTTTTTGTGGCTGGTCACTTCCTAACATGGTTGTCACCTTAAAGGAGAGGTTCGCTCAAGTGTTTGCAGGGAAGGCTGGGGAAAGAAGGCAATTTGGGCTTTGAAGCGTAGACATCCTTTTTCTGCCCCCAGCCCCTAGCTTAGTATTGTGCTGGCAAATGTTTAACAACCAGCTCCCCAAAAGTGAAAAGAAAAACCTCCCACAAAATCCTTATTTGTAGATTTGGCTAGTTTCTATAATACAGACACTCCCACGATGACCAATTTCAAGCTACCAGCATCATGAGATTTTGGAAGAAATGTGAAGTCAGCTCTAGTGCACCACTGACTCCACCTCCTTGACCATACCAGGGCCTCAGCCAGAAAGACTCTGCCTTTATCTGTCGCATACATACTTGGCTTCCTCGTGAGCCAGGGATGGAAGATAGGTGTTAAGTCATGAAAACTCTGATCAATTGTTAATAGCTGTCTAGAGGACTCCAATGAAGAATTTCTTAAATTGCCTCCAGGCTCAGGGAGTAGAGTGCTATGATCAATTAGTAATGTCTGCCATGGGCATGGAAAGCTACAGTAGCTGCCTATGCTACATATTTTTACTCTGGCTGCTATAAGTGCTAATGGGAATTCAAGAGTAATTAAACAACTAGAATATAGTTTGAAAACATACAAAACAAAGCCAGAGCTCACTAGCATAAAGTACAAAGTCCTCCATACTGGCCTAGGCATAATTTGGCCTTAACTTTTTCTACCCTCCCCCAACACTCTAAGCCTTAATCATACTGAAGAACTTGATGAGCGCTGAATACACACCATGGTTTTCCACAACTCTGTGCCTGTTCTCACCCTCCTAAGACTGCTTTGGGTGTGCCCTTTCATATTCTTCCTGTGTGAAGAATACCCACATGAATGATCCCCAGAAAAATCTCTTGAGTTATCTGGATGCTCTAAGCTGTTTAGCTTTTAATAAGGACCTTTCCCTTTGCTCACCAAACTCTCACCTAAACTAGTTGAAGCCTGTAAGTCTTACGATTTAAGCAAGAGAATGCAATGTTGTAATAGTTCAGTAGCTTCATTGCAAATGCCCTGTGGTTTGGGAGGACTTGTGGATTATCTGCTTAAATGTGAGTGGCCTGCAAATGCCCTGGCTGCTCTTATCAAGAGCCATGATGAGACTTCTGTTGGCCCCTTGAAATAAGTATGCTGGTCTTCTCTGAACACGCATAGACACATAACAGGACTACACTCTGGCCTGTGCTGTTCTTCTTTCTTCTCATCTGGAGAGATGGACTCCCAGTTCCCTCTTGGCTGAAACTCTGAACCTCTGGGATCGGTATGTGTTGGGCCCTGCCTGCAGGGGTGAAAGCAAATTCCGCATCAGCACCAGGGGACTCTCCTTCCTTCCCACAGGGGCCAGAGAGGTGACAATTGACAATAAAGTTTGCTTTCGCTTTGTACATATATGGCAAGTCTGTGTTCTCTCTGTAAGGGCGCATTTGGAAGCTCTTAGTTCTATCTTCTGAACTTTATTACTAGTTTTTTAAAATATTTAATTGACAAATAAAGATTGCTTATAAACGAGGCATACAATGTGATTCTTCTATATATGTATCCATTGTGTAGTAATTATTACACTCGAATTAATTAACATGTCCATCACCACCATGCTGTACGTTAGATTCCTTGAACTTGTTCATCTTACAACTTAAAGTTTAGACCATTTGACCAACATGCCCTGACTTCCCCCATCTCCTACCACCTAATAACCACCCTCCTACTCTTTGCTTCCATGACTTTTTTAGATTTCACATTTAAGTGAGATCATATACTTTGCCTCGCTTATTTCACTTAGCATAATCACCTCCAGGTTCATTTTTGTGGTTGCAAATGGTAGGATTTCCTTCTTTTTAAGGCTGAATAATATTTCATTATTTTCTCTGTGCATTCACAGATTATTTGTTTTTAATCAGACTATACTCACTTATGTTCATCCATAAAATGGGAGTAAGGGCAATTTAGTTAATTTTTGTGGTTGTTTTGTGAACGCAGAAGACACCACCTGTAAGTACTTAACACAGAGACCAGGACACAGTAACTGCTTTAAAATACAATTGTAACAATAAAAATCATAACCATTAGCATCCTTCAGAATTCACTTACATGAAGGCTTTCTTTACCATCTTATTTAGAATTGGCTTCTCCCTTCTTTGTGCATCTGAAGAACACAGTACAGAGATTTCGCCATGGTAATTATTATTTAAAGTATTAACATTTATTAAGAACTGACTAAATGCCCAAATCATGCTAAGGATCACATGTATGATCCTATTTTGTCCTCATTACAGATGTATGAAGTAACAAAACTGGAGGTACCGAAGGGCTAAGTAGGTAAAGACACCCAGTGAATAGATGGAAAGGTGGAATTTGGAGGAAAGAAGTCCCTGTTTCTACAGCCCATACTTTTAAGCACTATGCATTGCTACCTCCTCTTTGCATTGTGCTTGTTTTTGCAGACTGCTTCTCCACTATGAGCTGGGAGCTACTTGAGGTGAGATAGCTTTTTTCCTCTTTATAACAAGAGTTTTAGCATCTTGTGCCAAGCCTGGCATCATTCATAGAGGCTGAGGTAGAATAGAGGAATTAGAAAGGAGGACATTTTGTTACGAAGCCAATACTGTTCAACAATGGAGAGTGTTTACACCTTTAAAATGTTTGACACCTTCCTTATTTGATGTTCTCTTCTTTAGACTGTCTCTGATCCGTTTTCAGGTGGCCACTGACAGATGAGATACCTCATCTGAAGAAAGAGAACAAGAGCTGTGGGCTGGAAAGACGGAAGCTCCAATGTTTCCCTGGCCACCTCTGGTCCACTGTAGGGGAGGCTTTGCACAAGCCCCACCTGGAACCGGCAGAGCCTGGATGGACACAGGTCTTGCTGTGAACTGCACTGGGCTTCAGGAAGAGGCCATGCTGGGCAGAAACTCGATGCTAATTAATGAGATGCCTGGGCTCTGTAATCAGAAGATGAAGGGGAGCCAGTGATCTCAGTAACACTAGGCAGTTGCTTGTGCAAATGCCCATTTTTCCATACAGAGGACAGGGAGGTGCAATAAAGGGCTCCTCTTGGTCCTGGGCTGACCCACCAGCATGCTGATGTCCTCTGGCCAGCTTGCCTGGAAGTAGCCTTCCCTGATGACACTGCCTCTGTTCTCCAAAGCAATACATACAACTTTTTTATTACTGTGACCAAATGGATTACTCCTTTCTGCACAAGAATGTATGTCATTGTCAACATCAAAAACTTCCCTGCTTTACCCTGACAGCACATGCCTTATTGATCAGGTGCCTCTGAACAACTCACTTACACAAAGCACTTAAACCTGTATGACTTCAAAAAGTAAGGTAAGACAAGCCACATTGAGCAGTATAGCACACACCTAATATGATTATTTCTCTTCTTCTTGGTGATAATAGAATTATGCAAAAACGGCCTTGACCCAGTAAGCATTTGCTCTTCAGAATCAAATCTCTGCTCTCCCTTGACTTACAATTCCCCCCACCCTCCCACCCTCCTTGCTTCTGAGTCCCTCAACATGGCAGCACTCATTTTTGTACCATCTGCTAAGGCAAAAGTTTTCTGAACTGTCAAGTACAACAAAACAATGAAACATGCGGCTCTACTTATCTAGGAAGTAACTGATGAAGAACAATCTCCATTTTCATTTGTTAATTCATTCTGCAATGTTTATTGATCATCTCCCACATGACTGTGTAAGTCAGATTGAGTAGCTACATTTAATTTAATGAATGAGACTTATGACAACTGTCTCAGGACTCCTCATTTCTTACTTTCCCCAAGTTGTGTGGATCTTGGGAAGAGGCAGGCCCTGCCACTGGTGTTAGTTACAGTAGTCAGTAACAGCTGATTGACAGTGGCCAAAAGAGAGCCCTTGGAGGGATGACCCAGAAGAGTTTTCAAGAGCTTACCAGTGGCCGGGCACAGTGGTTCTTGCCTGTAATCCCAGAACTTTGGGAGGCCAAGGCAGGCAGATCACCTGAGGTCAGGAGTTCAAGACCAGCCTAGCCAACATGGTGAAACCCCATCTCTACTAAAAATACAAAAAAACTAGCCAGGCATGGTGGCACATACCTGTAATCCCAGCTACTCTGGAGGGTGAGGCAGGAGAATCGTTTGAATCCAGGAGGTGGAGGTTGCAGTGAGCTAAGGCTGTGCTATCGCACTCCGGCCTGGGCAACAAGAGTGAAACTCTGTGAAAATAAAAACAAAAAACTAGCTCCAGGCATGTGGCCTGCACTTTTCCCATATGTGCCAGGCCAGGTAGATTATGCCCACACTTTACAAGCACCTTGCAAGAGAGGCATATTGGCAGCCTTTCTCAGGTAGGAAAAATGAGATTTGCAGAGAGTAGGTTACTTCCTCAAATTCATGCCCCATAAAGCAACAGAGGCAAACCTGGAGCCTGGGCCTCTCTGATATTACAACTAGCTTCTTTTCTTCATCTTCCATTTTACCCATTTCTGGTACTCAGATTTTTATCACCTCAATAGGAAGGTGATGTTTTCCAAGTGGGGTTAGATGAGGTTATTTGGGTTTGGGATTATTAACAGACAATAATAAAATGGCCATACAGTGAGGAGAATATTTGGGAATTGTTGGAATGACTTAAGAAAGTAGGAGATTCTATTAACTGTGGAATTTTAATAATATGCTCTAAACACATGGATTAATAAAGGGCATACGTTCTGAAGAATATCTTCAAAAGGATAATTCTTTTTAGACTTCTTGGAATACTAATTTTTTGGCAGAAGGCTAGTAAGATTTCCTTTGAGTCGTGGATCAGAACCCCATGAGTGAAGATTCCCAGATGGAGTATCTTTGATAGCAACAAAATAATGAGCTGCTATTATCCTGAACAGTTTCTGCTCATGTTTTCAGTGGTATAAAACTTCAGGACACATGTTCTGACAAAGAATTTATAAATTTATGGGTGAATTAATTGAGAATTTGTAAAACTATGAAAAGCGCTCTTTTGGTATGAAACCCCACATTTATTATTCATTCATTCAACTAATATCTATTTAGCATCTAATATGTACAAAGCACTCTTCTAAATGTCAATAATACAGTAGCAAATGGGACAAATGAGTCTTTTACAGAATCCTACCTAAAACAAACTCAATTAAAACTTAAAACAAGAACTGTTAGGAGGCCAGGAAAATTGCCCAGTTGTGAAGTGAAGAACTTGAGTAAACTAAGAGATAGCAATTTAATAGAGAGACAATGAGTTTACAGAACCAGAATATGTTTGAGAAATAGAAGTGACAGATTTGCTAATAGATTGGATATGGATATAAGGAAAGGAGAGGATAAGACCTTTCTCCTTTGGCCTGAGAAATTTGGTACATGAGGGTGGAGTTAACTAAGACACAGAGTAACAGAGAAGATGAAGCCTGGGGCCCAGGGAATGGTGGAATTCATTGTTTTTCCTTGACCATATTGAATTTCAGATGCACCCAACATTAAGATGCTGATGTTGACATTAATAGACACATGGAACTCAGTGGGAAATGTAAGAGCTGAAATATAAATTTTAGAGTCATTTGCATTTAGAAGATACTTAAAATTATGGACTTGGATGATATCACCAAGTAAGACAGTAAACATGGAGAAGAGGAGTCAGCCTTGGTCTGATCCATGGAACATTCCAACTCCAGAGGTTAGATAATGGGATCTACCCAATATGTCTGGGAAGGAGTGACCAGTGAGAAAGGAAGAAAATCAGAAAAGTGAGATATCATGAAAGTGGGCAAAGCAAGAGTTTTCAGGAGACAATGATCATGGATGTTTCTTTGGAAAAAGCCCAGGGCTTATTGAGTATGCGTTTTGTAGATTTATTGCCAAAGTAAAACTTATTTTAAGGCTATTTCAGGGTCCAAAACAACACAATTTCAGAGATTTATTCAGCTGAGATAAGTAGTTGCCTGCTTGTATTTTACGAGAATGAGGGTGACCTCACAAGAAGTATTAATAGCAATCAAATATCTGTTCATTCTATTTCCATTTTTCAATAGAATAATCATCAGGTGAAAGCAGATTTTAATCGTGACTCTAGATAGCATTGTGCTGATTGGACTCTCATCACCCGACTCTGAGTCAACTGATGTCCTTGCTTGGAGGTTCAAGCACCAAGTGCAGGTAAAATCCATGTGTAAAATCAATTGACCACTCAGAAGAATTGTTAAACTATTAAGGTGATTGGTCTTTGCTGTTTAAAATAACTATCAACAAGGAATTTTATAATCATAAAGATTCACTTCAATAATAACGATGAGAGATATATTTACACAGATCTAAAAACTGAGAGAATTTATCACCAGAAAATTGCTACAAAAATTTCTTAAGCAATTCTGAAAGAAGAAACATTATTACAGGAAAATGTTTTGAGATGCAAGATGAGGTGGTACAGATAAAGTAAAAGAAATGAATGCATTTTTAGAAATGTACAACTTACAAAAACTGAATTATGAAAAAGTAGAAATTCTGAATAGACCTATAACTACTTGGGGGAATAAATCCATAATCAAAATCTTCAAAAAAACCAAAAAAGTGCAGGACCACATAGCTTCACTGGTGAATTCTACCAAACATTTAAGGAAGAATTAACACCAGTACTTTTTAATTACTTTCAAAGAATTGAAGAGAATAGACACTTCTAAGCCGATTTTTTGAGGCCATCATTCACCTGATACCAAAACCAGATAAAAATGCTACAAGAAAACCATAAGCCAATATTCCTGATGAACATAGACACAAAAAATACTGAATAAAATACTAGTAAACTGAATTCAACAGCACTCAATGGTCATATAATATGACAAAGTGGATTTATCCTTAGGTGCAACATACACCCATCAATTAATGTGATACACCACATTAATGGAACAAAAGATAAAAATCACATGATCATCTCATATATACAGAACAAGTATTTGGTAAAATTCAACACCCTTTTATGATTTAAAAAACATCCTCTCGACAAACTAGAGATAGAAGGAAATTACCTCAACCTAGAAAGGGTACATATGAAAGGTTTAAAATTGACATTATACTCAATGGTAAAAAAACTGAAAGCTTTTTCTCTAAGATTCAGAACAAAGCAAGGATGTCCACTCTTACCACTTTTACTCAACATAGTACTGAAAGTCCAAGTCAGAACAATAAGCAAAAATATAATAATAAAAATAAATAAATGAAAATCATCCAAATTAGAAAAGAAGAAATTCTCTCTCTTTGCAGATGACAGGCTTTTACATGTAGAAAACCCTAAACACTCCACAGAGACAAAAAAATTTGTTAAACTAATAAATGAAATCAGTAAAGTTGCAGGATACAAACTCAACATTAAAAAATCAGTTGTAAGGCCAGGTGTGGTGGCTCACACCTGTAATCCCAGCACTTTGGGAAGCCGAGGTGGGCGGATCACGAGGTCAGGAGATCGAGTCCATCCTGGACAACATGGTAAAACCCTGTCTCTACTAAAAATACAAAAATTAGCTGGGTCTTCTGGCACGTGACTGCAATCCCAGCTATTCAGGAGGCTGAGGCATGAGAATCGCTTGAAACCAGGAGGCAGAGGTTGCAGTGAGCCGAGATTGCGCCATTGCACTCCAGCCTGGTGACAGAGCGAGACTCCATCTCAAAAAGAAAAAAAAAATCATTTGTATTTCTATAAACCAATAATAAATTTTCTGAAAAGGAAATTAAGAAAATAATCTCATTTATAATATTAATATTATCACAAAGACTAAAATACTTAGCAATGAACTTAAGGAGGTGAAAGTCTAATACACTAAAAATTTTAAAATGTTGATGAAATAAATTTAAGAAGATACAAATAAATGGAAAGATATCCCATGTTCTTGGATTCATGGATTTGAAAAATTAATATTAAAGTGGACCTACTATCCAAAATGATCTATAGATTCAATGCAATCACTGTCAAAAGCCCAGTGGCATTTTTTACAAAACCAGAAAAAAAATCCTAAAATTTACAGGAAATGACAAAGAAACCCAGGTAGAAAAAAGGTTCCTGAAAAAAATAATGCAGCTGGAGACATCATACTTCCTGATTTCAAAACATATTACAAAGCTACAGTATTAAAACAGTATGTTGCTTGGACAAAAACAGACATGTAGAGCAATGGAATAGTATAAAATCCTGAAAATAAATGCATGCATATATGGGCAACTGATCTTTCACAAGGATATCAAGAATACATAGTGGCGGGGTGGGGGCTGGGGGAAGGATAGTCTCTTTAATAAATGATGTTAGCAAAACTGTATATCCACATGCAAAAGAATAAATTTTGACCTTACTTTATATCACACACAAATTAACCCAAAATGAATTAAAGACTTAAACATAGAACCTAAAACTATACAATTCTTAGAAAAAAAATAGGGAAAAATCTTCATGGCATTAGATTTGGCAATGATTTTTTGAATATGACACCAAAAGCACAGGAAACAGAAGCAAAAATAAACAAATGGGGCTAAATCAAACTTAAAACTTCTGCACGGTAAAGGAAACAAAAAACAGAGTGAAAAGAAAATCTACTGAATGGCAGAAAATATTTGCAAACCGTAAATTTGATTAGGAGTTAATATCCAAAGTATATAAGGAACTCCTTCAATTTGATAACAAAAAAACAAATAACCCAATTAAAAATGGGCAAATAATTTGAATAAACTCTTCCTCAGAAAAGCCATGCAAATGGCCAACAGTTACATGAAAAGATGCTCAACCTCACTAATCACCAGGGAAATGCAAATCAAAACAAAATGATATGTCATCTCACCTCTGTTAAGATGGCTATTATAAAAACAAAAATTCAAAAAACAGAGATAGCAAATGCTGGTAAGGATGTAGAGAAATTAAAATCCTTGTATACTGTCCATGGGAATGTAAAATAGCACAGCTGCTTTGGATAAACAGTGTGGCGCCTTCTCAAAAAATCAAAAGTAGAAGTACCATATGATCCAGCAATCTCACTACCTCAATTTCAAAAGAACTGAAAACAGGTTCTTGAAGAGATATTTGCACTCCCATGCTTATTGCAGCATTATTCACAATAGCCAAGACGTGGAAACAATTTAAATGTCAATTGGCAAATAAATGGATAAAAAAATATGGCATATACATACAGTAGAATATTTCCCAGCCTTAAAAAAGAAGGAAATTCTGCCGTATGTGACAAGACAGATAAACCCTGAGGACATTATCCTATGTGAAATAATCTAGTCACAGAAGACAAATACTGCTGATACCATTTCTATAAAGCATATAAAATATTCAAATATGTAGATGTAAAGTAGAATGGTGGTTGCCAGGAGCTGAGGGAACAGGGAAATAGGGATTTGCTATTCACTGGGCATAAAGTTTCAGTTATGCAAGATGATTAAGTTCTACAGATCTTCTGTAAAACATTGTGCCTATGTTTAACAATAATGTATTGTTCATTTAAAAATTTGTTAGGAGGGTAGATTTCATGTTAAATATTCTTACCATAATAAAGAAGATGATATGATACAAATATAAAATGTTAAATCTCCAGTAAATCCAAATAAACATTGTCTTTATAAAATTATCGTAAAGATGATGTTTAATTTGAGATGTTTATAAAAAAGACTACAGGGGTTCTTCTTAGAATTTAGAAAGCCATAAACAAAAATCAACCTCAAGCTAATAACAATGCATAAACCACCCCCAGGTAATATACAAAACAATCACTTTTCAAGAAACCAATGGAGAGCTGAGTATGTGAGGCAACTTGGTGCCATAAATTCCAAAATCTGACAAGACCCTCTCAGCAAAGACAAGACACACAGATCTTTTCATCTTTGCAGAGCACAGAAGGAAGAAGTGACCCACATAATAGTAGGTAAGAATAAACATCCACATTTTGTAATTCCAAGGGGCAGAATAACATTGAGATTTCCTGAGAACCTCAGACACAAGAGGAGTCCGCATGCCCTACAAAATTATTTTTTATGGTCCTTCATCAGGTGCTCATTCAAAAGACTGTGGACAGAGCAGGAGATCTGAGAGAGACTCCTTGGAGGTGCACAGGCATGAGACCTCTCCTCATTCTCTAGTCCCTTTCTCTCATGCAAAGTACAAACCTTTAACTGCTTGAGGGAAAGCAGAAAAGGCCTAAGCAAAAAGGCCTAAGCAAAGAAAAGGCCTAAGCAAAGATTCATTGTTCTGGGGTAGGAGCAGGGGAAAAAAGCCTTCTGACCCTAGGTAATGGGCTAAGAGACCTTCCTGTCCAGGGTCCCAGGAAAAGGTGAACTGATGCTGAGATAAGAGTAGAAGTCAAACCTGTATGCTCCTAAGGGAGATGTAGGAAATATCCTTAAGCACAATCCTTGTGCTGAGTAATAAGTGAGAGGCAAAGGGAAATGCATTGAGGGAAGAGTGAAAGAACTCTTTTCCACTGGGAAGGGGAAAATCCTGCTGAGTTTAAGGATGTTGCATTGCTACAAACCAAAGGCTGGTGACCACTGGGGAGGGGCAGGAAGTGCTCTCTTGCCCAAGATCTCCCTATAGGTAGCTGGCAAAGTTTGGCAGCCACAGAAGGAAGGGGCAGTCATACTGAGAAAACCCTAACCATGACATCAAGTTTGCAGTGCCTGACTAAAACTGAGGCTGAAGCAGGAGAATCCAGAATCTCTGCTCCTTCCATACATCGTATACCTGTTAACCAGTAGTAGCATTGCTTGGGGGAAAGTACTGCTTGGGGGAAAGACAGAGCATAAAGAGAAATATTCTATGTGGTAGAGGGAAACAAGACCTACAGAAGCTAAAATTGAAGTAGAAGAAAAGCCTTCAACACCCCATGCCCAACATTGACCACAAACTTACACCCCACACACAACATTGACCACAAAGTTACAATAGCTGCTGCTGGAGGAATTTGAGGTCCATAGGGCTTTCAAAGTAACTATTTCAACAACAAAACCCAAATACACTGAATTGTTAACTAAACCCCAAACTCTTTACCTGAAAGAAAAAGGTATGTGCTAATTTTCAACACAAAATTTTCAAAGATAATTTTCAACACAAAGTTAGCACATAGGCCTCAGCATCTGCTGTTCTACGTACAATGTCTGGCATTCAATCAAGACTTGTGAGACAGAAAATAATCAAAAGAAAAGTAATTATCAAGAGATACAGCAGTCAAAACAATTAGAGGTGGCCTAGATGTTGGAACTATCAGATGAGGACATCAAAATAACAATGGTATATATGTTAAAATAACTCATGGAAAATATTAACATTATACACAAGTAGAAAATGTCAATAGAAAAAGGAAAGCCAAAGAAAGGGGTCAAATAAAAATGCTAGAATTAAAAAAACCACAATATGAAAGATAAAAAATCTCAATGACTGGTTTATCAAAAGTTTGATACATGAGTGGAAAGAATAAGGGAATTTAAAAAGAGACCAAAGAGATGATTTGATCTGAAATACAAGGAGAAAAATAGTTAAATAAAAAATATACAAACAAACAAAAACTGAACAGAGTATCCAAAATCTGAGGGATAATATTAGATAAGTAGCATATGTGTAATTGGATACTGAATGGAAAACAGAAAATAAGCCAAAAGGAATATTTAAAGAGATAATGGCTGAAATTTTCCAAATTTAATGAAAGACAATAGACCATAAATTTAAGAATTTCAGAGAACTACAACTAAGGTAAACACACACACACACACACACACACACAGACATATACACACACACCCCTAGTCACATCATAGTTAAACTGCTGAAAATCAAAAATAAAGAGAAAGTCACAAAGGCAGCCAGAGAATAAAGAAACTCCATATGCTGAGGAATAAAGACAGATTTCCCATAAGAAACTATGAAACTCTGAAGACAATGTTTTTAGAATACTGAAATTAAAGAAATAAAAGTCATTTTTGCTTTCCAATATTGTATTGGATGTCCCAGACAGTGCCTTAAAGAAAAAAGGTGTAAACATTAGAGAGGAATAAGTAAAACAAACTTCATTCAAAGATGACATAAGTATTGATGTAAAAATACCCAAGGAATCTGGAAAATGTTAATATAACTAATAAGTGAGTATGACAACATCACAGATACAAAGTTAATATACAAAAATCAATAGTACTATATTCTAGCAACAGAAAACCTGTAATTCAAATGTTAAAAGTACCCATTACCACTATATCAAAAATTATGAAATACATAGGGATACATATGTGCATGATTTGTACTCTAAAAACTACAAAAAATTTTGAGACAAATTTAGAGCGCAATAAATGAAGGGATATATCATAGTTATGAAACTTCAACAGGTTTAATTATACACATAATCAAAGTCCCTGAAGGGAGGTAGAGAACAAAAAATTCAAGAAATAATGGTTAAAATTTTTCTAAATTGAAAGAAAACTCTAAACTCACAGATATGAGAAACTCAATGAGTCATCAATTACAAGAAACAGGAAAAAAGCTATATTAAGACATTTCATAATAAAATTATTCAAAACCATTGATGAATAGAAAATATTAAAAGCAGCCAGAGAGGAAGAAAATTTAAGGAAAAAAATCATGTAATGATAGGCATTCACATATTCTACAATCCTGCAATTACATTTTTGTATTTCTGGATATATATTCTCTTGATACTATTGCACATGTGTACCACATCAGTAAAAATGTACAGAAGAGTTTATAATGATGAATAAAACAAAACAAAAATTTAAATGTCTATTGACATTAGAAATGGTTATACTATACAGCCACTGGCATAAATGAATGAGAAATATCAAAACATCACAAATTAGTCTTAGAAACATAATGTTGAGAGAAAAAGGTAAGTGTTAAAACAATACAATAGGGTTTAAAACCCACCAAAACTAATTTAAAAAACCATTTCAGATACACATTTAAATGTGATAAAACCATATAAAAGGTACGCAGAAATAGATGCAAGTTATTAAAATTTTTTAATTCTTGGGTTGGTTGGGAGGCTCAAGGATGCTGACTATATTTTGTATTTCATAATATTCATATCACTTATATTATTTTAAATGTATTAAATATGTTTAAAAGATGATAAAATGTAGATAAATAGATTAAGTTTATATATGTCTCAATGAACAGATCTATAATATGTTGAATAAAAAGAGTAAAATTCCATATTTGCACATTAAAAACACTGAAAAGTATACATAATTCACAAATATATACGTATGTAAAAGTTAAAAATAAATTAGAAGGAAATATACTAAATTCATGGTAATGGTTACCTTTATACACATCTATTAGGAGGACAGATTGGGATTAGGTTCGGGATCTAATAAAATTTAAAATGTTGGCTGGGCACTGTGGCTCATGCCTGTAATCTCAGCACTTTGGGAGGCTGAGGCAGACGGATCACGAGGTCAAGAGATCGAGACCATCCTGGCCAACATGGTGAAACCCCGTCTCTACTAAAAATACAAAAATTAGCTGGGCATGGTGGTGCGTGCCTATAGTCCCAGCTACTCGGGAGGCTGAGGCAGGAGAATCACTTGAACCCAGGAGGCGGAGGTTGCAGTGAGCCGAGATCGCGCCACTGCACTCCAGCCTGGTAACAGAGCAAGACTCCCTCTCAAAAAAAAAAAAAAAAAAAAATTAAGATTTTTTCTGTAATATCTTCTTTTATTTACAAAATTGAAGTAGGACAAAATGCTGGTAACAATCACTCACAAATGATGGAAACGTAAATGTTTTCTGTACTATTTCTAAGATTTTATTCCTCAGAATTAAAATCATAATAAATTAAAGATTCTATGAAACCACAAGTTTCGAAGGGTGGTTCCTAAGCCTGGAGTCTTTTTATGTTCTTTTGTTCTCTCTTTCTCTCTTTCATGGACATTCCTTTAAATGTTATTATTCCTTAAAAATCTCTAAATGTCTCCATTTATATGTAGGCTTATGTCACCATCTTTTTTAAACAAACATTAACTCTGGTTAGGAACAGGCCATTTATTAAAACAATTGTACCCTGGGGAAAAGGAAATACTCAGACCTTTAAAAAATTACTAGACATTGCCCCTGCTTTGATTCTAGTTCCTAAGGCCCCAGAATGCCATTGTGGTCCCCTAGCCAACCTGGAGGCTTATAGTGATAAGGTAATAGCCAGAATCCCTCTCTCATTGGCTCCAGCTGGCATGTTGACTCACCCCCACATGTAGTTCCTGTGTGTGTAGTTGGAACAGACATACTTGAGAATTGGCAGAATTTGCTCAATGGCACTCTGGACCCATGGGTGTGAGTGCTATCATCGTAAAAGGTGCTAAGTGAAAGTCTCTGGAATTTCCCCTCCCTACCAAGATAGTAAAGCAGGAATAATCCCTCATCTCTGAGAGAGCTGCAGAAGCTAATGCCACATTCAAAAGCTTGAATGAAGTAGGGGTTAGCAATACCTATTTAACTCTCACTTAACTCAGAGGGTGGCTTCCTAGAAATTGTATCAGCCCCTCAGCAGGTGGCATCCCAGTGAGTTGTGTTGGCACCCAAGTGGGGGCTTCCCAGAAAGTCACACGTCACCCAGATAGGTTTGTTTCTAGTGATTTTCACCTGCACTCAAGGAGGTGGTTTTTGCTCACAAGTTCCACCCATTGGCACCTTAACAATTTCTCTGGCACCCAATGGGCCACAGCCACACCCAATGATGCCCACAGCTCAGCTTTGGGGGCTCTTGTGTACTTCTCCTCAGCCCTAGGAGACAGGTAATGGCTACTTCCTAAATATGCTGTTCTTCTATTCTTCAGACTTCTCTTTACCCCTCTTAACAGTTAATCTTTTGGTATCAGTTTATAATTTATTTTATTAAATCTCTTTTTAAGTTAGTGGTGAGATTTCCATTCCCTACTGGACTCTGACTCATACAAGAAACCTCCAGATGTTTTGTTTATACTGAAAGCATAATTTTTGATAAATTATACTTTTCAGGGAATTTTTCCCAGTTCATCCATGTTGCCAAATTTATTATATAAACTTGTTCATATCTCCTTAATATGTAAGATCTATACAATGTTTCCTTTTTAAGTTCTAATATTGATCATTTATGGCTTTGCTATGTTTTTCTTAGTCAGTTTTGATAGAGTAAACCAATTTGATTAATGTTACCAAAGATACAACTTTTGGTTTTGAAAATTTCTTTGTTGTATTGTTTTCATTTTATTAAATTCTGTTCTTTATAATTTATTTACTATCAGTTTCTTTGGTTTTGAATACCTTTTCTTTTTATAACTTATTGAGAAAGATACTTAGATTCTTAATTTTTAATCTTTCTTTTGAATATAGCTATTTAAAATGATAAATTTCCTAAGTATAGCTTTAGCAGCATTTCTTAAATTTTGCATATATTTTCATTGTAATTCAATTCCCAATGTATTCTAATTTCTTATTTTTTCCTTGCATTTATGGATTTTTTGGAAGTATATTGCTTGATTTCAAGTCATTTGAGAGGCTTTCTAGATTTTTAAACATTGATTTTTAGTTTAATTTTACTGTGCTCAGAAAATGTACTTTAAATATTTTCAGTCCTTAGAAATTCATTGAGATGTTCTTTATGATCCAAATATGATCAAATGGTAAATATCCCATGTGCCCTTGGAGAAAATGTTCATTCAGCAGTTGTTGCATATCATGTTTTATATTTTTCCATTAGGTTGATTTATTCTATTTTGCTACTTAAATCCTACATATCTTTACTGATTTTTTTCCTCTTTAATCTACCAGTTACCAGGAGATGTTTGTTAAAATGTTTTACCTTTTGTATTTATTTTTTCTGTCTCTGCTGTCATTTTTTGTTTTAAATATTTTAAGAACATATTATTAGGTAAATATAATTTAGAATTTTTAAACATTCTCATTGGATTAACATATTTATTATTACAAAATGTCCCTGAATATCTTTATTAATGTTTCTTACCTTCAAGTTTGTGTTATTTGCTTAGTGTAGCTATACCAAGTTTCTTTCTGTTATTTTTATGGTATAAGCTTTTCTATCATTTTTTTCAATCTTTTTGTGCCATATATTTAAGCTGTGTCTCATTGGCATTATATACATTGGGATTGTTTATTCTGTTTAGTCAATCTGAAAGTTTTTATTTTTTAAGTAAATCGTTTATTTTTATTTTTAAAGCCTACCATCTTGCTACTTGATTATTAGTAGCTTTTTTCTTTTTTCTTTTTGTCTTTTGCCTTCTTTTGACCAATCACAGTTTTTTCCATTTTGTTTTTTATAGTTCATTATGTATTCTTTTTATTATTCTTTTAATGCTTACCCAGTAAATTATAATGAGTATCTTTCACTTAATAAAGTTACTATGAATTAGCATTTTCACCAGTGTTTCAATCATTTTCCAGCAATGCATAAACCTTAGATATCTTTACCTCCATTTAGCAACTCCTATGCTTTTTTTAAATTTTAAATCTTACAAGATAATTACTATCATTTACCTTAGTCAGTATTAATTTGTATTTATCCATATATTTACCACTTTTTTTGCTTTTCATTCAGTACTGTATTTCCATATTACCATTTATGGTCTCTTCTTTTGATTAAAGAATTCCCTTTGGTGTTTCTTATAGTATAAGTCTGATATAGTATAAGGTGATGAATTATTTCACTTTCTGTATTTCTGGTAATGTTTGTATTTTGCCTTTATTTATAAAGTATATTTTCACTGGGTCTAGGATGCTGGCCGGTTAGTTTTCTTCTTTTTCAAACCTTAAAATGTTTTATTCCACTGACCTATGACTTTCATTGTTTCAATTAAAAAGTCAGCTATAAATTTTATCATAGCTTCGTTGAGGATAATGTGTCTTTTTTGTCTGGATGTCTTTAAGATGTTCTATTTTAGTTTAATACAAAGAAATTATACCATGATGTGTTTAGGAGTTCTTTTTTTTCATGTATGAGGTACAAAAAGATTCTTGAATGCCTGGGTCAATGTCTTCAGTTTAGAGTAATTCTTGGTTAGTATTTCCATAAAATTCTATCCCACTTGCTCTTTCTTTTCTGTCTTTCTGGGGATCTAATTACATTTTAGGCATTTATCACCATGTCTCCTACACATATTTATGCATGTTTTCTTTTTTTCTCTATGCTATACTCTGATTTTATTCTGCTAACATTTTTTCCAGTTCTCTAATTTTACCTCCTTTTTTACCCAAACAACTGTTAAACATGTCTCTTACATTTATAATTTTACCTCTTGTATTTTTAAAATAGTTTTGGGATAAATGATCATTTTCTGGTAAATTTCTCCATCTTGTCATCCAATGTCTTGAACGTGGTAATTAGAGTGACTTTAAAGTCCGTGTCTTATGTATGATATCTAGATTGCCTGTGGGCCATCTCCATTATCTATTTTTTTCTCGGTTTCTGGTTTATTATTATTTTTTTGAGTTTCTCTGTTGCTGCCATTCATGATAATTATTTACCTATTTATTTCTTGCAGGGGTAAAAAAGGAATAAGAGATGGCCAACATTTTTGTAACTCAGAAAAGAAGAAAACAAAGTTTGCTGCCCTACCTAAAGAGTAAATAAAGGCAGAGATAATATTGAGTCTAACCATTTTTCTTGAGTGCTTGATACGGTGTATAAAGAGCATAGAAAAGCTCTGAATAATGTTAACTTCTAGCAGAGAGAATTTATCTTTTTTTTTTTCTTATAGGCAGTTACAGTAGGAATTGATCACCTTCATATAGTCAGGGAACAGGAGACACTGAACTGGATTTCAGATGTTGTGAGAAGTGCTCCATTCCTAGTTTGATGTAATCCTAAAGTAGGGCCTTTTGAGGACCCCAGTGGAAACAAGAGATGGTTTTGGGGGTCTATTCCCCTTTCCAGGATTTGAATGCCAATTTTCATCTTTCTAGCACTATGAGAAGGGCAAAAGCTCTGCTTACCTTTCTAGCTTTTTAGCTAATGCTTTTTTCTTAGGTGCTCACCCTCTCATGCTGAAAATATTGGGAATAAATTTCTCAAGGAGAAAAGCAGCACAGGACCTGCTTTCCAGTTCTTTTCTCCTGAACTGAGTCCCCTCAAAACCTGGCTACCTTGATAGCCCCCTGTCCAGTTGTTTTCTTTCTCCCAGGACCATGAGTCTGCTGAAAACTAGAGCCTTACAGTTCAACCTGATCTCTTGTCCAGTACCACGTACTAACTGAAAGATGCCCTAAGGAAAAAGTGGCAGAAAATGGTGAGCTTACCTCAAAGTTTTTCTTTTTACTTGGATTGTAGCCTTTCAAGGTCTTACTGACTTCGTTGCTCTCTGATTACTTCAAATAGATAATTTTAAAAATGTTTATCTAGTTTTAATTTTTTTCTTGGAGTGAGGGTTGGTCTGCTACAGCTACTCTTTCACAGTCATAATCTAAAATTTGAAAGGATAATGTCATATAAATATCAGAATTGCCAGTTTCTCTTAAAAATTAAAAAAAAAAATCTAGCAACTTTGAGCCTGCATTCTTGCATGACAGCAAAGGCTAGAGGCAAGTAGCTCCTGTCTTTTTCATTTCAGTTATATGCTCTCCAGTATTTTTTTTGTCTGCCTAACTAAGGGATCCCTGAGAGTGAAAAAAGAAGACAGTCCATGATCAAGCTTTGAGTGATTCCAGTACTTAATTATGTTGTAGAAAAGGAGAATCAAAAGTAATGTGAGAATGCACAGCCAGAGAAGTGAAAGAAAAACTAGACGATTGTTATATCATGGAAGTCGAGGGAAGACAGTGTTTCAGGTTGGAGAAGGAGGATCAACTGTACTGAGTCCTGCTAAGGCTTCATTCAAGTCAGGCTAGCACGAAATATTCTAGTATCCTGAGTGACACAAATGTCATTGGTGATCTTAGGAAGAGCATTCTTAGTAGATTTATAGCCAGCTTGGGTGGTTTGAGTAGTGAATCAGAGATGCTGAAATAAAGTACTGAATATAGACAACTAGTTACCAAGTTTGTGACGAGAAGGCAAGAGAAAGGATGGGGGCAGGAGAAAATCGTGTCGTTGAGCAATAAACAGAAGAGTGGTCCTTCTTTACTGCCTCCTTAGCACATAAGCTGGCCTTTCCCATTTTCTTGCCAGATGAAATGCTGCAAAGACATTTTCTTGAAGGCAAAGAAGAGTAAAAGAGCTGGTCAGCATTTCCGTATCTCAGAAAAGGAGGAAGCAAGGCTTGCTGGGCTATCTGGTGGCTAATTTAGGTTGCTAGAGAAAAGAGTAAATTAAGGCAGAAGAAAAGACTGACTCCCACCATCCGCCTGACCTGAGGAGTCACTGCATTTGTATTGTATGAAGTCATCTTTCCTGCCTTTAGAAAAAGCAGCACTCAGAAGACAGCAGCACAGGGGCTGCCTTATTTTTTGTTTTCAAAAACAAGAGGAGGGCTTGGACATTTCCCCGCTAGCTTCAGGGATCTATTAATTGGCTCACCAGTAAAATTACAGAAGCAGCCTGCCTGATAATGATTGTAAATGACAGAGACGATCAGGTTTACCTTGGGACGTCCCCAGGGGACTTGCAGCTAGTTTAGTCTGAACTTAGCATCAGCTGCTCAGGTTCCTTTCTTCTCAGCATGCCGTGGCTGGCCTCATCCTGTAGTCTTTCAAACCTAATTAGTGTTAGGGCCTTTCCTCGCTGGCTCCCTCCCATCCCCAGCAGCCCTTCATTCTTCTCACTGCCTCCTTTCCTTCTCACTGTTCAGAGCGCCCTGTGCATGCAAATCAAGGAACTGACTTGAGATGACTTTCAGAGCTCTGTCTCTTGTGTTTCTTTGGCCTGGAAGAAACAACGCCTAAGTTTTGAGCTGTAAGTTGTTTTTCCTCCAGGAAAATATACATCAACCTCATTGAAGTTTAACCTTCCTTAACTCCTTTATGGTTTGAAGGTATGCAGCTTGAGAATTTTATAATTAATTGGAGGTGTTGGTATATGTCTTAAATAGAAGTTAACATGCCAAATAGCAGAATGTTGGTGGAGGTCGTTTCATTAAAACCAAACCTCCAGATCTTTTTAATTTTTCATAAACTACTGTGTGTGTGTATCTATATCTATATGCATATGCATATTTGTGTATATATATTTGTGTATGTGTGTGTATGTGTACTATATGACACATATATATTGCATACACACATTCACATGTATATGTTACTATAATGGAGGTAGTTTTCATTGAAACCAAACCTCCAGATCTTTTTTTCAGAAACCACTGTGTGTGTGTCTGTATTTATATGTGTATGCATATATGTGTATATATATTGGTATATGTATGTGTGCATGTGTATTATATGACACACATATATTGCATAAATACATGCATATGTATATATCCCTTGAAAATATTACTTTTCAAACTTTAATGTATAAATCATTTATCAATCTTGTTAAAATCCAGATTCTGATTCAATAGGCCAGGGATGGGGCTCGCTTTCAGATAACATAGATGTTGCTGGTTGGGGGACCATATTTTGAACAGCACATCTTAAAGAGATTTTCATGTATTGCCTCCAGCTTCTTCATCTTACCCTACTCTTCAGTTCTGTTCAAATGTTGCTCCAATATTTCTTTAGGCTACTTAAACAAAACAATCATTTGATGGAGGATGTTTTCCCTATTTCTCAAAATAACAAATGGTTAGCTACTGAGTGAAGCAGAGTCTTGATTTGTGTTCTGGTTTCCTGTTCCAGACAAGTTTGTTGGGAAATATGAAGACCGATGCAAAATTCCTTTAGACTTATGTCAGTTTACTCCACCATTCTTTCTCTTATTTACTATAATAAATTGAACGACTAGCTTATTAATTTTTAAGATTTCATCTATTCCTACATATGCATATAAAGTTACAAATTCACTTCTTTCTACTAATTTATATGTATGTAACAATTTATTTTATTGTGGTCAAAAACACATAACATGAAATTTACCACCTTAACGATTTTTAAGTTTACAGTAAAGTATTACTAACTATATGCACACTGTTGTGCAACAGATCTTGGGAACTTTTTCATCTTGCAAAACTAAAACTCTATACCCATTAAACAAACTCCCCTTTACCCTCTACCCCAGCCACTTGCAACCACCATTCTACTCTCTAAGAGTTTGACTTTTGATGCCATATATTAGTGGAATCATGCAGTATTTGTCTTTTTGTAGCTGGTTTCTTTCACTTAGTGTAATATCCTCAAGGTTTGTCTATGTCGTAGCATGGATACAGTATTTTCTTTCTTATTAAGGTTAAATAATATTTCATTGTATGCCTATACCACATTTTCTTTATCCATTCATCTGCTGATGGACATTTAAGTTGCTTTCACTTCTTAGCTATTGTGAATAATGCTGCAATAAGCATGGGCATATGCAATATCCCTTTGAGATACTGTTTTCATTTTTATTGGATAATCAGAAGTGGGACTACTGGATTATATGGTAATTCAAGTTTTAACTTTTTGAAGAACTTCCACACTGTTTTCCATAGTGGCTACAACATTTTACATTGCCACTAACAGTGCACAAGGGTTCCAATTTCTCCATGTCCTTGCTAACACTTGTTATTTTCTGTTTGTTGTTTGCTTGTTTTTTTTAAGACAGGGTCTCACTCTGTTGTGCAGGCTGCAGTGCAGTGGTGCAATCATAGCTCACTGCAGCCTTGATCTGGACTCAAGCAGTCCTCCCACCTCAGCCTCCCAAGTAGCTGGGACCACACCAGGTGCACAGCAGGTGCACACCACCACAGTTGGCTAATTTTTGTTTGTTTGTTTTCTAGAGACAGGGTCTTGCTTTGCTGCCTGGACTAGTCTCAAACTCTTGAGCTCAAGCTATCCTCCCACCTCAGCCTCCCTTAAAATGCTGGGATGAGAGGAGTGAGCCACCTTGCCTGTTGTACAATTCATGGTGTACATAGTGATGTTTCAATACATAAAATGTATAGTGATTAAATTAGGGTAATTAGCCCATCCATCATCTCAAATATTTATCATTTTTTGTGTGTGTTGGGAACATTTAAAGTCCTCTCTTATACATATTTGAAAGTATATAATAATGCACTGTTAACTATAGTCATCCTACAGTGCTATAGAGCAATATAACTTATTCTTTCTATCTAGCTGTCATTTTGTATCCTTAACCAATTCCTTTCTACCCCACTCCCACCCCCTCCTTTTCTCACCCTCTGGTAACCTCTATTCTACTCTTTACTTCCATAAAATCAACTTGTGAAGCTTCTGCATGTGAGTGAGAACATGCGGTATTTTTTTGTTCCTGGTTTATTTCACTTAAAATAATGTCCTCCAGGCTCAATCATGTTGCCATAAATGACATGATTTTATTCTTTTTAAAAAATGGCTGAAGAGTACTTCATTGTTGATATCCATCACGTTTTCTTTACCTGTTCATCTATTGATGGACACTTAGGTTGATACCATATCTTTACTTTTGTGAACAGTGTTGCAAACAACATGGGAGTGCAGCCATCTCTTCAACATACTGATTTCCTTTCCTTTGGATATATAACCAGCAGTGGGATTGCTGGATCATATGGTTCTTGTACTAATTTTCTGAGGAATCTCCATACTGTTCTACATAATAGGTATACTAGTTTATATTCCCACAAACAGCGTATAAGAGGTCCCTTTCTCCCCACACTCACCAGCATTTGTTGTTGTTTTTTATTGTCTTTTTGATAGTAGCCATTCTAAGTGGGTTGAGATGGTATCTCATTGTGGTTTTGATTTACATTTCCCTGATAATTAGTGATGTTGAGCATTTTTTCATATATTTGTTAGCCATTTGCATGTCTTCTTTTAAGAAATGTCTATTTGGATTATTTGCTGTATTTTTAACCTGATGACTTTTTTTTTCTCTTGAGTTTCTTATACATTCTGGATATGAATCTCATGTCAAATAAATAGTTTGCAAATATTTTCTCCCATTCGGTAGGTTATCTTTTCACTGTATTGATTGTTTTCATTGCTGTGCAGACACTTTTAAGTTAGATATAATCTCATTTGTTTATTTTTGCTTTTGTTGCCTGTGCCTTTGAGGTCTTATTTATACAATCATTTTTCATACCAATGTCCTGAAGAATTTATCCTTTGTTATTTTAGTTGTTTTATAGTTTTGGGTCTTACATTTAAGTCGTTACTCCATTTTGAGTTGATTTTTGTATGAGGTAAGAGATAGGAGTCTTGTTTCATTCTTATGCATATAGATATACAGTTTTCTCAGCATCACTTGTTGAAGAGACTGTCCTTTCCCTAATGAATGTTCTTAGTGCCATTGTCAAGAATCAGTAAGCTGTAAATACATGTATTTATTTCTGGGTTATGTATTTCATTTCACTGATCTATGTATCCATTTATTTCTGGGTTATATATTTCATTTCACTAATCTATGTATCCATTTTATACCAATACAATGCTCTTTTGTTTATCATGCATAGCTTTGTAGTATATTTTGAGGTCTGGTAGTATAATGCCTCCAGCTTCGCTCCTTTTGCTCAGGATTGCTTTGGCTATTTGAGAACTTTTGTGGTTCCATACAAATTTTAGAATTGTTTTTGCTATTTCTGTGAAAAATGTCATTGGTATTTTGATAGAGAGTGCATTAAATCCCTAGACTGTTTTGGGTAGTATGATCATTTTAACAAAATGAATTCTCCCAGGTCATGAATGTGGGATTTCCATTTGCTTACATCTTCAGTTTCTTTTATCAGTGTATTATAGTTTTCCTGGTAGACACCTTTCACCTCCTTGGTTAAACTTATTCCTAGGTTTTTCTTTTTTTAGCTATTGTAAATGGGATTTTTTTAAAATTTATTTTTCAACTAGTTTGTTGGTGTGTAAAAACACTACTGATTGTTAATGTTGTTTTTGTGTCCTGTAAATTTACTGAATTTGTTTATCAGTTCTAAGAGTATTTTGCTGGAGTCTTCAGGTTTTTCTATATATATTACTATGTTGTCTGCAAACAGGAACAATTGTATTTCCTATTTTCCAATTTGGATGCTCTTTATTTATTTCTCTTTCCTAATTGCTCTGGCTAGGACCTTTAGTACTATGTTGAATTAGAATGGAGAGAGTGAACATCCTTGTCTTGTCCTAGTTTTTAGAGGAAAAGCTTTGATCTTTTCCCCATTAAATATAATGTTAGCTGTGGGTTTATAATATGTGGCCTTTATTGTGTTCAGGTACATTCTTTCTACACCTAATTTATTGAGAGTTTTTTTGATGAAAGGATCCTGAACTATATCAAATATTTCCTGCATCTATTGAAACGATCATATTGTTTTTGTTCTTCATTCTGTTGATGAGTTATATCACATTTATTGATTTGCATATGTTGAACCATTTTTGCATCCCTGAGGTAAATCTCACTTGATTATCGTGTATAATCTTTTTGACGTGCTGTGGAATTCAATCTGCTAGGGTTTTTTTGAGAATTTTTGCATCTATGTTCATCAGAAATATTGGCCTGTAGTGTTGTTGTTGTGTCTTTATCTGGTGTTAGTATCAGGGTTAAAGTGGCCTTGCAGAATGAATTTGGAAGAATTAGCCTCCCTTCAGTTTTTTGGAATAATTTAAGAAGAATTAGTATTAGCTTTTTAAAAAATGTTTGGTAGAATTCAGAAGTGAAGCCATTGGTCCTGGGTTTTCTCCTTTGGGGACTTTTTTTTTTTTTTTGAGACGGAGTCTCCCTCAGTAGCCCAGGCTGGAGTGCAGTGGCGTGATCCCGGCTCAAGATTCACGCCATTCTCCTGCCTCAGCCTCCCAAGTAGCTGGGACTACAGGCATCTGCCACCACGCCGGGCTAATTTTTTTATTTTTAGTAGAGACGGGGTTTCACTATGCTAGCTAGGATGGTCTTGATCTCCTGACCCCGTGATCCGCCCGCCTCTGCCTCCCAATGTGCTGGGACCACAGGCATGAGCCACTGCACTCGGCCCCTTTGTAGACTTTTTATTGCTGATTCAACCTTATTACTCATTATTGGTCTGTTTCAGTTTTCTATATTTTCTTGGTTCAATCTTGGTAGGTTGTATATATCTGGGAATTTATCCATTTCCTCTAGATTTTCAAATGTTTTGGTCTGTAGTTGTTAGTAATAGCCTCTAGTGATTCTTTCTATTTCTGTTGGTATCAGGTGTAACATTTTTCTTCATTTCTGATTTTATTAATTTGAGTTTTCTCTTTTTTTCTTAGTATAGCTAAAGATTTTTCAAAAAAAATTTCAAAAAATTATTATTATTTTACACTTTTAAGTGCAGGGGGTACATGTGCAGATTTGCTATATAGGTGACTTGCATGTCACTGGGGTTTGGTGTACAAATGATTTTGTTACCCAATAGTGAACATAGTACCCAATATGTAGTTTTCCCACCCTCATCCTCCTTCCACCCTCCCCACTCAAACAGGCTGTGGTGTCTATTGTTCCTATCTCTGTGCCCATGGGTACTCCATGTTTAGCTCCCACTTATAAGTGAGAACACGCAGTACTTTGGTGTTCTGTTCCTAAATTAATTCATTTAGGATAATGGCCATCAACTGCATCCATGTTGCTGCTAAATACATGAGTTTATTCTTTTATGGCTGCATAGTATTCCATGGTGCATATATACATTTTCTTTATCCATCCCACCATTGATGGCATCTACGTTGATTCCGTGTCTTTACTATTGTAAATAGTGTTGCAATAAATATATGAGTTTATGATTTTTTTGGTAGAATGATTTATATTCCGTTGGGCATATAGCCAGTAATGGGATTGCTGGTCGAATAGTAGTTCTCATTTAAGTTCTTTGAGAAATACCCAAACTTATTTCCTTAGTGCCTGAACTAATTTACATTCCCACAGCAGTGCATAAGCATTCCTATTACTCTGCAACCTTGCCAGCATCTGCTATTTTTTGACTTTTTAATAATAGCCATCTGAGTGGTATGAGATGGTATCTCACTGTGGTTTTGATTTGCATTTCTCTAATGATTAGTGATGTTGTGCATTTTTTTCGTATGCTTGTTGTCCACCTGTATGCCTTCTTTGAGAAGTGTCTGTTCATGTTCTTTGCCCATTTTTAAATGGGCTTGTTTTTTTCTTGTTGATTTGTTTCTTATGGATTCTAGATGTTAGGCCTTTGTCTAATACATAGTTTGCAAATGTTTTCTCTTATTATGTAGGCTGTTTATTATGCTGATAATTTCTTTTGCTGTGCAGAAGCTCTTTGGTTTACTTAGGTCCAACTTGTCCATTTTTGTTTTTGCTGCAATTGCTTTTGGGGATTTCGTTCTGAAATCTTTGCCAAAGCCTATGTCTAGAATGGTATTTCCTAGGTTTACTTCCAGGATTTTTATAGTTTCAGGTCTTACATTTAAGTCTTTAATCTGTCTTGCATTGATTTTTTTGCATATGGTAAAATAAGGGGTCCATTATCAATCTTCTGCGTGTGGCAAGCCAGTTATTCTAGCACCATTTATTGAATAGGGAGTCTTTTCCCCATTGCTTGTTATTGTCATCTTTGTTCCAGCTCAGATAGTTGTAGGTGTGCAGCTTTATTTTTTGGCTTTCTATCATTTTTCATTTGTCTATGTGTCTGTTTTTGTACCAGTACCATGCTGTTTTGTTTACAGTAGCCTTGTGGAATAGTATGAAGTCAGGTATGTGATGCCTTTGACTTTGTTCTTTTTATTTAGGATTGCTTTGCTATTCAAGCTCTTTTTGGGTTTCATATTAATTTTAGAATAGTCTTTTCTAAATCTGTGAAAAAAATGATGTTGGTAGTTGAATAAAAATAGCATTGAGTCTGTAAATTGCCCTTGGCAGTATAGCCATTTTAAGAATATTGATTATTCTTATCCGTAAGCATGGAATGATTTTCTATTTGTTAGTGTCATCTATGATTTCTTTCAGCAGTGTTTTGTAATTCTCCCTGTAGAGATCTTTTACCTCCCTGCTTAGCTGCATTCCTAGGTATTTAATCTTTTTGTGGCAGTTGTGAATGGAATTGCATTCTTGATTTGGCTCTCAGCCTAAATATTATTGATGTATAGAAATGCTACTGATTTTTGTAAGTTGATGTTGTATCCTGAAACTTTAATGAAGTTGTTTTTCAGTTCTAGGAGCCTTTGGGCAAATACTATGGGTATTTCTAGTTGTAGTATGATATCATCAGTGAAGAAAGATAGTTTGACTTCCCCTCTTCCTATTTGCATGCCTTTTATTCCTTTCTCTTACCTGATTGCTCTGGCTAGGACTTCCAGTATTATGTTGAATAGGAGTGGTGAGACAGGGCATCCTTGTCTCATTTCAGTTCTCAAGGTGAATTCTTCCAGCTTTTGCCCATTCAATGTGATGTTGGTTGTGTGTTTGTCATAGATGGCTCTTGTAATTTTGAGGTATGTTCCTTTTATACCTAGTTTGTTGAGGGTTTTTAACATGAGGGATGTTAAATTTTATTGAAAGTCTTTTCTTCATCTATTGAGATGATGATGTGGTTTTATTTTATGTTTTGTTTATGTGATGTGATAGTCTCAGTTTTGTTTATTTCTGCTGTGATCTTTATTACTTCTTTCCTTCTCTAGTTTTGGGTTTGGTTTGTTATTGTTTTCTAGTTCCTTGAAGTGCCTTCTTAGGTGGTTTATTTGAAATACTTCTACTTTTCAATGTAGGCATTTATTTATTACTATAAACCTGTCTCTTAATACTGCTTTTTTGTGTCCCATAGGTTTTTGTATGTTGTATTCCTATGTCAATTTGTTTCTAGAAATTTTAAATTTTCTTCTTAATTTCCTCCTTGATTCATTGGTTACTCATAAATATGGTGTTGAATTTTTATGTATTTGTATATTTTTGAATATTCTTGTTAATGATTTCTAGCTTTTTTCCATTGTGGTCAGAAAAAAAATACGTGGTATGATTTTAATTTTTTTTTAATTTTTGAGACTTGTTTTTTCATAACATATAGTTAATTTAGGAGAATATTCCATGTGCTGAGAAATAGAATGTGTATTCTGCAGCTATTGGGTGAAAACTTCTATAAATGTGTTAGGTCAATTTTGCCTATGGTGCACCTTAAATTTGGTGTTTCTTTGTTCATTTTCTGTTTAGATGATCTGTCTAATGCTGAGAATGGGATGTTGAAGTCCCCAACTATTATTGTTCTGGAATGTCTCTCACTCTTTAGATATAATAATATTTGCTTTATATACCTGGGTGCTCTGGTGTTAATGCCTATATATTTTCATTTGTTATATACACTTGCTGAATTGATCCCTTTATTGTTACATAATATTCTTCTTTGTCTCTTTTTACAGTTTTTGATGTAAAGTCTGTTTTATCTGACATAAATGTAGCTACTCCTGCTTGCTTTTTGTACCCATTTGATATTCCAAGGGATATCTTTTTTCATCACTCCACTTTCAGTCTATTTGTGTCCATATGGTGAATTTAGTTCTCATAGGCAGCATATAGTCATGCCTGTTTATTTTTTCAACCCATTTGGCCAGTCTATGTCTTTTAATTGGGAAATCAATTTACATCAAAGTTATTGATAGGGGAGGACTTACTCCTATCATTTTATTGTTTGCTGGTTGTTTTGTATATCCTTTTAAAATTTCCTCCTCTATTATTGTTTTTCATTGTGGTTTGGTGGTTTTTCTGTCACAATAAGATTTGATTCCTTTTTTCTTTTTGTATCTGCTTTACAGGTGAGTTTTAGAATTTTTTTGTGTTTTCATGATGATTGTTATTGCCTTTTTACTTCCAAATGTAGGACTCTCTTAAGTGATTCTTGTAAGACTGGTCCAGTGGTGATAAATTCCCTCAGTCTTTGCCTGTCTGGGAAAGACTACTTCATTTCTGAAGAATAGATTTGCTGGATACAGTGTTCTTGGTTGGCAGATTTATTTTCTTTCAGCACTTTGACTGTATAATCCCATTTTTTTTGACCTGTAAGATTTCTGATGAGAAATCTGCATTAGTCTAATGGAGATTCCTTTATATGTGACTTCACATTTTTATCTTGCTATTTTTAGAATTCTTTGACTAAAGAAAATTTGACTATAACATGCCTCAGAGAGGATCTGTCTGAGTTGAAGGTATTTGGGGATTTTTGTTGTTTCTGGAACAGATGTCCATCTCTCTCCCTAGACTTGGCAAGTTTTCAGCTATTATTTCATTTTGTATGCTTCCTATGACTTTTCCTGTCTATTCTCTTTCTGGAACTCATATAATATGAATATTTGTTTGCTTACTGGTGCCCCATAAATCCTATAGACTTTCTTCATTCTTTTAAGTTCTTTTTTCTTTTTCTTTTACGTCTGTCTGCATTATTTCAAAAGATCTGTCTTCCAGTTCAGAAAGTCTTTCTGTTATTTGGTCTAGTATTTCATAGAAGCTCTGGACATTTTTATTTTATTCATTAAGTTCTTCTGCACTAAGATTTCTGTTTGGTTCTTTCTTATGGTATTTATCTCTGTTGAGTTTCTCATTTAGATCATGGGTATTTTTCCTGATTCATCAAATTGCCTACCTTTATTCTCTTGTGTTTTACCACATGTCTTTAAGATTATCATTTTGATTTCCTTTTGTAGCATTTTGTATATTTCCTTTTATTTGTGATCTGTTCCTAGATAATTATTTTGTTTCCTTGGTAGTGTCATGTTTTCTTGTTTTTTCATGTCATTTCAAGAGTGTTACTCGTTTGGAACTGGATGTTTCTTTATTACATTTTCAGTTTCAAATTTCTGCCACACATGGCATAAATTTGAATATTACATCAGCACATTATATGAGCTTGGGGCTTCAATTTCTCATGATAGGTGTTTTTCATACCCAGATTCCTAAGCAAAGATAAATGTTCTTGGTCCTCTTTTGGCCAGTGGAAGGAGGCTATCTATTGCTTCTTGCTCACATGGGCTGGTCCTTCCCAGCTTAAAGTTATATTGGTTCTCAGTTCCCATCTCATCTTATGGCTCCCCCATGACATCATAATCCCAGCCACTGACTAAACAGTCCTACATATTAGTCCTGTATCTCTCACAGACACCCTCTCTGGCTATGACTTCCCTCCTACTTCTGCCTGGGAGTTTTCTTTCTTTTTAAATAACTACTATAGACCAGGTGTGGTGGCTCATGCCTGTAATTCCTACAATGTAATTTCAGCACTTTGGGAGGCTGAAGTGGGCAGATCACTTGAAGTCAGGAGTTCGAGACCACCCTGGCCAACATAGTGAAACACCGTCTATTAAAAATACAAAAATTAGCTGGGTGTGGTGGCAGGTGCCTGTAGTCTCAGATACTCAGGAGGCTGAGGCAGGAGAATCACTTGAAACTGGGAGGCAGAGGTTGCAGTGAGCCGAGATTATGACACTGCACTCCACTCCAGCCTGAGTGACAGAGCGAGATGCCATCTCAAAAAAAAAAAAAGGAACTGCTATATATATATTTAAAATTTATTATAGTTTACCTAGCATTTCTGAGTGTTTCTAGCAGAGAGAAAATCCATTTGAATTCAGTTAGTTATACTTCTGAAACCCTAAGTGCCACAGTAATCTTTGAAAAATATACAGTTGACCCTTGAACAATACAGGGGTTAGGAGCCCCAACCTGCCACACAGTCAAAAATTCACATATAAATATTGACTCCCTTCAAACTTAACTACTAATAGCCTACTCTGGACTAGAAGCCTTACCAATAACATAAACAGTTGATTAACACACATTTTTGTATGTTATATCTATTATGTACTGAATTCTTAAAATAAAGTAAGCTAAAGCAAAGAAAATATTATTAAGAAAATAATAAGGAAGAGAAAATACATTTACTACTGAGTGAGAGTGGATCATCATAAACTTCTCTTCCTTGTCATCTTCACATTGAGTAGGTTGAGGAGGTGTCATCTTCACATTGAGTAGGTTGAGGAGGAGTAAGAAGAGAAGGGATTGGTCTTGCTGTCTCAAGAGAGGATGAATAGCTGTATACCATGCAGTTCAAACTCGTGTTGCTCATGGATCAGCAGTAAATCGCATCACTCACTCCAGTATTTAAAATTGTTAAAGAGCTTCTCATCACACTTAGAATCAAATGTAATCTTTTTTGTCTATAGAGTCTTTATTAATTAGGTCCTGCCTATCTTTCCAGTCTCATCTCATGTAACGTTTCCTCTGGTTTATTCACTATGCTCTAACAATGCTAGATTTCTTTCTTATTTTCTGCCTCCTTCAACTAGAATGTATGCTTCATGGAGAAAGCAACTTTGTCTTGGTTACTGCTCTATCCTTGGCATCTAGCACAGTGCCTGATACATAGTACGAAGTGAAAAAAAATGTGTTGAATAAACGAAGATGGAAGTAATGCTCAGCATCTTCTAGTTCAACTTTATCCTTTTGCAAACAGTAAAATAAGCTGAGGAAGGTTTTAAGACCTTGCCCAATATTACAAACAAACAAACAAACAAACAAACAAACAAAAAATCTTTAATGAGATATCCAAAGCATGTACTCAGGTCTCTTGACTCCCCTCTCCTATGTTCTATCTGGTGACCACTCTGCTGATTATAAAAAGTCTGTATCAGGGATTTTGAAAGATAATAAATAGACTATAGTGTGATCCATGTCCTTCTTCCCACTTACATGAGGAATTTTGTGAAATATATGCATATGTAAATTTTTCTGGGGAGGAAGTCTGTAGCTGTCATCCAATTTTGAAAGTATTAAAGTGTCAAAAAACTTAAGAACTTCTGGTCCCCATATTGTTTGTGAACTAAATTCCTTGTATGTTTTCCCTTGTCTTCATATCAGTTCTTCTATTAACAAGAATCAAACAATTATTATGGATTAAATATCCACCATATTGCCAAAGAACTTGGTGTTTATGATTTGTATTATTAAAATGTTGTCACTTACAGGTGAAGAGTTGGGTTCTGGAGCTATAGAATCACTTGGCACATAAATTTAGGGATACTCTGCCAACTTCATTTATCAATACTGACAATATGAATGCTCATACACTGGCTGTAGTTGCAACAGATATTTCCTTAGCCAGATTTCCAGTACTCATTTCCTTAAAATACTGGATTTTGAATATCCATAGAGCCAATCCATAATTTCTTTCTCGGGAACATTTTGTCTCTACTAAACCTGCTATGTGTACAGACTGGCCAGGGGAATGGGGAAAAGGGACTAATACTGTCTTTGCAATAGGTTTTGGTGTCACTTCATCCCAGGCCATGGACCCTCCTCCCTCCCCTGAGCACAGTCCTTCATTCAGAGGCACCCTGATCCTCAGCCGTTAATAGTTGGAATGGAGTGGCCAAAGCTGAGCCCATCAAATACTTTTAAAAATTAGGATTGGGATTTAGAGACAGTCAGTTAAAGCTTTGATATGCCTAGAACTCTACCTATAAATTTGGAATTGCAGAAAGATATATCTTGCCATATATATGGAAAAGCAAAGTCTACCTGAAAAGGAGGAAGGATGAAAATGACTTTGGGAGACTTCAAAAAAAATTTTTAAATTTCCTTGGTTCCTGACAAATTTCCTTACAATCACTCTATTTTCCACATAGATTGAGTTGATTTCTTTACAACCAAAGCTTAACTGATGCAAAATTTTATTTCCTCTCGATGGATATTTTTGTGTTTCTTTAGTTTGTTTTATTTTCTTTATTAGTGTATTTCAAAGTATAATGTCTACAAGTGCTGGAGTGAAATAAACCAGGTTTGGATGTTGATTCAATCACTTACTAGCTGAATGGAATAATTTGGACATACTTATAGTAAAAATATTATTTATTCTTTTATCAGAAATTTATATTTAACTGGGCATGTTTATTTGATCTGGCAACACTATTTGTGACATAGTTTCTTGCCCTGTAAAACAGAAGCAATAAAACCAAACCAGCAAAGATATTGTTAAAAATGTCAAGGATATTATAAATGTTATGTAAACAATTTACATAACAATAAATGTTATGTAAAACAATTTAAGAGAAATGGTTAATTATTTTCTTTCTCCCTCCACCCCCCTTCTACCTTTGTTGTATTGATAATGCAAGGAGCTTGTTTACAAAGTTCATCATTGTAAGACAACCAATTGGGAGTGGATACATCCTAGATATGCTGAACTTTTGTTTACAATGTAAACAGTAACCTCTAGGTGAAATGACTTAATTGTAAGATAAAGTTTATAGAGCAGTGGATTGGTTTGCTTTGGAATATGGAATAGCGAAATGTTTCAGACCTTTTATGCAATGATATCTCTGTTCTTGAATTAGATAATTTGGAAGGTTACATACTTTAATCTATCTTATTTCACTCAGGCACCCTATCCCAGGGTACTCTAACATTCATTTTTATGAAACCTCTACTATGTTCCAGGCATATGCCCAGGTCTTATAGACAAATTGTTTTCCAATTCCAGTCACATCTCCTCATCTGGTGCTTCTCAACTCCTATAAAAAGAAATGAAATAAAAATACAATGGAATAACGAAAAATACGATGGGGAGGGAAAGAGGGAAATATATACTAGTTTACTATTTGCCTGTTCTGGGATAAAAGAAAATGTAAGATTCTTGACTGAAGGGGGTCTCTTTACTTCCTTCCTATGTCTGAGTAATTCTCATTTTTATCTTGATTACCTGTATTTCCTGACCTGGGGAATCCAGCAAGTACTGGAGGACTTCTTTAATGCAGCTCAAATTAACATGTTTTCTACTCAGGAGCAATGAACTTTCCTTACAGAAGCATTGATCATATATTTCTTTATTTATCACACAAGATCCAGTGGCATTAGACTTTTGTCTCACCCAAAACAGTGTGGCCTTCATGAACCACTAAGCAATGGGCAGAAAAATGGCATGCTTCCATTCTTATTTTCTTTGTTCAAAGTTAGCATCTCAGGAGATGATTTGTAAGCAGCAAGTTAAGAGCACGTGAAGAATATGGGCAGGTCTATAGTGGCTCTGAATATGCAAAGGGATCCTCATCATAAACCTCATCTGAAGTTTTCCTTTCATTTTCTTTTGCATTGTCACCTAAAGGTATCTGAGATGATATAATACTGTTTGTTCTACTCTGATTCCATGCTATTTGCTTAGGAAAAGAGAGGGAGTTAGTTCTCGGCTGGTAAGAATAGACTGGTGAATACAATGTCTCAGTAACTGAATCAATGGTGGGAGGACAATTTGTGTCTGAATGTGTCTCTGTTGTCTGTGATGCTTTATTTACAATTTCATATGACTTTTGCAATGAGAACTCTTCATTCCTTTTATAACAAGCAGTGCTGAAGGGTATGGCACAAAACACAAGATCTGAAGGCAGCAGCTTGAACTCATTGGCTGGCCGGGTGATCACAAACCTGTAAGACAAGTCAAAGATAAATGCTGAGGTTCTGCAGCTGGCCAGTGTGGCAACAGGCAGTGACCCAAATAAAGAGGTCATTTTGCTGGGCCCAAAGAGGAAACGTTTTTGTTTTGTTTTGCTTCATGGGTTTCTGATTAATAGTAAATAGCTATTTAGTACTTACTCCTGTAGCACAGTGCAAGAGGAGAGGTTCTAGAGTAGGAATGAGGGGGCTGGCTTTCATCCCTGCCTCTGAACCCAACCACTTCTGACTCTGGGCATGGTGTCCTCCTTCTCTGGGCCTTGCTGCGCTCATCTTTTGTTCCAGTGGGAAGAGGGGGAAGACGGTGATTTGGATTGGTTGATGTCTAATGGCCTTACTCCAGGTCTATTTGATTTTAAAAGACACTATACTCATGAATTCAGCTGGCACAATATTGACCACGTAGCCAAGCTTTGTCAACAGAAAGATGACATATATTTCAGGTATTTTCATCCTGACTTAGACCTACTCTAACCTAATGCTTATGCCACCGACTTTCCCACAGAATGTAGCCTGGCCAATGGAGAAAAGCATTAGAAAAAAACAGTTTCATTTGAAACCCTGACTGGCAAGCAAATAGTGAACGTTAATGAACCCTAAAGAATATCCAGAACTGTTAACACAGCATCAGGTACATAGCAAATGCCCAAAAATGTGAGTTGAAGTAATGAGTGCAGCAGTGCTTATGTGGGAACATTGAGGCAGGGTAGCCTTGTATGGCTTTCATCCTGCATTGCCTCACTAGTGCCTCAAATGATCAACTCTTTCCTAGCATAGATCTCAAGGCACCATTGAATTTCCTTCACTGAATAACCTACCCACTTGTATTTTTCCCACTGAGTCCTCTGTAGCCTCAATTCTATTTTTAAAAACATCAGCTGAACAAGATCACATATTCTGTTTAAAACAAAAATATCAATTTTTCCCCTGAGATCAAGTATTAATATAAGCTGTATATTTTCCCAGTTATCATGTTGCAAGAGCTGTACAGAGGTGTTTGGGGGAGGGGTGGAGTTCAGGTAGAGAGGGAGAGAGAGAGCTATTTCCAGAACATCACTCCTCCCCCATTGTCTTGGTGGTGGGTACTATAAAGCCATGGCACCTTCCTTCCCCATCCATCAGAGTCGTCTGTAGACCTCGATGCTTATTTTGCCCTTTAGCACTTGACATGCTCTTTCTTTCAAACTCTAGTGCAGCCATCTTTTTACATGCCTACAGTGTCTATGTGGTTTACAACTCCAGCATTCAGACGTATTGCTATGACTTCCAGTACCCAATGATCTTTACTTCCAAATCACTTTCCTGGCCGTGTCCTAGCTGTTTTAATTCCTAACATTGTTCCACCTCTAAAATGTTACATTTCAATAAATCACACAGCTGACTACAACTTCTCATCATACTTTCTCTCTCACTCCCTTAACTCTGAGTACATCTACTATTCAATGCATTGGGATTTCCAATCTTTCTTCTTTCACTGTATGGTCCAGGATTGCTTCACAAATCCACAGTAAGCCTCCTCTTCCACTCCTCTCAGCAGCTAATCTAAACATTGACTCCTTTCTCAACTCCTGATACTATTTCTTCCATCTTTCTCTCAGCAATGACTGTGCACTGAGAAATCCTAGTGCAAAATAAAAATTCCCATAAACACAGCCCTCACCTAGAGCTAGATCTGCCTTGGCATCTCTTCTTTTCCTCCTTTTCTCCTGTGGGCCAAAAAAATTGTTGCTGTTATTTTTCTATTCAAGACCACTCCACTTTGAGTAATTTGGCTTCCTTCTCCTTTCTCCTGGAACAAGTTCCATCCATCTATTTCCACTCTATTCCTTTCTGTTTCTTCTTCCCTTCTGAATCCTTTCCATTCCCACTGTGAGGATCTTAGTCTGGGCATACACAATTGTGTTGTCTCTAGACTGTAACCTCTCTTTCCCTTTCCCCTCCACATGCATTTCTATCTTCCTCAGGGCTGTCAGAGTGGTCTTTCTTTAAATTGAAAGCCGAACATATCACCCCCATGATTTATATGTAAAAAGCACCATGGCTAGCAAAGTAGGTCTCAATCAATATTTACCCAATGAGTCCAGCAGAAAACAAGTACATCTTTCAAATGTAGATAGTGGAATTCAGCTTTAGAAAGTTGTACAGACATGGATGAGGAGTAAGTTACAAAATTGAAACATGGAGCTGATTTAAAATCTAGCTCCGTGTTTCAATTTTCACTGGGGGACAGAGACTCCATTCTTCTTATATAGCCAATATTAATAGGACCCTAATTATTCAGGTCCCCCTTGTTTATACCAATCCCTCCTTATTCTTACATAGTTTTTTATTTCCCATGCACCCTTCCTTGCAACTGTGGACCCTGAGCTCTGGAATTCTCTTTCACATTGAATAAAGTAGCTTTGGTTCTTATGCTTGAATGGGTGGATGGTGCTTTCCAATCTAGCACACTCCCCTTTTGTTTTCTGGGTTGAGCTCCTCTTCATCAATTATTCGGTATAAGCCAACACACAGGATTCCAAAAAGATCTAATGAGCCACAGAACAGTTGTCCAAAGGTGTTTCTTGGCTGGGGAGAGAAGAGACAAAAATATGTCTGCTGGGCACTTTGATCAAGCAATTATAAGCACTCACTGGAGTGTCGTTTGCTTTATCTGGTAGTAGAAGCTTGGAAAGCCATTTCCTAATATCTTTGTGGTGGCACTGCCAGGGCGATAGGTAATTAAGAGTATGATTAGTTCTGAAACTCTAATCCCAGTGATGGTTTTTATCATTCTGGCTCTTTCAAGAGCTTCTGGTGGGTGTGGTGTGACATGTTGTTGTGCTTGTCCTTATTACCATTGCCATTCTGGTAACTACTATGAATTAACAATGAGCCACAGGTTGGAAAATGCAGCTTTTGAGATATATAATGAGTTGGGATGTTAAATGAACTCTTGAGGAGTCATCTTACCCTACTGTAAAACAGATCACAGTCCCAAATACTCATCTGGACCTTATTCTCGGGCTATAGCCAACAAGATCATTATGAATAGACAACAATTTCAAGCCCCTGCAGCAGCAAATGGGCTCAGCAAGATCAAAAGGGATCAATCCATACAGTTCTGTAATTCCTCAGGATAAAGAACAAAGGGAGGAACATGGCATAAATGGAGAGAGGAGGGAGAGGAGTGGGGACAAGTCTACCATCCTCTTTGATGCCAACAGGAAGTTGCTAGCAACAGTTTCCTGGGCTTATATACACTTACAAGTCCACCTGTAGGTGAGCAATCCGGGACTACGGAAATGCAAAGGACCAGACTACAAAGAGGGAGCTTCTGGAATGTGGTTTACACCTGAAATGCTAATGCACAGAACATGGGTCCTGCCCCTTTTGGCAGCACACATTGACATGCACCAGGTATACTGTTCTACCTGGGGGTTTTGCTAATGTCCTCTGAATCAACAAGAGATGTTTCCTTGGAACAGCCTGCCCCTAACAGTAACACTGGATAACTGAATGCAATGCCAATTAAAACCAAACCAGAAGGCACCACAATGACAAGTAGATTTCTCATTTCTTGGCTAGACCCTACTCTGATTCCCAAATGCCTGGATGCCCTGTTAGAATTTTCCAGAATTATTATCTTATCCCTTGCTGTAATCTACTGTTTACCAGCTCCCTCAGCTAAGAAAATGCAAGCATTTTCCACTGGCCAGTGCAGCCAGATTCTTAGACCCACGTACAGAAGTCTTCTGCCTGATTTCAGCTGACCTTATCAGATTTCTTTAGCATTTTAAGTATAGGGAGAGTAGGCAGGCCCAGGGTCAAACTGCTGTAGCTGGGTCCCTGCTCTGACACTGATTGACAATGTGGTCTCTGGCAAGTCCTTGCTTCTCTGAGCTCCAGTTTCTTGATCTGTTAAATAGAATTAATAATAATGCCTACCATATAAATCCATGGGCAGATTAAGTGGAAAAAATACTAAAAAAGACAAGCACAGAGAAAATACTCAATAAACATTAGCTGTTATAATTATTATGAATACTCTTGTCAAGGTACAAAGTTGCCAGGCCTCTCCGATGCTCCCTGTAGATTCAGGTTATTTATCTAGAAGATGGGGATAATAACAACTTCTTTATCTACTTCCCATAATTATTATAAAAATAAATATAACATATTAACACACTGTGATTTGTAAAATACTCTATGAATAATATAAACTTGTATTCTTTTTTTGTTATTTTTATTGTTATCATTTCTGTGCTATGGGACATCTATGAACCCAAATAGCCTGGACCATTTTCAGAAGCTCAGAGAGGTAAAGAAGTGAAAAACTGAATTCTGAGAAGAGTAGACTCACATTAACGTCTGATAAAATGGTTTCGTGTAAGGACAGAAGCCCCAGCTTACACCGGTTTCTTCCAGACAAGAGCGACGTGCAGCTATCTGCCACACCATAGACTTTATCCTTATCTAAATGTTGTTCCAGCTGAGAACTTACTCCTCCTGTCACCAGCATCTGAAGCAATTCCAGGACATGATAATTGTAGAAGGCCTGGAAAACAAGGACAAGCCACATGCAAAGTCAGAAGAGCCAATATGTGAACTGTGGAGGGGTAAAGGCTTGGAGATTTAGTGGGCATTGCTGTTTAACATGGACCTGATGGTGTAGAACAGTGTTTCTCATTATTATTATCTAATGCAGCTGAAGGATGGCAGTTTGGGTACTGTGCCAGGTTAGGCCAAGTGCAGAGAAAACAATACTGACCCAGTTCCTGTTCCTTGGAGATTACACTTCGGATGAAGAAGAAAATGGATAATGATACTGACACCAGGCATTCCCCTCTTCCCAAAATGACCAGAGGGGGTATACATGTCAGGTCACAGATACCCTAATCATCATCGATGTATATTTAAAAATACATATATTTACTGAGACGTTCTGTAGATTTTCCAGTGGGGAACTAATGATATTATTGTCATCTATACTTGAGCCTTGTGGATGTGGATTTACTTATAATCCTTTTGTTTGTGACCTACTTAGGGACATATATTGACATAGGTCTTATTAGTATTTGGATTTCCCATAGCTCTCATTATACTTTAGAAATTATAGGTGTTTAATAATTAAATGGATAGGGTTTCAGAATCTTTGACATCCAAATGAAACCAGAGGAAGATATGGCAAACTTCTTATTTTGAAATGAGCTTGAGTCTGAATAATCCCAGCCATTTTAATAAAGTCTCTTTCTCCAGGATTGCTACCACATTCATTGTGGACCAGGCATTAACATACATGGAAAGGTCATTGGAATATATTACCCACTAGGTTTTCTCAAATTTATTGAATATATATTTTTAATTTTTCATCCTTCATTTTATCTAAATTAGACTTTTGCTTTATTAAAAATGAGAATTTCTATTTTATATATTATCTAAATGCAATCATTTTGTTTTTATAATAAATATCAGGAATAACTTCAATTGTTATTCATTTGCCATTTATTTTCTCTACTTTCAAATTCAGGGATCCATCTTCTGAAATCTGGATTATCATAGGAACCTCTTTACTTCTTGTTCTGCCTTGATTTTCTTCTCATCTGCAACCCATTGTTTACAATGCTTCCACAGCAATTCCCAGAAACACAAATCAGATCGTGACCTCCACCTCCTCAACCTTTTAGTATCCTGACACGAAACCAGGCCCTCTGTCTCCACCGTGGCCTTCAAAACTTTCAGGATCTGATGCAGTCCCCCTTCCCAGGCTTGTTTCCTCCATGACCTGTCCCCTCTGGGGCACGTTAATCTATCTACAGTTGCTTAAGCGGTTCTTTTACTGCTTCATGCCTTTGCTTCTGAAACTCTGGTTCATCAGCTTTGTGACTCTTTCCTGGGTCTTCTAAGCAGAATGAAATTTCTCTTTCTTTGGGATTCCATGGGCACTGGGTTTTACTTAATTTCATTCTTCTATATTTTACAGTTTTTTACAGTTAGTTGCTTGTATGAAACACACTTGAGTTTGAATCTTGGACTGTCATATCCTAGCTGGGTGCCTTTGAGCAATTCATGGTTTTTTTTTGTTTGTTTGTTTTTTGTTCTTTTTTTTTTTTTTTTTTTTGAGACAGGGTCTCACTCTGTTTGTTGTCTAGGCTAGAGTGCAGTGGCACAATCTCGGCTCACTGCAACCTCTGCCTCCTGGATTCGAGCAATTCTCCTGCCTCAGCCTCCCAAGTAGCTGGTATTACAGTTGTGCACCACCACACCTGGGTAATTTTTTAGTATTTTTAGTAGAAACATGGTTTTGCCATGTTGGCCATGCTGATCTCAAACTCCTGACCTCAAGAGATCCACCTACCTTGGCCTCCCAAAGTGCTGGGATTACAGGCATGAGCCACTGTGTCTGGCTGATTGTTTTTTCAGCAACAGTTTTATAATCTTTAAAGTTGACATGGCAATACTTACCTTTTAGCATTGCTTGCAGGATTAAGTAAAATATACTGCACACATTGCTAAATTCTGTTTTCTTTATCATTGCTTCTCATGTATCTGGATCATCTGAAGTGATATTAATGAGTGTAGATTTCTGGGATCCCAGATCTCCTGGATCAGAATATATGGACAGGAATGGGAATCAGAATTTAAAGGGCACTCTGAGTGGTTCTGACACTGGTTGTCCTCAGATCAGACTGAGCAATACTTCCTGAAGATGATGTGCTCCTTCAGAAGATAGGCTGTGTCTGCATAAGACTCATATCCTCAGTGGTGCACTGAACAAGGCAGGTGTTTGAAGGCTGTAAGAATATTGACTTCAATGGATAGGTAATTTTTAACAAATAAATATTGCTGGTAAAATGTAGGCGTGATTGGGATAAGTTGACAAGAAATAATATAATCTATATGAATTAGAAGATAATAAAAATAACTTTTACAGTATTTTTTAGGTTAAAAGATGACTTAGCCCTAGTCCCCAGACTAAAGGAATTTCCTGAGTGATGTCTTCCTCCTTATGTTTCTTCTTTGTTACATCCCACTACCACCTGGGAGGGTGCTTATGGAATAAAGTCCCCGATATCTGGGCTGGGAGCGGGAGAGTGGAGGACATAAATCCAGGTTGAACCACAATCTGTTTAAGAACATGTGGCCATAGTGTAGAGTGATCGAACATAATGCCATTAGAATAATTCTCCACTGATTAAAGAAAAGGTGTAAATTCTAGGGTTATCCTGGTATCAATAGCTCTAGGAAAACATGTGCTTTACATATTTAACTGAGAGAGGCTTAGCTTTTGAATATATCATTTCTTCAGTTCTGGCATCATCAAAAGGATTATAATTTTATATTGAGAAAAATAATGGGATTTACATGTCACCCATGTTCTGTGAGCTCATCTCCTATTCTTACTATTTGGGGTTCTCTGCCACAGACCTTTCTCAATATCTCTTTCTTTCTATCTTCCCTTCCCTTTCCCTCCCTCCGTCCCTCCCTCCTTCCCTCCCTCCCTCCCTTCCTTCCTTCCATCTTTCTTTCCTCTCTCCCTTCGTCCTTCCCTCCCTCCCTTCCTCCCTCCCTCCCTCTAGTTCTCTCTCTCCCTCTTGTTCTCTCTCTCCATCCCTCTTGTCTTTCACAAGAAAATCTGCAAGTTGAAGGGCACTTGAAATATTTTGGACTTTCAAATTTGGTCAATGTTTCTAATATCATCTTATTTACTGGAACTTGGACTTTCAATGTTAGAAAATGTTGCTGCCCATAATGTTTTAACTTTCAGCTACCGTGAATGTTGTGGTTCCTGTCATAACCTAGAGTATTACCTAATGGTATAGATGCTAACATCCTAGCCAAATGCTGCTTTTCATTCTGAGAATTCTCAAAGACCTTAAGATCAAACATTCTTTGGGAAATACTTCTAATCTCAGAGTGAGATTATAGGGTAGGAAAACTGCAACTAACAAGCCAAGTGACCCTAAGAATGTCATGTAATTTGTGTGGGCTTGAATTTCCTTAGAAGTAAGGGAAAGTGCTCCCCAAGTTCAAATCTAGTTTTGAAAGTCTTTTGTTGCAGAACCAGATAGGAACCCTGCATATGGGCCTGGCTGCCCCACCATATTTGAATGTTTACAGCATTGAACTGAGAGAGGATTAAAGGCAAATCTGAATTATATCCTATAGGAATATTTCTTCAGCTGGGTCAGGAGTTTAGGGTAGTATACCAGGAACACTTGAAGCCATTTTAATGTCAACTGTATCAGAAGGTTTGGAGGGAAAAACCTATTATTCTACATTGAAAAAACCAGCACAGGTCTAACAAGGGATAGAATTTTTAAAATTGCCTGAAAATTTAAACAAAACCTTAGTATTTCTAAGCAGTGACAAGTTCACAGCACATGACTGTGGGCTTTGTTGCCTTCTTGGGATTCGCACATTTATTCTTGGTGTTTATTAGGGGCGGTGGAGAGAGAAAGGTGGAAGAGCACTATGGAGGTGTCTGAGTATACATGGGAAGGAAGAGGGCCCTTAATATCCAGTTGAAAATATAGTTCACTGGGATTGAAGTAATGGCTGGTGTTCTCATCTTGTTTCAGAAACTGCTGAAGCATTAGCAGATACATTCAGGGAGCCTGTCCTGAATGCATCTGCTCTTAGCCTTGACCTTCTGTATAGTGTGGGTATCAAGGAACCCAACGTTTAGAGTCTAATTGTAACCTCTGTAACCTCTTATGTTGCAGTGGGACGCAGATCTCTCAGTGCATTAAGCTGGGCTGCAGGTTGGAAGTGTCAAACCCAGAAGACAGTCTTTGTGGAGGGATATTATGGATAAAAGGGACATGCAAAATTGGGCAAAATGACTGACTCCTGCCTCCCGCACCAGACTTCTGGCTGGAAATTGGAAAACTGTCTCAGAATAGAGAAGAATAGGATTCTGTTTATGTTATGCCTCTCTGTTGGTCCTTCATCCTAACTTCAAGGGAATGAGTTCCAAAATCCTCTTAACAACAGACGTCTCTTGTGCAATTGAATCTTATGCAGGCGCCTCTAATATACCACAGATGAAAGTGGAATTGCTCTGATGGAGGGGAGAGATGTGGGTGGGCAAGGCAGGGTGGGCACATCTCCTTCTTTCTGCACAGAACATTGTCAGGGAAGGAGCCCTCTAAAATAAACTTGAAAATCCCTGTGTTGCAAGAACACTGATCATTACAGAAATAGATTTCTGGAGGGGCAGTTGATTGCGGCAGCGAGGAATGACTCTAGGATCACATACACTTGGATCTGAAAACCAACTTGTTACTGGTAAATGATGCAGCCTTTGGCAGATTATTTACCCAGCTAAGCTTCCGTATTTGACAGGATAATTAAACCAGGTAATGGAGGTAATGCACTTAGTGAATTCCTTGGCTCTGGGTAAATGCTTGTGAGATGTTACTCTTCTTAAGATCAATAGCTATGATTCTTGATATTATCTCAACAAGAAAACTCATCTAAATAAATTGCCTAGAGATCTATGTAGGAAAAGGTATGATCTGGGGGACGAGAACTGTGGTCATCAGCAATGTCTGCCTTGGGGGTCTGTAGGGGTCATAGCTCCAGGACCCACAACTGCCTTTCTAAGTTAATGGGGAGATCGAGGTCATTGCCTTCCTACCAACCCTCAGCCAGGAGATGCTCCAGCACATACGGAGAATAAATGAAGTGTTTGAGAACGTATTCAGGAGCTGCGGTAGTGACTCTAGATGTTGTTATTGGAAGGTGGTAAATGTTCTCTTCCTCTCCGAGGGTATTTCCATGTGACCAGGTGGTAAGATCCAGAGTCCACCCAAAATCAAATGGTCCCCGGAATAAAGGAGACAATGAGATTGGAGGCTCAGTCTTGATCCTTGGGTCTTTCTTTGGTGATGGGAAGCCACCCCCACACTGATAAGGGCACATAGAACCAGTAGAATCAGGTGCAGGGAGAAGGGAAACGAGAAGGAAAACAAAAATTATCAGCATTCACAATTATTTCCAATGGCCCAGTTCAGCTCATCATTAAATAGTGTTACAGTGTGTTCATTTTGCTGTGGCGTACAACATTAAAGATTCATGAGCTGGGGCAGAAAACTGCTAGGTAGAGATTTAGAGGTTCAAGATTCAGTCAGCACCCTTGACATAGAAGACGCTTTCTTCCCTGATGCTCCATTGCCGTCCCTGCCCAAATTCAGTTGAGCAAATGCCAGTCCTAAAATAAGTACTTATCAAGAGTTCTGAAGGCGAAGCTGATGATCCACTGTGTGTTGTGATCTCATGCAATGACCTCACTTTTAGGTCACACTATGTGGCCTTTATTCTCTATATAGCACATTTTGTTTTCCAGCAAGAATCTTCCTCTTCCACCAAGTGAAGCCCATTGACCCAATATCTGAAGGCAGCCTGGGAAGAACCTGCACTCTTTAGACCACCCAAGGCCAATGTCATGATCAGGTGCTGAGTGGTGGGAGGAATCAGGCTCATGACCAAATCTGTGTTCCTCATACTGGCTTGTGATTGTGTGTTCATTCGTTGTTGTCCTTACTCTTCCAGCCCTTCCCTGTCCATCCTGCCCTTCTGATCAACTCTAAATAAAATCTGTGGCTCTATTCCTGCCTGTGTGAGCCAGTGGTGTTTAATTGAGTCTCAATTTTAATTTAAGGCATGAAGCTGCCTGACATCTAAGGATCTCTGAAGAGAACTGGGACCTGAAACCCATCTGAAATGTATCTGCAGACAGGTCAAGTTCATCGAGAGTCACCTCCTGCCTGACACTCCAGTCATTAATTCCAGGTGAGTTAATTGACATATCAGTGACAGACAGTGATATAACACTTTCTCTGACAGAGCCACCTTCTCAGAAAAGTAACCTGACTTGACTTCCTCTAGTACCTCCCTAGCTCAGTGAAGGCTGAGCTGCTTAACTCTTTAGGAGCCTTGCACTTTACCAATTTGTTTAATGTTAAACTACCACTGAAGTGGTATTCTCTCTCTAAGAGCTTGATGGGGTGTATGAGACCCCTACCACGGCTTAAAGAGGCAGAGCCCAGGGCAACACAATCTCATGCCGAATGGCATTGATGTCAGGGAGGGAGTGGATATGCCCAGCCGTGCTCCCTTAAACTTGCAAACTGTGCCTTGAAGCATTCCTGAAATTCAGGCATGATGCCTCTCACTGTGGACCTCCAGGAGGCAGCAAGTTCATCAACTGTGCTCAGATTCTTCTGCATTTAAGCATCTGCATATTGACATCCAGCCATTTTGCAGCTCTTCCCTTGAAAATCCCGGGTAGGAGGAGTGTGGGAGGCAGTGGGTTATGTGGCTTTCCTTTGGAAGAGTTTTTGCAAGTCATTCACAAATGGCTACACACTGATCTCATGAGTCTCAGTCAATTTGAAATTCCTTTAACACCCTGGGGTGTACTCTGTAGAAAGCAGAAAAGTTCCTCTTCAAAGCTCATCTTGGTTTAAAAATAAAATAATAGACACCAGGAATAATAGCTCCTTACTCTAAAGCCTCCTGTCAACTATTAGTTCTTACACTTTTGCCCAGTTATTTGCTTTGGCTTACTCAGGCATGCCTGGACAGACCCAGGCAAGTCTTAACTCATAGCTTATGCACCTTCTTTATGTGGAAATGTTATTGCTTCCTTAAACCTTTCGTAAGCAACCTCCTCTCCTTCTTCATTCTTTCTTGCACTTACCTATTTAGAAAAGTTTTAGGTTATTAGCAAATTGGGTATAAGTTTAAGACTGTGAGTTCCAGCTCCAGCCAATGGATGCAGGACCCAGCAGTAAGGATGACCCAAATGCATAAGGGATAAATATGTCTGCTTTTCCTTTGTTCAAGTGTGCTCTTGCCATTGTTCCATCTGCCACTGAACACCCTTTCTGCAGAAAGTAAAGATTGCCTTGCTGAGAGGTCTTTTGTCTCCATGCTGACTTTTCTTCGCAGCACCAATTATCTATTTCTAACAACTCCCACCTCACTGCTTCTGAATGCTGTGTTCTCTCCTCTCCCCCAGAGCTGGGGTCACATGCTGCCTTCTCAACATCGCCTTCCCTGAGAAGGCAATGTTATTGAATCTTGCAATTCCTTCCCCAAATTTCACATTTCCTATCTCACATCTCCTTAGCCCTTTAATTGGCATCCCTCTGTGTTACTTATTTATCATGCACATGTCAATCCCCTCCACTCAGCAGGCCCCATGTGGATAAGGCTTTTGTCATTCTCACACTGCAGATTCCCCAGCACCCCAACAGTGCCCTGTGCAGAGTAGGTGTTCAGTGGGCATTTGTACAATGAATTAATTCCACCCAGGGGAATCCTAATGGATGGAAAAGGTCTGCCAGGTGGCTAAAGAGGTGCTGAAAACTAAAGAATAACCATGTAGTCAAGAATGCCCCCCATGAGAGGAGGAACATGGAGGGAGATTTGACTTAGCTCTGAGCAAAACTCACCAGCAAAGGCCAGAGCTTCTTCCTTGAAACTGGGATCCCTTTATGGCCAATTTCCACATGAGCTGTTTGGAGGATTTCAGAGAGAAGGGAAAGTGGTATCTCCTGAGCTCTGATGCCAAGGGACCTGGTCTGCAGCGATGCCTTAGAAGCTGAGAGGCCGACACTCACTCTTCCTGGCATCAGGGGTTCTGGCTGCAAGGGCCTCAAGTTTTTAATCTTGAAAATGTGAAAATGTTGCTTCCCACACCAAGTAGTTATGAGAAAAGATAAATTAATGTATGGGAACAAGCTTGTTTTTGAAAATCAAAGAGAACTTAGAACTGTGAGGTGTTATCATCTACTCAGCCTTATACTACCTGTTCACTTCTCTGCAGAGGGCTTGGTTTTGGGGGCTCCATGGCTTAGCTTTTCTTACCGTGGCCAGCAGAGAATCCAAGAAGCTGCCGGAAAAAACAGTGCCCGTAGAAAAGGCAGTGCTGAGATGCAGATTTGTTTCTTGGAGGGACCCTTCCAGTCCACCAAGCTGTTCAATAAAGTGAATGTTGGAAGGATTTTCTGCAAGGCAAGAGGCAAAAAGGAAAGACAAGCAGATCAGGTTAAGAATATAAGAAGTGCCATCCATGCAGGCCAAGGGGCGACCACTTGATCAAAAGATCTGATGTCTACTTTGGGGTCTCTGTGGGATCAACCCCTTTTTCAGTACATTTTTTTTTTCTTTCCTTTCCAAATATCTTCCTTCCCACAAAGTACATAGTTCTATTGGGTACATTCACCATCAAGGGGACATTGCTGGAGCACAGGCTCAGTTTCTCAAGAAGTGTTCTGATTGTCATCCTTGTATAATTTATCTTTCAAACCAGGATATTTTGGGGGAGCAAAAGGGAGCATGCTCGAAAATTGCCCTGGAATCATAGGAATAAATAGGAACACATGGTCACCCCAGTTAAAGTCTTTTATTTCTCAAAATACTATGAGATAGATGACTTGGTATTTACTTGGGTTCCTAGAGTCACTTAAGCCCAGTGCCTTTCAAAATGTAATGCACATATGAATCATTTGGGGATTTGGTTGCAATGCAGATTCTGATTCACTGGATCTAGGGTGAGGGCTGAGAGTCTACGTGCCCAGCCAGTTCCCAGATGCTGCTGAGGTTGCCGATTCATGGATGGCACTCTGTGTGGCAAGGGCTTAGGGAATCATCCTAACTGAGGCCAGTACAGCAGTAGCCAAATTATCCATCAGCATGTCTATACTGGCCCCAGGCTCCAACTCAGACCCTGGTAGGCAGCCTCTGAGGTGAATACCGCTGGTCACTGTGGTCCGTGAGAAGAGATGCACAGGCTGCCTTTGTTCCTAGACTCTTCTTTTTTTTTTTTTTTTTTTTTCCTCACTTCATCGCCCAGGCTGCCCAGTGGTGCAGTCACTGCAACCTCTGCCTTCTGGGTTCAAGCAATTCTCATGCCTCAGCCTCCCAAGTAGCTGGAATTACAGGCATGTACCACCATGTCCGGCTAATTTTTGTATTTTTAGTAGAGATAGGGCTTCACCATGTTGGCCAGGCTGGTCTCAAACTCTTGACTTCAAATGATCCACCCGCCTCAGCCTCCCAAAGTTTGTTTCTAGAATCTTCTTTCAAGAACGTTTGTCTTAAGAACAGCATTGGAAGATAGAGATGGTGTCTCCCATAGGAGCAAAGGGAAGGCATGCTTACTGCCTGTTTTAAAAGACTCTGGTTTCCTGAGCTCAGGTTCCTATCCTAAAGAGCAATCCACTGTGGGTACAGGTGTCACTTGGCCCTCTTCATGTCACCTGGTGGAAAGCAGGGCTTGAGCAACCAACACAAAAATGAGGATACTGTGGCTGCTGTTATTGCTCTGAGTAATAAACTGATTGGTTTTGTTTTGTTTTGTTTTGGTCTCTGATCCAGGAGTCTTATATCTTCTGCCAGCATCCATGAGACTGGGGTAGGTGCACTTGTTGGTTTGCAAATAGGATAGCCTTAGACTCTCCACAGTTCTTGACATTACAGTTCTTGAAATGACCAATCCAAACAAATCTGCTGGACAAGCAACTCAGAATCCATTGCTTGCTATGACTGGATTATCCCCTAATGCCTTAAATTATTCCTCAGTATGTTTAGGGGAAGTGACATTAATGAATGAAGTGATATTAATGAATCATTTTCTTCTGAGAACAGCTTTATTTTCATAAAAGATGAGCAAGGTATGACTAATATCAATCCACATCTCCTGTGCACTTCTACATTTCTCTCCCTGCATTGTGAGCCCTCCACACACACACATGCGCACGTGCGCGCACGCACACACACACACAAATATCCCATGAGCCTTTGTCCAAATTCTGCTGTATCATCCTAAACTAGTGGCCTCAGCTTTCCTGGCCATTTCCTTCAGATCCCCATCCATTCTGTACCAAAGTGGTACAGACCTGCAACTCCCACATCAACATGACCCTTTCCAGCCAGCCAGACAACAAGAACCTGGACAAGCTGGCAGGTAGGTTGTTAGGCTAACTTGACAAGGGCTACATGGTGCCAGAAACAAAGACTGTAAGTCCCTGGAGAGTGATCAGATGCACCTCTGGGTCAGTGAGAAACTGGCTGATTTCTTCGCAACCACTCTAACTTACACTCTTCTTTGAATTAATTCGTTTGGTGTATACAGTTGGCCCTCCATTTCCACATGTTTTGCATTCAAGAATTCAACTAATTGAATTCTTGAATGGAAACCCATGGATACTGAGGGTTGACAGTACTACACCATTTTATATAAAGGACTTGAGCATCATGGATTTTGGTGTCTGCAGGAAGTAGAGCCAGGGGAGGAGTGGAGAGTGAGTGAGTTATGGAACCAATGCCTCACAGATACAGAGAACCAACTGTGTACAGCTCAGGAGTTAGAGATGGTTCAAAGGGGAGGAAAAAAGTAAAATATAATTAAAAACTGCAGCAGACAGCTTCAAGGTGGTTCCAAATAGGCAGGCAGGTACTAGGATCCAGGGGTCTAGGATCTTCAGAGCTGAACTTCAACAGCCTCTGCTCCACAAAATGGTCAGGAAAGCTAGGTAGCAATGAGGCAGTGCCTCACCTCTCACCTGCTACACTGTCACTCCCAGCTCAAGTGGCAGTGACACCTACTGATTCCTCTCTAAGTTCCCCTGCTTTGTTTGCAGGACTAAGATTTCTAGATGTTCACCTAATTTGGGATAAATCCCAGTGGTTTTGGTAATCTTGCTCATAAAATGCCCATTATGCATTTTTCTGGTTAGTAAAATCAGGTCAAGTCACAGCCAGGACCAGTTTTTAGAGATCATCTCTGAATTGGTTCAATCTGCGCTAGTGGCACCGTTCTCCTCTTGCCTGGGATTTTCTCCTTTTCCCTTCGACTATACTCAGTATAGTTGAATACAGACGCAATGCGTCCCCTGGTGCCCCAGCAATGCACCCCACCAAAGGCACTTGGGCACCCTTCCTTGCCTTCCCTCCCTTGTCTTCTGTTCCCACAGCTCCTCGTGCCTAGGGAAGTTTTGTACAGGTGTTGGTGACAGATAACAGCATATTCTGTTAATTCTTCGAGAGTTTTTTTTTTTTTTTTTTGCCTATTTTAGGAAAGTATCACTCAGGGCTTGGATTAAGGTGACGGGGGGAAATACATGGGACACAAAATTTGGAGACACCAAGGGTGAGCACCTCCTCTAAGTCTGTACCCCACATGCCTCTCCTGCCTTACCCTGGCCCCAGCCCTGGTGTCACTGCTGGAAAGGAAGGCATCTGACCCGAAGTCCTGTGATGGGTTTGACTAGTCAGTACAGGGAGATTCTTTCTAGCAGTCTTCATATCGATGGCCCCTCCCTCTGAATAAGACTAAGCTAGTTGCTGGTCCCCCTCCCTCTGCTGGTAACTAAAAGAGTGGAGAAGGCAGATGTCATTTCTGAACCCTGACACCAGATATACCGATGTCCCCAGTTGGATCAAAGCCCAGTGTAACATCCGGGCAAGCACTTAAAGCTCTGAGCCCCATTCTGGTTCCTGAGTCCTGTGATTGTGCATTCTAAAAAGATCCTTGGAACATAAATTATATATCACAAAAATTTCTCCATTGAATTTTCCCCTCGAAACACCACTTACTCAGTTCAGTAAGGATAGGGACTTTTCGGCAGTTTGATTTCTCATTATGTCCATTTGTGTAACCTGGAGTCTCCTCTGCAAAGAAGAAAAGAGGTGATAAATGCAAACACAATGCCTTACAAAACTTGTCAAAAATGTAGAAGAATATAATGTAACTTGGTGCTTTATCTTAGCAAAGTTACTTTCATGTATAAATCCCAAATCCTTTACTATGTTTAGACAAAAAATTGTTATGTGGGTCTCCTCAGCATCTCCTTTAGATAAATGTGGGGAGGGGAGTGTGTATGTGTGTGTGTGTGGTGGGGGGGTCTTTCTTCTTTTCTTTTTTCTTTTTTCCTTTTTTGAAACAGGGTCTTGCTCCATCACCGAGATTGGAGTACAGTGGTGCCATCAGAGCTCACTGCAGGCTCCAACTCCTGAGCTCAAGTGATCCTGCTGCCTCAGCCTCCTGAGTAGCTAGGACTTCTGGCACATGCCTCCATACCCAGCTAATTTATTTTTTTTTTTATTTTTATCTTTGCAGAGATGGGGTCTTGCTATGTTGCCCAGGCTGCTTGCAAACTCCCAGCCTCAAGTAATCCTCCTTTCTTTGCTTCCTGAAGTGCTGGGATTACAGCTATGAGCCATCGTGCCTGGCTATGTCTATTCTTTCTCAATGGCACTTCAAATGACTTACAAAAAAGGCAAAGCTCTCCCAGTAGTTGCTTATTGATGTCACAATTAAGATATGCTTACTCTCCACTGAGTGGCTGTGCTAGGTAACAATTCAGTCAGGCAGTAGCTCAAACCACATCAATTTGCCTGTAGTATTTTTCGGAAACTGCAAATATATGGGTGGTGCTGTCCCCATGAGTGCTTTAGGACACATTGCAAGTGGCTGCTGGCTCCAGGTATTCTCTGCCTCTTTGAGCTCCTCACTGGGCTGAGGCACTGCTGTTGTCTCTGCAGAACTGGCTGCCTGCCTGTCTCCATATGGAAGGCTGTGGGGTTTCTTAAAGCCTGAGCTGGGATGTCACTCAGAGAGCCCTTGACCTCTGTGCTCAGGTTGTAGACACATTTCCCTCCTGTCTTCGGAGATAAGGCACTGCAGTAACCTCTGTGAGACTCGACCCCAAAACAGGGCATGCACAGCACTGGCCTGATACAGCTTTATCATGTGGTGAGTTTCAAAAAGAAGTATGACATCAGAGGTTTAGTCTCCAACTTAAACTAAAAATGTAAGAGGAAAGAAATGGAATAGAAGGTTGGGTGCAGTGGCTCACACCTATAATCTCAACACTTTGGGAGGCTGACATGTGAGGACTGCTTGAGTCTAGGAGTTCAGGACAATCCTGGGCAACATAGAGAGACCTGTTCTCTACAAAAATTAAAAAAAAAAAATTAGCTGGGTGTAGCAGTGCAGAGCTGAAATCCCAGCTACCTAGGAGGCTGAGGTGAGAGGGTCGCTTGAGCCCAGGAGTTCAGAGCTTACGGTGAGCCGCCATCACGCTATTGCACTCCAACTTGGGTGACAGACCGAGATCCTAGCTTAAAAAAAAAAAAAGAAGTTGGTGGGGAAAATGGGAAAATAGGGTGCCATGAAAAAGAAAAAGAAAAACACACCATAATGGCATTGTAAGTTGTGCTTACAACTGTTGTTTACTTTCTTAAAGTTTTCTGAGGATGTAAGAGGAAAAAAATATTGTAAACCTTCAAGATCTACTTGTAATTAAGATTCCCTGCTGCTTAGAAGAGAGTGAAATCTTTGGAAGGTCCTTTGCTCCCTGAGTGGGGTAATTGGTAGGGCTGAAAAGTGGAATGAATGCAGTTGAGCTCTGTGCTAAGGCCCCCTGAAAAACAGACAATGGGAAGATGACAGGGAATGGAGCCACTGAGGTGGAGACCAGGAAGGAAAAGGGGAAATCCAAAGAGAGGTTTGTTTCCAGAGGGAATGCTATGTACTACAATATTTCACACCTTTTCCACCTCACTACTGAGATGGAAAAGAGCCACTTCTTGTTAATGCAGAGTAGAGCTGAATATATTTCTGATTTCTACTAAATTTCTGAGTAATGAATGTAGGATAAAAACTGAAGCTCCTCATGAAGAACCCAAGATATTTGGTTTATGTCTAGAACCATCAGTGACCTCCAGAATTTCGCAAAATTTTTCAGTTTTTGGTGAGGAAATGGAAGCTCAGAGGGCTAACTGGATTCGCACAGCTATTAAAGAGGAAGGTTTACACAGATGGCTAGAGATCATAATTCACTGATAATTCTTACTCTTGATGGGATCTAAATACCTTAAATTGTTTTTCCTTAAAAATATCTCTGAAATTTCCATAATGCAGGAAGACTTGGGGGAATTAAAGTTCTATTTTATTCTCAGATTAAGATGCCTTATCTGTTTCATGTGTCCTCTTTCCCTCCTTTTCTTCTCCCTTCTCTTCTATTCCCTTCCCTCCTTTCGTTCCCTTTTTCCTTTCTAATTTCTTTCCTTTCCTCTTTCCTTCCTTTCTTTCTCCCCTTCCTCATTTCCTCCCTGTCTTCCTTCCTTCCTTCCTTCTTTTCTTCCTTTCCTTTCCCTTCCCTTTCCTTCCCTTCCCTCACCCCTTTCCTTTCTTTCTTCCTTTTGTTTCCTTCCTTCCTTCCTTTCCTTCCTTTGTTTCTTCCTTCCTTCCTTTCTTTGCCTTCCCTTTCCTTCCCTTCCCTCTCCCCTTTCCTTCCTTCCTTCCTTCTTTCCTACCTTCTTTCCTTTCCCCTCCCTTCTTTTCCCTTCCTTTCCCTTCCCTCCCACCTTTCCTTCCTTCCTTCCTTCCCTTCTTCTCCTCCTGTTCTTTTTTCTCTCGTCCCTTTCCCTCTTCTCCCTTCCTTTTTCCCTTCTTCCTTTCCTTCATTCTTTTCTCTTTTTCCATTCTTTCTTTTCTTCCTTCCTTTTTTCCTTCTTCCCTTTTCTTCCTTCCTCCTCTTTTCCTCCTCCCTCCCTTTCTTCCTTTTTAAATATTTTAAAATATCTACTCCATGATAGAACTATGTACAGTCCTCGCCCCAGTTACATACCACATGTTGCAAATACAAAATATTTTCAGATATTGATGAGTTTGAGAAAACCCCAAACTTTAGAGGATAGTCATTGAGTTTGGAGACATGACTTTAGATAAGGTCCCAAAGGGGGGCTTCTCTGACATTGAGACAGAATCTGAGGAAAAAGGAAAAGTCATCCTGGCAGAAGGGTTGTGATAAAGAACCCATGGTGGGAAATAGCCAGTGTGAACAGGGTGAAGGAGGGGAGAATCCAAGTTCCTTGCTGGCTTGCAAGATCCTAGATTTTCCTTTAATTGCCATGAGTCAACATTGTAGAATTTAAAGTAAGGAAATGAGATTATCCGATGAATATGTGTAAAAGAGCTCTGGCTGCTGTAAGCAATGGACACTGTAAAGAGATAAGAATTATATAATTGTTACATGTACTCTGTGAGTTACCCATAGTGAGATCATCTTTGATGATGAGAAAACTGCAGCCAGGATTTACATACCATGCCCAAGATCACAAGGCTTGTAAATAATGGAAGTGGCTTCACAGCCTGATCAGCACCAACTTCAAAGCCCATACCCTTTTCAGGGTACCTACTTAAGTTGTAGCCCTATTACAATATACAAGGTTTGACTGGAATTTTCAATAACATATTGAAATCAGTTTTCTTCAAAGGGGAAACCTCTCTATGGGTAAATCCCCCTTTGAACCCCACTTTCTGATTCCAGTTCTTTGCTAATAAAGGACTTGAAATATCCTGACTTTTAGAATCTAGTGTTCTAATCGGGTACAGACACAATCACATCAGCTGAAGCAGCTGTATGAAAATCTGCTTCTGATGCCGGCTGAAGGACAGCATCTGAATTTCCACCTTAACTCCATCTCCTTTTCGAGCAATGGTTAATTTGAATGTGTCAGATCATAGCCTGGGTACATTTTACTAATGTCAATATTTTTGTTACCTAATAGTACACAGTATTATACCTGAAATCTTCCAGCCTGGCAGGGTGCTATTACAAAAGATTGCTTAATTGTAGATTACTTCGGTACATTTAAATTTCAGTAGCATATTAAGTTGTCAGGCTTAATTACTGTTATATGTTTAGATTATGCCACAGATTATTTAGTTCAGTACCTAGGTTTGCCAACCTGTTCTCCTTGTGATGTGACAGGGCAGTAATTAGAGTATTACAGAAAAACCTAAAATTTCCCATGGAGATGTCCAGGAGGCCTGGCATTCTCACTGATTCTTCAGAGATTCCTCACTCTGCTGCTCCCCCAAAACCCCCCGCCTCATCCAATTTCCGTTGGTGAATTTCTGCAGTGAATAGCCTTGATGGTCCTAGCTTGGCTTCGCATTTATGTTTATCATTACTACAAAGATGTGGAAAAGCCCACTGATCCCTCAAAGGCCTCACCAGATAGGTTAGGGCGGAGTTTCTCCACCTTGGTACTGCTGACATTTTCTAATTGTGTGAGGCCGTCCTGTGTATTGAAAGACGTTTAGCAGCATCTTTGACTTCTACCCACTAGTGGTGATAGCATTCCCACAGTGGTGAAAATCAAAACTGCCTCCAGCCATCATAAGGTGACCTCAGGAGATAAATTGCCACTGGTTGAGAACCACTCTATCCCCTAGTGAAAGGGATAGAAAACTGCCTAGCAGCAAATCTTATTTTAGTGCTGATTGTGGACGATGCTTTCTGCCTCCTGGTAGAATCTCATGATCCTTTATAATTTCAGTTCTTGGGGGTGTGTATTCCTGGTTCTACCTCTTAATGCTTGGTGGAAGAGGAGTATTATTATGGAATGAGAAGAATGATTAAGAAAGCCAAACAGGCTTCTGTGAAGATTGGGAATTTCTATAATATTAATACAAACTCCAGATAGAGACTTATGATGCCAGAGTAACTGGGGAAGATTCTGGGTAATAGCCCTTTGCTATTCACAGGTTGCCTCAAAATGTTCTTAAAATGTGACCTCATGGCCAGGCGTGGTGGCTCAAGCCTGTAATCCCAGCACTTTGGGAGGCCGAGGCAGACGGATCACAAGGTCAGGAGATCGAGACTATCCTGGCTAACACGGTGAAACCCCGTCTCTACTAAAAATACAAAAAATTAGCCAGGCATGGTGGCGGGTGCCTGTAGTCCCAGCTACTTGGGAGGCTGAGCCAGAAGAATGGCATGAACCTGGGAGGCGGAGCTTGCAGTGAGCCAAGATCGCACCACCGCACTCCAGCCTGGGTGACAGAGTAAGACTCCGTCTCAAAAAAAAAAAAAAAAAAATGTGACCTCACTGATGTGACAGTGCCAGATAAGCAGACCTGATGCCTTCATTAGGTGTGTCCTTAGAGCCTATCTGCATCTATATTTCCCCGTCACACAAATGGGTATGATCCCATTCAAACAAACCCAACTTAGCACATTCTTCTCTAACCTTTTCTTTCATCTTTTCAAGTAAGCACACTCATACTCATAATGATTCAAATACTTTGGCATTCCTTCCTTTTCTCTTTGCCTTTCCAATTTTTTTGACATTCCTTCCTTTTCTCTTTGCCTTTCCAATTTTTTTTCCTTCTTTCCTCAACCTCATTCCCCCAAAACCAGTCAGCTCCTTCTTTAAGGGCAAACTTCTTGCCTGTAACAGAGTACCCAACATATCATAAAAAATCAATATTTTTTTGTTGATTGAATGAATAAAGTAGGAAAATCACTAGATATAAAGGAAACTAAAATTATAATCATAGGTTTACGTTTTGTCTAGTCCATAAAGGAGGTGAAATTTCAATAATAGTAATAACAGGAAGAACTATTCACCTAGACCATCAACTAAATGACTTATGGTGTTGTCAGTTATCCTGGGCTTATATTGTGCATGCATTTTCATTTGTATATGGATTTATAAGCTTTTTTTTTTTTTTTTTTTTTTTTTTGCTCTGTCACCAGACTGGAGTGCAGTGGCACGATCTTAGCTCACTACAGCTTCTGCCTCTTGAGTTCAAGGGATTTTCATGCCTCAGCCTCCCGAGTAGCTGGGATTACAGGCGTGCGCCACCACACCAAGCTAATTTTTGTATTTTCAGTAGAGATGGTTTCACCGTGTTGACCAAAATGATCTCAATCTCCTGACCTTGTGATCCCCCCACCTCGGCCTCCCAAAGTGCTGGGATTACAGGCGTGAGCCACCGCGCCCTGCCTATACTGCTTTTAAAATGAATACTTCTTCTTTGTCCAATTATGGACAGTTACAAGCATGCACATGCACACACACACACACACACACAAATGATGAGTGAATCCAAGGAGTGACCCTAATTGCTAAGCTAAGGATTCCTATGGCAGAACAAAACAGCACTTTTATGAATATTCAGATTTGCTCAGCAGAGGTAGGGCTCACCCCTCCTAAGTCTGGCTGTTCATGGCACTTTGATATTCATGAAGTGCCTTGTTATTAGCTCTGCTTTGGAAAACACCCTGAAACCCTAGTCTCTGGGTCAGGATTGGTTGCTTAGTGAAGGTCTGTCTAATAGCTGACTCAGTTTGCCCTCCAAAGATTAGATTACTGTTTTATTCCTTTGTGCCAATAACCTTATATTTTCTTGCATAGCAACAGTGTCTAGGAGTCAGAGAGAGATTTTTGGTTTCCCAGTTTCAATCACGAACATTGTTATCGACAGCCATTATCATGAAAAGCCTTGCAATGCCTTAAATGCTAACCTCTTCAAGTGCCATGCAAAGTGGGACAGCTGTGGTCAGAGGCTGCATGGCCCAAGGATTGAGTACCTGATCTTGATACAGAGAATCAATTGTCCCCAAGGAACATAGCTTGATCCAGGGGATTCCAGTCATGACTTACTTTTATTTCTAGAATTGGAAATCTGTTTTAGATACAGAAAATTCTTCAGTAATAGTACTTTTAGATTAGATTGAGGGGATGGTAGTCAATTTTTAGAAATAGACTAATGTATAAGCTTTTTCCCTTTTTGAGGGAGAAGGAAAATCACAATTCTGTCATGGGAATTGACCATAGGCACATTTTGAGCATAGAGAAATGTGTGGAAGCTCCTCAGGTGTCACAGCTCATTTGCTGCAATTCAACAAGTATTTGTTAAACATCAACCGAATGACAGTAATTGCAATAGGCACTGAGAGAAACACAAAGGGAAAAGAGACATGATCCCCATCCTGGAAAGACCCTTGCATCTCCCTCACCATCTCCTTCTAGTCTGAAGTTGAAGTATGACAGTTTTAGTCTATAGCTGTTAGAAAAGATCTTAGTCTTCTAAAATTCATATACTGAAATCATCTCAAAAAGTAAAAGAGAATCATGGTTCATTCTCTCAACCACAAAACTAACAATTTGACCTTGATTGCATTAGATCTATAAGATCCAATGAGAATTTCATCATAATAATAACTATAGTGGTACCTCATTAATTAAAATAATATACCACATGCTATGTTCACTGATCATAACAACAAAAATGATAACACTTCAAAATTATGTTATTTTTTCCTTAAAAATTAAAAAAACTGCGTTAAGTGCATTCCATTTAGAAGATGCACACCATCATCCATTTGACTTAGAATTCCAGGGCACTGAACTGTGGGCTATTTCTACTATGGGATTCTCAGGATTGGAAGGGACCTCAGAGGACATCTGGCCCACCCTCCTGCTCCCCATAATTAAAATACTTCAAAGAGGAGTTAATTATCTCTTTTTTTCCATACGTCCTAGTTTCTTCTTTTCAGGGGTGCTGTTCTCACCTGACACTGAGGGTGACGGGTCAGAGGAGGAGTCAATTTGCAAGGATCCGATGGTGAGGGTTGCCATGATGGCTTCTGTGTCTACCAAAGTCTGGTTGCTTGATGGCTGGGGTGGGGGGGACAAGACAGCACACATGGAGCATTGCTCTATGTTGGCCGCATGGAGGTCTCCAGAATAAAGTGCACATCCCTAATGAGAGGAAAAGAGAGAGGAGGCACTGGTCGGATGGAGGGATGTTATATCATGGCTCATGGTGGTGGCTCTTTGTGAGTGATGTAATTTTTGAGCTTTGAGCTCCAACCTTTGCTGACTTGATTTTAAAACTTAGTTACCTCATATCTGACACATTTAACCTTATCAAACATTAATATTTTAGTGTGAATACATTTCATAGATTCTTTCCTGAAAGCAAGTTTGGATGAGACAGAGGAGAGTGGGGAGGGAGGAACGTAAGTCCGTGCCACTGACTCAGGTGGAAGAAGAGAGTAGGGTCAGGGTAACAGTGATGAGGAAAAAAATTCAGAGAAAAGAGAGGTTATGGATCTAGAGGCAAAATGTGCATCCTCACAATATTGCTAGTACAAACAGCTGGCCCTACTTATACTCTCTGGGTTAACTAGCAAAGTGGCAGTCGCTTCTTTCTTTGGTGGAAAAACAGAGATCAATCTGGTACTGTCTTCCGGTAGGTTGGAGTCTAATATAGTGGTAATTCCTAACACTAGCTGGATCAGATTTGCTCTTATTTTCTTCCTTTCAATGGACTTAAGCAGGAGCGGTAGTACAGGGAAACTTACAGTGGCTTTTTAAAAAAGCAAATGCAATTTGCTTCTTGAGATAATTATTTTTGAAATTTGAAAAATATTCCTTACATTAGGTTGGTGCAAAAGTAACCACGGTTTTTGCCATTACTTGCAAATATATTGCCAGCATTATGAAAATGCTTTGGTGCGTATCTCATGAAAATGAAATGCTTTGGTGCATTTCACAGTGTACATAATGGACTCCTCAACCAGTGAAATGGTGGCATAGAGTGGGACATAGATCTATGCAAGTTCAGGAAAAATATAGTTGCAACCGCCATACCACATAAGTAAAATCCCTCCTCTCCATACAGCTATCAGGGACCATGTGGCATTATATGGTCCATATAAAATGTCTCCAGAAAAGATGAAAAAGCTAGAGCACAAATGCTGGCCAGTATTAGCTTAGGTGTAGCCATTAAATTATAATCTGACTCAGAAATGCAGAGAAACTCTTATTTGTACAAAGACCGTAAAACATGGTGATTCGAGCATTAACTCAAGAGCCACAACATCTGGATTTAAATCTTAATTTTGTTAGTTACTTACTGGCTGTACAATCTTGGTCAAGTTACTTACTCTTCCGGTGCTTAAAGTTCAATAAATTTAATATCTACCCCATAGGGTGGTTTTGAGATTAAGTGAATTAATATAGGTAAAATATTTAGAACAGTTTCTGGCATCTGGCAAGGACTGTAGAACTGCAATATTATCATTATTAATTCTAGTCCTATTAATATTGAAATCCTTATAAATATTAACTTTTCCTTATATGATACTTACAGGCAGAATGTATATCTGGGGAAAATTCCAGAGAAATCGCCATTCTCTCTGTAGATAGTCCAGAGACCCAATGAACACTATGTCCTTCAGCTCCTTCCTGGTATAGTTGCTGGCTCTCAAGGGCATTACAAAGTTCCGAAGCCCCATCGGGGCTGAGTGGGCATCTCCAAATACACATGCTACAATATGGTTCCGAAACTTATACTTTGACTTGCCAGTTCGTTTCTAAGGATAAGGATGCCACAGTCTGGTCATTTTCATAAGCAAGATGAGAATCCCTCCAAGTAGGCCCCCTCTTCTCCTCCCAATTCTTCTAGGTACATCCACAGCTCTACTTTCATAAGGTGAATAGAATTTTGCAAATTGTTTATAAAAAACAGAACTCATGCACAAGTGGTGCAATTACACCTTTTACTTTTTTGTGGAATTTCTTTTTATTTCACTTTCTTTCTAGTTTTCTATTAGCTTGGAATGCATCAACTAAAACTCAGATTAGCATCATTCCTCAGGGTGTGAAATCATTAGACCAAATGGAGAAAGTATTTCTTGATTTTTATTTCACATTTTTAGCCTTGTATGTGCCATAGTAAAATTCAGTGAAAGCCTAAGACATTCCAGATTCAATGCTAAATTATGTCTTCTAGTGAGTCCTGAAAATTACAGCAAGCTGTATAACATATTGCAGTATTAAGTGGGTTTTCATTCATTAGTTTGAACCACATGAATTTACCTTTTTATGGGTCAAAAATGGTTGAACAATGGCAATTTCATATGGTTCAATTGAATATACTGAACTGATTCTATAGACTCCTGCATCAAGGAAATTCATCACGCAAAGTGCATACAAGAAAAAGAAATATTATAAAAATTTAATTTCCCCATCCTGTGTCCAAGTGTTCTCATTGTTCAGTTCCCACCTATGAGTGAGAATATGCGGTGTTTGATTGTCTGTCCTTGCGATAGTTTTCTCAGAATGATGGTCTCCAGGTTCATCCATGTCGTGGGGTGGGGGGAGGGGGGAGGGATAGCATTAGGAGATATACCTAATGTAAATGACAAGTTAATGGGTGCAGCACACCAACATGGCACATATGTACATATGTAACAAACCTGCACATTGTGCACATGTACCATAGAACTTAAAGTATAATAAAAAAAATTTCATTTGATCTCAAACATTTGAATATGTCTCATACTACTATCAGCATTGCCAATTGTTAACAATGCCCCTGTGTCTCCAAGTTGAAAACAAAAGAATATGCATGGAATATACTTAAGTTTCTCCCACAGTCATAGAGACTCATAAAAACAATAAATGTAACTTTTAAAGAATGATATTCCTGTGGGAAACTTATTGTAAGCCTATGTGTGGTTTCTTTCAGAGTATGGCTAATGTCTCCTCTTAACAGCACTGGGATGTAACAGAAAAAACCCTGGACTCGGAGTCAGAAGACATGATTTTGTATTCTGGTACTATTGTTAGCTATATGACTGAGCAAATTACTTAACCTCTCTGGTTCTCAATTTCTTTATGTTTAAAATGGAAAAAAAAACCAAAGAGTTAATTTTGTTGTAGGACATAATATATTCAAAATGTTTATTTCTTAACTCACTAAAAGTTGTTCAATAACTATCAATCAAATCTAAAAGTTATTGAATTTCTATATTTTCAAAGGAGGACATTTAGAAGCTGGTACAGAGTAAGTTTAATTTGCAGCATGAGCATTCCCTGCATTCCTAGACACACAAAGACTCAGAATACTTCAAATGGATATATCATTCTTCTTTATGCCAGTCCTTTGCTGGGTTAAATGGCAATCTTCTATGAAACAGGCATTGATGAAGTCTAACAGGATAAATAAGTAACATCTGACATTTCAACAATTAAAGTTTACCAAATTAGCATATACTGGGAAATACTGTACTGTACCCTCCTTCCAAGAGAGATCTCCCTGCGAGGGGAAATAAAGCTACTTGTCTGGAGAGCCTTCCTAGAGTGATATGAATCTTAACCAAATCTATTAAATAATTGTCTCTAGCTAATCCGATTAGTTTTAACTTGAATAATGAAGCCTCTAACGGTATTTAATGTAACATGTCTAAAGTCCAACAATTGCTTTTCTGAGTAGAACTAAACAATTAGAAACAAGATACATGGCCAAGTGCATTAATGGGCACAGCTAGAGAGGCAATTTCTCCAAGAAACTGTGGCACTAAACTGTCTCCTGATTAAGAAAGATGGTGACTATTGGAAGAAGGGGAGGATGTCCTATTTGTTCAAAATAACTTAAATTGATCATTTCTACTTGACCCTTTTGCAAATGAAACCAAGTTTAAAGATACCCCGAATTTTGCAATCCAGATATTTCTTTCCTAGAGGCTCACATTTCAAATTCCTTAGCAATTTTAAAGCTAGAAGGCATCCTAAACTTAACAAAAGACCTGGTTGGTATTCTGAACTATATTCCATATCAAGTATCATAAGGGAAATATCAATCATGGCAACCTGTCTGCATTCTTAATAAATATGATCTAATAAAACTTCTGCTATTTCCATCGTTTGGTCTCAAATGTCTCAATCTGCAACCAACTTCCTGACCTTTCTAAAGATTTGCCTCCCACTGAAAATATGTTTGGCTTCCTGCTCAACGGATGTTTATTTCGTACAGTTCAGAATAAGACATAATTGCTAAAATGGTGAGTTTCAGCAACCCTAATAGTCTTCCAGTTGGTATGACAGCTCTGACAGTTTCGTGTTTCTGATCAAATGATGGATCATGCTTTTACAAAAGTTGAAATATATTCTGTCAGGACACTGGCACTGAGCCACAAAGATGTGTATGTATGCATTTGTGCATCTATCAAAAAAAGTGAACTAAACTACTTTTGGAAAGCAAGAAAATATATATAAGTATCAATTAGTCATATATGAAAAAATATATATAGGGTTCATACAGCATGCAAGCAATCATTTTTATTAGTTAAATTTATCAGCTACTACTTGTAAGGTAAACCACTAAGATTATACTTGAGTTTCCAACTCCAGAAAATTACAGTAGGTGGGCATCTAGAAAGCAGGTGCCAGACCCTGGGTTAGGATACAAGACTTTTTCCATCTTAGTTGCAGGCATTTCTGTGAGTTGAGTTAGTTTGTCTCTTTGAGAAGAGAGACAAGGACATGACTGTAATATCTACAAAGATTCACCCCGGTTGTACGGAGTGTTTAGGAGGCATATTTGTGGCTAATGTGTTAAATCTAAGTAGAGCCAGCTTTAAGAAAAACCACTACAGAAAAATCCGAATTTCAAAACCAATACATTAGAAAAGTGCTTATTTACTTAAAAAAAAAAAAAAGACTGCAGAGTCCTTGTAAACAGTAGGTTTCCCTGGTGCATTTAAATTAATTAGATTTACTAGGAAAACAGCAAAACTTCAGGAGAACATTATTCTGAATAACTGAGTCAGCTAAACTGTCAAAGGAGAGAGGAAATAGTTGAAGACATATAATTGTTTGAAATTCCAGCATATTACTCATGTAGGCTTTGTCAAATGCCTCATGTGTTACTTTGCATATTATTCTTATGGCTGGTGAGGGATGTGGGTTTTTTTCTTTTTTTGACAAATTCACAGTTTACAAAGGGAAGTGACAGGTGCTTATGACTAACAAGAACATCACTTACCCTACGAAATGCTTTATCTTATTTGAGATTTGATGATGCAAGATCACCTACCAGAGTCACCTTGTCCAAAGAGGTTGGTTTGCACCAGTGAAACATCCCACTGCTATCAAGCTGGTCAGAATCTTGTTCTACATCATGTTGAAGAGTCCTAAATAGGAAGAATGGAGAGTTAGTTTGAGACTATTTGGAGCTCCTCTGTAACAAAGCCGAGATGTAAAACTCATTAGAGCCTTGAGCTCAAAGAGGAGAATAGCATAAGTAGAATGACCTCAGGTCTGTAAGACTCTAGAATAAAGGCTTAGGTCTGAAGAGCACAAAGAGCCCAGACTGTATCATAGTTGAAGACACTCTAAGCATTTTGGGCAAAAGCCACATCAGGATTTTTTTTTTTTTTTGCCTTAGATTATATGTACCTTGAAGATAGTTATTTCTGCTTTTAATTTTGATACTGTATGATACTGTTATCCATTGGCAGATATCATGAGCAGTGTTTTGGGCACCTGAATATAGAATTTAAACAGCTGTGAGAGATTCAATCATGGGTGATATTTCTCTCCTTAGCCTATTTTCCTCCTGTCTCCTTTCCATGTATTTTTCTGAATGGGTCCCTGTTGAAACATCCTGATTTAGTAAATACTTTTTGCATTCTTTAAAGCTTTCATCACTGGTCTGCATTTGCCTAGACTTTGCTCTGATCTTGATCTAAGTCTTGGCAATGTCATCCCCATGGTCACCCCACACTGCAGTTAGACACAAGCTTGTTTCATAATGTATTCAATCCCTGACAGAGTTGGATGTTCTTTTGAAAAATCCCACTTTCATCCTAAGGAATGCATATTTGCTTGTGAGAGAATAAGAAAACCCTTGTCAAATTACAGAAAATCGAGGATTAGAAAGACCTGTATCAGCCAGGAAAAATCTAGGCTTAACACTGCAGAAACAACCTCAACATCCCCAGGGCCTGACACAACACAGCTTACTTCTTCTCACCTACACTATATATGTTACTCAGATGAAAAGGTGTCTCTCCTCCACACAGCCATCCGGAGCCTGGGGGACAGAGGCTCTACCATCTTATGGCCTCAACATCTGGAACATGCATCCTCCTCAGTCACCAGGCAGGAGAGGAGAAAGGAACTGGAGAACCAAGCCTAGGCCTCTAACTGCCTTGGCTCAGGGTGACTCACTTCATTTCTCCTCACATCTCATTGGCCAAAATTAGTCACATGGCTCCTACTGACTTTAAGAGGCCTGGGGAACATGGGAAGTAACTTGAAATGTTCAGTGAGCATTTCTGTCTCTGCCAGAAGCTTTAAAGACTACCCACCCTTATTTTATGGATAAAAGTCAAAGAGCCAACAAAGTGCAAAACTGGCATTTGAATAGACTGTTGAAGTTGAGGTTACCAACCTCACCATATCCAGTTCTGCTTTCCTTCCTGAGTGTAGGGATAGGTAGGTGGGGCCATGTGACTAGCTCTGTCCAATGAAATGTGAGAAGAGACAGGCCAGGCAATGAGAAGCTCTCAGGTGAAGTTCTCAGGGTCTCTTCTAGCCTAGCTGCTCCAGTGGGCACCTTGAGCTGAGTGCCCTGGCCTGCTTGGCCTGTGCTGGACATGTAATGTGAACAACAAATAAACCTTTCTTGTGCAGCCACTGAGATTTCATAGCTGTTACCAGGGCATAAGTCCATCTCATTCTAACACCAATTCCTTTTGCAAAACACATGTTCCATGGTACATTAGTAACTGGAGACATCCTAGGAGTAACCAAAGTTTGAGAGGAATGGCCCCTCTTTGACAGCCACTGATATGGTCTGGCTGTGTCCCCACCCAAATCTCATCTTGAACGGTAGTTCTCATAATCCCCATGTGTCATGGGAGGGACCCAGTGGGAGGTAATTGAATAATGGGGATGGTTACCCTCGTGCTGGTCTGGTGATAGTGAGTGAGTTCTCAGGAGATCTGATGGTTTTATAAGGGGCTTCCCCCAATTCACTTTGCACTTCTCCTTCCTGCCATCATGTGAAGAAGGACTTCTTTGCTTCCCCTTCCACCACGATGGTAAGCTTCTTGAGGCCTCCCCAGCCATGCTAAACTGAGTCAACCAAACCTCTTTCCTTTATAAATTACTCAGTCTCAAGTATTAGCAGTGTGAGAACAAACTAATATAGTCACAGTGCACTTTGGCCTGTGAAAGATTCTGACAACAGCATATAAAAGGAATTCTGCAATATAGAAATCCTTTAAAAATTGTATAATCCAGTGTTTCACAACTTATCTGACCACAAAAGCTTTTACTATTTACTTACACACTTACTTATTTTATTTATTTATTTAAAAGTATCTGTTATTGTCCCCTACAGCCTTTTGGAATATACTGTACTGTGTGTCACATTACAGATTCAGTCCTGCTCATCTCAGATGTAACTGATAACAATGTTCTCCCATGCGATTTTACTCTACATCTTGGGAGAAATACAATCTATTCCCCTTCATGCTGCAGGGTTAGGGGGTTTCCTTGTGAATTAATACAGTTTATTATTCAATGCCTCACCCCCAAACTCAGACCTCAACATAATGACAAGCAATTTTGCTTTCCTCAAGCAGGCTAGCTTCTAAATTGATAACTTACATCTTATTTTTTTTTCAGACAAAAGAACTTACTCCAACTTAGATTGAAGTGTCAAACTTAAAGTAATAGGACAGAGAAGACCTAGAAGGAGAAGCCAGGGTAGGGGGAACGGGATACTAGAAACAGGTTTGGAAAGTCAGAGAGGGTAATTCCTAATAAGAGTGGCCAAGGTCTTGATGCAATCCTTAATCTCCTCTTGCACTTAAGAACTACCTATAAACTTAGTGGGTTTAGTGAATTCTAATCATTTGCCTAGCTAGACAATGTAACATATAAGCTTCAAGGTCAGCTTGACCAAAATGGGTTACCCTGTTCATTCAAATTAACATGTCTTTTGGCAACTTAAATATCTATCTATAAGCCATGTGCTCCAACACCAAGTTCCAAAAGCCCCACCGGCTCTCTTAATCATACCAGACAGGACCCTGATGGCAGCCTTATGCCAAGCTTGTTAATGGGACTCACCAGCAAGCACAGCTAATACCTGAGTCTGGTCTTGATTTTCATCAGGATTTGGAGCATTGATGAATGATATAATTCATCCGTAGAACCTCTTTCTATCTAAGAGTCGCTTCCTAGACACTCTCCCTAGGATCCTCAGAACATGTGTTTACATATCATGACCAAGTTGGTAGTGACTGTCTTTCAGGGACTCTTTGAGAACAATTTGGAAATAGCTATGTTACCTTTTAGGTGGTTCCCTGCTGTCTGCCCTCAGCACTCAAGTCTACAGCTGCTACTACTACTTTCCTTCTGGTCACTTTCTTCAGCTTGTCTCTACTTCCCCTCCTTCTCCACCCTCTCCACCCTCATGATAAATGAAGAGTCTTTGGTCTGGTAGTTAAATGCCCTATTGGCAAATTTAAGATGATCTTCTCCCAAGCACATTTTAACATGACTCAGAATAGGGAATCAATCACTGTACATTTTTATCATAATAAAAGTGTGGTATATGTATACAAGCTGTCACAGACAACATTTTTCTTCATTCTAATGTTATGAAAAACAGATATGCCTTAAAGGAAACACCTGTTGGAGACCGATATTTAAAAAATGCTGGAGGAAACCCACTTCATCATAAAGGCATCCATCTGGTGTCCTTGCCAAAGCAAAACCGAATGCAATTTACATCACCATCCCTTAACTAAAGCTCCGTTCTGCCATATGCTTTGCAAATGTCATGATCCTCATAGAAACATACTCTACTAAAGAGACTAATAAATCATCTATGGGAATGTTCAGCACTAGCAGTCTTAGAACATGGAAGCAAAGAATAGAACATAAAGGTTATGCTATAGCAGGAAAAGGTAGCCACGGGGTACCATTCAGGTCAAAAAAGACCTGTCAAAGCCTGACCAAGGTGGAGGGGGCTTTGTAGGAGAGACTGGCAAGAAATGTGGTGGGAGTTGTGTGGGGTGGCCTTCAGCAGGATGTGTTTGGGATAATAGTGGGGTTGGTTCCCTGGTCACAAGTCTTGCTTCTTACTGCCCAAGCAACAGCGTGTTGTATTTCTGTCTGGGAGCATCCAGGAAGCAATGAACCTTGAAATGTTCTCAGGGTCCCATCTCCAGCTTTCAGCTTTGGAAGCTGCTGGATAAGAACAGTTTTTGCAGCCTATCCACTTGTGGCTGTGTAGAGCAGCACGCAAATAAGCATTCCTTTCTGATGACTGCTTTTCTTTGGGTTGCTTTGATATGCATGAAGACTGTGTCTCATGAGCAGAACGTGTTGCCTCATGAGCAGAACGTGTCACTTGAACGTCTTCCAGCAGGGAAAGGCAGCTCTGTTTTCTGCGACCATTCTGAATAGAACTTCTATTCTCCCATGTTCCTAGCAACTTATCCTGTATAAATCCTATCAGTTAAAGGAAAAAATAAATAAACCCTGTGCCTTTGGTTGCCAGTCATGGCACCTGATGAGAGAGAGACCAAACCATGTAAGAAAACTTCTATTAAGAAGGTGGACTAGGTTTCACTGTGCTAGTTCAGGAGGCATGGTTTCCAAGAATGTAAATTTGTCATCATTATTTTCTCCAACTTACAGATTTGACTCAGATGATTCTTGAAGGTGATCTGCCAAAAAATGAGATCTTCCACTGTTCACAATATTTATTAGAAAGTTCAAAAAGCCTCTACAATTCCCTTTTTTTTTTCTTTTGTAGACCTCACTTTCGGCTGTGTTAGGAAATCCTGGCTTATGACCATTCTACTTGAAATTTCCTTAAAACCCCACAGATGGCTTGTAAATTCTTAAGAGAGTTTTCTGGCCTGGATGCAGAGCAATATATTTTTGGGGCAAGATTTGAGTTTTACAAAAATAACAACTTTCATGAAGTTCTAGCATATATAGAAGGAGGGAAAAGCATTTGTGTGTCCAGCAGTTTGAGTGGCTTTCTTGGTTCAATCTTTTGAAAACTCCATTGTGACTGTCTCTTGAGCATAATAGTCAAGTTCTAGCCAAAAATCAAGAAAAAAATCCTGTGTCCCAAGATGCCTTTGATGGTTCTGAGATTTTTGTATATCAAAGGCTACATCTGCCCTCTCTCCAATGACTTTATAAATAGCAAGGCTATTCAGTTTACAACTGACTTGGAAATACTCACTTATTGTCAATTCTGATGACTTCTGTATGTTATGGGGAAAAAAAATCACCTAAAATTGGGGAATGTAAGGGCAGGTTACATAATCAGTGCTTCCCACCTGATCCTACTCACATACCCCCTCCCACACCTATACACATATTGTAGTCAAATATTAAAAACTGAGCCTAATCTTTATGGCCATATTATGATTTAATTTTTCTGGATTTCATCTCATTGCTGTTTATTCTTTATGAGGCGTTTTATTTTACCTTGGAGGGAAATTTAAGGTTTAAAAAATTGATAATTTTATATAGTTCATTTCCCCAGAAACCTGTGTATAAGCAAGCTGAAAAGAGATCCTGTGAGCGCCAAGAAACTTTCAGGACCAAGCAACTGGGGACATAATTCACCCTCCCTGTTAGAAAGGCCTCTGCGATTCCTTCCTTTTCCATGAGGAGTGAAATAGGCACCAGGCTCTGTGTCTTGCATCCAGCTTAGCCACTTAATCCTTGCTGTTACTCCTTTACCGGGTAAAATTTTAAAAAGACCTGCCATGAAATCTCATGGGATGTGACATACGTTGACAGCAGCCTGGTTACTTCCAAAGCACCAAGCCCCCTTGGTTGCCATCTGGGAAAACCTTAGGAAACCATCTGGGAAGAGGAAAATAAACACACTGTCTACCGGCCATTCTGCTTTGCTTGGGTTTCCCAGGACATGGAGACTTTCAGGGTTAAAACTGGTCACTCTGTTGCCCAAATGGCGATACTTGTTTGTGCTAATTTGAAAAGCTCTCTGGGAGGAAGAGGAGGAAAGAAAGAATAAAACACTTGAAATATCATGCCTAGAAAGCCTTCCATGTTGTGCAGAAAACTTTCTACACCTCTGTGTTTATTGAAGAGTTCTGCTGATGTTTAATGGAAGAGAAGACAGAGAAGACAGCTAGGTGGCCAATAGCCCTGAAATGTTTTAAGATAAACAGGCTATGTATTCTTCAACCTCTCTCTCTGCTTCCTGGTCTCTCCTGATTCTTTGCATACACAGAGTCTTCATGAAGTCATTATTAAATTATAAACTTTAATAGTAGAGATAATAGGTATGATTTAAAAAACATCTGTAAATGGTGTTTTTAAAAGGAGGTATATGAAAATTCAGGATATCATTCTATTCAGTATAATCTTATTTCAGTTTACGTAGGAGAATGTAAACTGTGTTCTAAGGTAAACAAGATCAGCTGTGAGCAGAGTGTTCTGTTTGCCTTTAAATGCTGCTTTACAGATGGGCTCTGTCAAACTCATGGCCTCTGTTTTCAATGTTTACAATCTAAAATCTCCACGAAGGCATTTTTTTTTTCTATCTTCTAGCTTAGAAGTTAGACCCAAGATCAGAGTGGCCCCAGCCCAGGTGAGGCAAGACTAGGATAGAGTTTCTATTAGATAAACCCACATCTAAGCCCATATTTGAACTTCTCTCTGTTAAGCTTTGCTTTATTTCTGATGAGTAAAAACTGACAGCTTTTCTGCAGCGCTTTTTCTATGAATTTGTATAGGCATCTCTGAGTATAAATTGTTACCAGATGAAAAGAGAAAGATAAAAAGACAATTTCCCTCTTTCTCACCCATTCTGCAGATGAACCCTCATTTAAATCCCTTTATATTTCATGGAAATTGCATTTGGAATTTTCTACAATGTTAGTACAGATGAGACATGACCCAGAGCAGCAGGTACCTTTAATAAAAGTCAGAGTCTGTGCCCTCAGCTCAGGGCAAGTCTCAATCCTCATGATAGCAATTTCTTCAGCCAATTTTTTTCAGCATAAGGTTGTAGTTTTAGGTGCTCTTTCCCACACTCTCCAACACTTTCTAAATATCAACTTGCATAGTAAGTGTAGAAGTTGATCTAAATAAAAAATACTTCCCTCCCATAGACAGTTGTTGGCATAAGGTTTTCTTTGTGTATTGGACAAGGACCTGAACAATGAAGTCAGTTACTCTGACACTTTCAATCCTAAAACGCATTACTGAAACAAATGCAAATTTCAGACACAAGACTATTTTTTTTTTCTTTTTTCCTTTTTGGTGGGGTATGGAGATGGGGAATCGGAGCATGAGATATCTGAAAACTACCTCCCTTTTCATTGTATTGATCCACTTCCCAAGGTTTTATGGGATTGAGTTCAGGTCAGGGTTCAACATGACATAAATGCTTTCCTTATGCAGTGGGTTGGGAGGCTTGGCCTGGAAAATTATTAACATTAATAACCCCCAAAAGGAATTGGGACTGGAAACAATAGCACCCATCAAAATGTTACTGGTGTGAGGTGCACGTGTTTATGTATGTGAGAGAGGGATACAGGGGGCAGGTATCAAACACTGCAGAGGAAATTAAAATAATTGCAGGGTATATGAATATTTTAATGTCTTTTCTCTAGAAATAGGAAGTTATTTGTGAAGTCTTCTTATCCATATTGCTTAGTTTCTCTGAAATCCCTGTGGCTGAATGTTGAAATGGAGTCAACATAGTGTGCTGGTGATTATGGATTTTTGAAAACATTGGAAGGACCCAATGATGCATTGAGGACCACAAACTTTAAAAATTTCCTCACATCTGGAAGCCATCACTGGAGGAAAGCCTGTGAATACAGGCATCCTGAGTGTTACAACATTTTACTTAGTACCAGCGACCTATCAAGAAGCAATGGAGATAATGGAGATGGAGGCCATTTGGGATCACTCACGACATGGAGTCCTCCCCATCTGTGTGTTACACAATGGCTATTTTTAAAAGGAGGCATGCCTTGATTAAAGATGAAAAGTTAAAATTAGAAGTCTCTTGTGGGAGGGAAAAGGTTATGGACAGTGTTCTTTAACAAGAAGATGTGATTAGTGTAGGTCTGTGACTAGGGATGAAAGGTAAGCGTCAGAATTTTTTAGTGGGCCGTAGAAGTGCAGGGTGAGATAGCCTCCATAAGGCAGGGGCACTCATGCTTAGATGTTTCCTGTGCTTTAGTTTTTTAAATTAAAGGTGAATGAAAATGAAAAGGGGTAAGAAGGAGGATATTCACCCTGCTCTGTTCACCTCTAATTTGAAATGGAGTTTCTAAAGGTCATTAATTCCTCAGCTTTCCTGATGTGTGGCTCTTGGTGACATTCATATTTGGATTCCTTGAAGCTAAGACCTGTTGCATCAAGAAACTATTTAGATGTTCCACTTCTTATTCTAAAGCTCCAGAGGGAAATACTGGAAGTCATTTATTTCCTTGTAAATGTTTTGTACTTAGTTGCAGCCATTTATGGGGGGAGAGAAAAAAGATAGACAGAGAAAAAGAGAGAGAATGATTCTATAAATTTTATGGGAATTTTTCTACAATAGAGGGAGAGAGAGAGGGAGAGAGAGAGAATGATTCTATAAATTTTATGGAAATTGTTCTACAATTTGAAAATCACCACCAAACACACACACACACAGCTTTTGGCAATAAAATTCTGTCTTATGTATAATCAAATGTCTGCACAGTGGAACCACTGTGCATGCTGATAAGTGAGTTTTGACTCAGACTCTTTTTGCTATTGTCCCATAGCAAGAACAAAATCACCCCATGGTTCACCACTAGTTATAACTCAGGCAGAAGCACATGCATCTCTCTTTACTGATCTTGTGGAGTAAATGGAAGATGAAAAATTGTGTACTGTGAAAGTTTTTTAGGTAATCAACCTTGGCTTTTATAGACTAGAATAAATTGGCATCTGTATGAAACTATCTTAATACAAATATAAATAATATCTCACTTCCTGGTGATCAGTTTCTTGATTATTTTGCAAGAAGAAATGTTTTCCTATAATCTCTTTCTTTTTCATATCAAAAGCTCCATTGAAATAGATTCCCAATCATGTCTAAGCTCTTTTTACTGTGTGAAAAAGAAAATAAACTGCATGTTCTCTGAAATCTTCCTCCAACCTCTTCTATTTGATCACCTCAAAGGAACGGACCTTCTTTCTCAGAGTTCCAGGGGTAAAAGTCCAACAGTAAACACACCAAATTTTAGATGTCTTAAAGATCATCGCATTCTATTATTTGATTCCTTTATCTGCTGTACTATTACTTTTTGTTTCCATGGAAAATTGAGATTATATAATTGAGTCAATTTCTCTTTAAAAGTATTATTTACCCCTACTTTTCTGAATTTTCCAACAACCTATTAATCTAAACTCAAAACATTTATTAATAATTTGGAATGAAAATTATTGCTCTTATCAAATTATCATAAATCTAATCTTTGACTATTGTTTCCAGACATCTGATGTGATACTGTTCATCTTAACTATCTAGAACAGAGTTGACAAATTTTATTTTGCAAAGGGCTAGATATAATATTTTAAGCTCTTCAGGCCAAGAGGCTAAATCGATATCATGTAGGTACTTACATAACAAGAAAGAAAATAAGTTTTTATAAATATTCATTGATGATATTTAAAATATAATAGTTTAGTAATTTAAATTTCTTAAATTATAGGTCTACTAATAAAAAAATAATTTTTAAGGGATTTTTAAAAATTGGCATTCATAGTTAATATTCTCTATAATCAAAATTAATTGCAAATGTTCATATGTTAATGTTAACAACAACAAAATTTAACATATTTTATCTTTGAAAAAGTCTTTTCACACAGATAGGTACTATCAAATACCAATAGTGCTCCAAGAGCATAAGATTCTATAATAATTGAGTATATTTATTGCTTAGAAGGCATTTATAGAATTTTATTAGATTCTTCTTTTGATATTTGCCTTTTAGTATGTCATTATGTTGCAGATTAATCACTTGCAATGAAAGTTTAGGTAGAAACTTCTCAGTTGCATTGTTAAGTAAACTTTGAAATATAGAATTTTTTTAGCACTTGCATCAAGGTCTAAAATGACAATGCTGAAACTGAGATCAGAAAATATATCTACAGAAAATTTGTGTGGAAATAGTAATCTCATTTTTTATTTTAACTTTTGACAGCATGGGAAGTATATAAAGAAGAATGACATTAATTGTGATTCAAAGATTGATAATTGTCATTGTAATTATGATAGTATAAGTTTCACATGTTAGCTCTGCTTTGACTTTCAAGTTTAAATTTGTTAATAGAGATGATGAAACCTGCAGTGAATAATAAGTTTTGAAGTCATTTAGTGTTCGGAAATAGTGGTTGACAGCACAGTTCTTCTTATTCAGAAACATTTTAATCTTGATCCAGGTTTTTAAAATAACACAAAAGGCCAGGTACAGTGGCTCATGCTTGCAATCCCAGCACTTTGGGAGGCTGAGGGGGGCAGATTACTTAAGGCCAGGTGTTTGAGACCAGCCTGGACAACATGGTGAAACCCCATCTCTACTAAAAATATAAAAATTAGCTGGGCGTGGTGGTCAGTGCCTGTAATCCCAGTTACTTGGAAGTCTGAGGCAGAAGACTCACTTGAACTGGGGGGGCAGTGAGCTGAGATTGTGCCACTGCACCCACTCTGTCTGGGTGACAGAGTGAGATTCTGTTTCCAAAAAAAAAAAATCACAAAAAACTTTACTATTGTTAAGTTCTTAAACTGATGTGTAGTAGGGTAAGTCAGGATATTCAGATTTTATTTCTTACAAAACTTTATGGAACTAACAATGGCAAAGTTCATGAGAGCTAATAAAATTCACCATTGACACTTCTGGTTCAATAACTCATGATAAATTAATATATTATTCACAAAATACTTTCTGATGGATAACACAATAAGGACTATAGTCTTTATGCATTTTACATTTTACGAACTTTGTAAATTTGTCTAACTAGGACTGTTTCTGGTCTACATGTATTTTTGTATCATCTGTAATACATCTTAGCAGATTCCGCTTCAGATTATACTGAATTAATATTTTCTCAACTTCTTTGAATATATTTTCACAGGTAGTTGTGCCATGCAGACTATTCACAGAGGCCATTTAGGTACTTCAGACTCTGCCTTGACTCCTTGAATAAATAATAACTAAGCTGTATCAGTAACATATGTTAACATATTAAAAGCTGAGAGAAACCACTCACAACTATTTTCCTCATTTTTAAGTGATATTGATATTGCTTCTGATGTCTTCAATTCTTCCAGCAGTGATTTTTGCTGAAAGGTTAATAGTACTAGGTAGTTTTATTTTGTCTGGATACATTTTTTCATCTGCTGCAATCAAACACAATTTAATTGATTCACCATTAGTAAATGACTTCTCTTGCTTGGCTAACAAGTGAGTCACTCAGAAACAAACTTTGATTACAAATTCTGCTGTGCTAAGATGTTCTTTTAAAATTTTATAATTTTTCTAACCATGGCTTTACCATGAATTGAGAATATTGTGATAAGTGCCAAGTTTGATAATATCAACATATATTGTAGTCTTTTACCACAGTATACTTTCATTGAAATTAAGCACAATGCTTTTGTATGGCAAACCATATAAAAACAGGTAGTGAAGTGGATTTTGACTTCTAATCTAGAAAGCAGCCTGACATCATTTTAAAATAGCATTTGCATAGACCAAAGATATCACAAATACTCAGTGGCATTTGTTAATCGAAAATTTTTTCATGAATTATCTATATTTCTAACATTTTTGGATTTTTGGCTTGCAGATTAAAAGTGTCAAGTTAGAGATGAAGGAAGGCGTTGCTGCAAAGAGATGGTCTTAAACCAGGTTAAGGGACCATTACAAGTTTAATAGGAAGATGAAAAATAACTATAAAAAGTAACTACAAGGGACATTCTTCCAGAATGGCAGAGTTAGGGCCTTTGAATATTCACTATTCTACACAAGCAATGAGAATATTGACAAAAAAATTATCAAAATCAACATCTTCAGAGTTCTGGAAATAAACTGGAGACTTGAAACAATATGAGGAGTATTTGTTTAAGAAAAATGGTGAGATCTTGGTAAGAACAATAAGCTTCATGGCATTTTTGAGAAGTGCTATTCCCATTCCACTATCTTTAGTTCAACAGTAGCCATCAAGATCAGAAGCCTTACAATAACAGTAGCTCTGAAAACCAGCAGTCTAGCAGCCACCAGAGAGAAAAAATAGATCTGAAGCTGTTAAATATCCTTATTCACAGAATATGTTACTATTTGAGCTTTCTAGCAGCTCCCTGGAAGTGCACACTCACAGGGCTTATCTTTATTTGGCCTGGGAGTTTTCTCAGTGGAATTTTTCCGGAGGCATTTTAAAAAAATAATCAGCAGTAATTTTTTTAAATTGCAAATATCTGAGTTATAGTTAACAATGTCGCAAAAAAAAAAAAGACCCATAAAAATCTTCAAAAGAAAAAGCTGGAGAATTAGAAGTCTATAGAGAGGGCCAGATGTGGTGGCTCATGCCTGTAATCCCAGCACTTTGGGAGGCTGAAGCAGGTGGATCACCAGAGGCCAGGAGTTCAAGACTAACCTGGGCAACATGGCGAAACCTCATCTTTACAAAAAAAAAACAAAAAAAAACAAAAAGTAGCTAGGCATGGTGGCTCACACCTGTAATAACAGCTACTTGAGAGGCTGAGTCAGGAGAATTGCTTGATCCCAGGAGGCAGATGTTGCAGTGAGCTGAGATCATGCCACTGCATGCTGTCCTGGGTGACAAAGCAAGACTCTGTCTCAAATAAAACAAAAGAAAATAACAGACTTCTATAGAGGGTATTAAAAGGTTTTGAAACATTCACTGTAGGAAACTGAATAAAAATAAAACCATGTGCATGTGCAGAGTTGTAAATACACCCAGGGGAAAAAAAACCTGAGGTATTCCTAATCTCTTCTGGCTGATCTTGAGACTGCACAAACCAAAAATGAAGGCTTAGGCAAAGATGTAAACTGCTAAAGTGTCAAAGGAATTACCTCAACATGCACACAGAATCCCTTGGCAAATATAAGAAGACTTATCAGTTCAAGGCATTTAAGGAAATCTCAGTGCAATCATTAGCTGATCATAAAGCTGAGTAGAGATTTAAGTGTCAATATACAATAAACCATAGCAAAATAGTTTGTAGAGTTGTCATATAATATTATTTAAAATGCCTGGCTTTCAACAAAAAATTATGAGACACAAAGACACAGTAAGTATGGACCATACCTGGTGGGGGGTGGGGGGTGGGAACACCAATAGAAACTGTCCGGAAGGAAGCCCAGACTTTCTAGGCAAAGATTTTATAAGAGCCATTATAAATATATTTAAAGGACTAACTGAAACCATTTTTAAAGAACTAAAGAAAAGTATGAGAACAATATAGCACTGAATACAAAATATCAGTGAGGAGATAGATTATAAGAAAAAAACAAATGGAAATTCTGGAGTTAAGAAGTACAATAACTGAAAAGAAAATTTTAGTGAAGGAGCTCAGCAGCAGATCTGAGTTGGCAGAAGAAGGAATAAATGAGCTTGAATATAAGTCAATGGAGATAATGCAGTCAGAAAAATAGAAATAAAAACCTATTGAAGAAATATACACAGAAGCTTCAGAAAACTGTGGGACATCATCAAGTGTATCAACATACACAAAATGGGAGTTTCAGAAATGGGGGAGAGAGAGAAAGAAGAAAGAGTACTTAGATAATGGACACAAATTTTACATATTTAATGAAAACATTAACTTACATATCTAAGCAGCTAAAGGAAGTTTAAAGTAGAGTAATCTCAAAGAGATTCAGACCTGGATATACCATAATCAAATTGTTCAGAGCCAAGGGCAAAGAGGAATCTTGAAAGCAGCAAGTAAAAAGCAACTCAGCATCTACAAGGGATCCTTAATAAGATTAACAGCTAATTTCTCATCAGAAACCATGAAAGCCAGAAGGCAGTGGAAGAACATATATAAAGTTCTCAAAAAAAAGGCTTATCAGTTAAGAATTCTATATCCAACAAAGTATTATTCAAAAATGATGAAGAAATGGAGACATTTTCAGATGAAGAAAAATGGCCAGAATTGTTGTTTGCAAACTTTTATTACAAACGATACTAAAGAGTATTACAATTCCTTTAGGCTGAAATGAAAGGATGACAAACATTAACTTGCATCCACATTAAGAAACAGAGTGTCAGTAAAATTAATTACATAGGTAAATAGGAAAGATAGTATTATCTCTCTATGCATCAGTCCATCCATCCATCCATTCTTCCAAGCATCCATCCATCCATCCTTTTGTATTATCTTGTCTGACTTAAAATACAAGTTTGCAAAGCAGTTATAGGATTGTGTTGATGAACCTATAATATTATAAAGATGTAATTTGTATGATAATCATAGCATAAAGTTGGGCAAAGAAATGGAGCTACATAGAAGTAAAATAGTTATGTACTAGTGAAAATAAGACAGTATTAATATGAACTATATTGCTATAAGGTGTTAATTGTAATCTCCAAGGCAACCACTAATAAAATAAAAATACTCTAAAAGAAATCACAAGAGAATTAAAATGGTACAATAGAAAATATCTATTTAACAATAAAATAAGGCAGTAATGGTGGAATAGATTAAAAACAGACAAGAGACATATATAAAAAATACCAAATAGCAGACTTAAATGCTTCATTATTCATAATCAATTTAGGTATAAATAGATTACACTAATAAAAATACAGAGGTTGTAATAATATTCATAAAATATGTATTTCATTTACAAGAGACACAATTTAGATTCAAAGCAAAAATAGGTTGAAAGTAAAAGGATGGAAAATAACGGCATGAAAATAGTAATTAAAGGAGAACTGTAGTGGCTATACTAATAATAAACACAATAGACATCAAGAAAAAAGGTAATAAGTGTTAGCATGATTTATCTTTCTTCATTATTTTATTTTTAATCTGTCCAAATATTTATATTAAAAGTAGATTTCTTATATATAGCACATGTTGAATCTTGTTTCTTTATCAACTCTAACAATAGCTGTCTTTTAATTGTATTTATGCCACTCATATTGAAAAGATTGTTGATATGGTTGGATTAATGTCTACCACATTTGTAACTGTTTTCTAATTTGTTACATTTGTTCTTTCTTTCCTGTCTTCTCTGGTTTTGATTGAGCATTTTATATGATTTCATTTTATCTCTTTTTGTAGCACAACACAACACTTATATATATTTTTTTAAATTAGGAGTTGACCTCAAATTTGCAATATATATTTTTAACTGATTTAAGTTTCTCTTTGAAAAACACTACACTGCCTAATGTATAGTGCATGTAGCTTATTGCAGAGTATTTCCAACTCATCCTTTCCATCTCTTATGATGCTGCTGTCATTCATTTCAAGTATCTAGGTATATTGGTCACCTCATACAATTTTACTATTAATACCTTAAACAGTTATATTTTAAGTCAATTAAAAATAAAAAAAATTAATTCATTTATTCTGTCTTGAATATTCTTTATATAGATCTCAGTTTCTGATCTATATAATTTTCCTTCTGCCTGAAGGCTTTCTTACCATCTTTTGACATTTCTTCTAGGGTAAGCCTGCTGGTGATAAACTGCCTCAGTTTTTGTTTGAGGAAGTCTGCCTGTTTCCTTCAATTTTGAAGAAAATTTGTTTGAGGAAGTCTGCCTGTTTCCTTCAATTTTGAAGAAAAATTTTACTGCAAATAGGATTTTAGGTTGATGGGGTTTTTTCTTTCAATACTTTAATTCACTTCACTCTGTTCTTACTTATGGTTTCTGACAAAAAGACAACTATAATTATTTTCCGTGTTTCTCCATGGGCAAGATGACTTCTTTTCATTTGGGTTCTTTTGCAATTTTCTCTTTTTTTTCTTAGCAGTTTGAATATGATATGCATAGTTGTATATATTTTGTTATGTATCCTACCTGTTTTCTGAGCTTTCCAGGTCTGTGGGTTGGCATTATTAATTTTAGAAAGGTCTCAGCTACTATTACTTCAAACATTTCTTCTTCTCCATTTTTCTTTCTCCTCCTCATATTCCAGTTATGCATATATTCACATTTTAAATTTGTCCCACTTTCTTTTGATATTGTTCTTATTTTGTATTCTTCTTTATGCCCTTTTATATCAGTTTGGAAAATTTCTGAAGATGTATCCTCAAGAGTACTTATTCCCTCTCTTTCTTAGTTTAAATGCATTTTATTTTTAGACAATCTACATGACAAGTTTTTTTTTCCTTAAAAGTGATGCCTCCACACCAAATAAGTCAGAGTCAAAACAATTAAAAAGCTCAAGATGACATCAGTCTCATTTGTCTTAATCTCTGGTGTTGTGTTGATGACAAGTGGCAGCCAGTTATGATGACAGGTGATAGATCCAAAGTAATTACCAAATTTCTTAACATCTTTTAATTTCTAAACCATTCCTTAAAAAATCATATATGGGGTCATACTGACCATCCTTACGGTAGTTCAGCAGAGCAACCATGCCAGGTGGATTTAGGTTTTCACCAATAAAGAACTGGTAGTTTTGCTGGGCATATGGCTCATACCTGTAATCCAAGCACTTTGGAAGGCCAAAGCAGGTGGATCACTTGAGGTCAGGAGTTCGAGATCAGCCTGGCCAACATGGTGAAACCCTGTCTCTACTAAAAATACAATAATTAGCTGGGCATGGTGGTGTATGCCTGTAATCTCAGCTACTGAAGAGACTGAGGCAGGAGAATCACTTGAACAAAGGAGGCAGAAATTGCAGTGAGCTGTGATTGTGCCACTGCACTCCAGCCTGGGTGACAGAGCGAGACCCTATCTCAAAAAGAAAAAAAAATGGAACTAGTAGTTTTTAAAATTAGCAAAGATGTGCTTGATTTGTTCTTCATTCCTGTTATAAAAAGTTTCACTCTTTCTGGTCTCTGTTCTTCAAGTTTTTCGTTGATTGATTTCATGTAATCTTTGATATACTTCTTGTAGGCTTCTTTTGTGAAGATGCTTTCCTGCAAGTGATGGTTTGTAACAATATCAACACTAGTGATTATCGTGCTTTCAGTAACTTCATCCTCAGTACTTTCAGAGGAGGAATTTCTGCCAATGAGTGAGTCATCAGTGTTCCCTGTTGTCTTACTGAGCATCTTCTGCTCCACTTCCAGGCACAGCCCATTTGTGATCTCCCAGATCTTGTAAATGTCAGAGAACATCTCATTGTGGCTGATGAGGTCCTGGAAGATAATCGTGATGGGGCTGAAGGGAGATGAAGGTGGCACTAGCTTAGCAGAAGCCTGGAGTTCAGAGCACGGTGCAGCCAGAGTGGTGTTGTGGGGGAGGGAGGAGTGGCAGGAAAAGCTACTCTCCTTTTCACACTGTCCAGTCTACTGGTGAGCCAATCAAGGCATTTTCTATTTCTGTTACTGTGGTTTTGATTTCTAGTATTTCCTTTGATTATTTCTTAGGATTTCTACCTCTCTGCTTACATTGTCCATTCGTTGTTCCATGTTGTCTATGTTTTCTATCAGAGTCTTTAACATATTAATCATACTTATTTCAAATTCTGATAATTCCAAATTGGCATCATCTCTTAGTTTGTTTCTGTTACTTGGTTTTTCTCCTCTATAAAATAAAAATAAAATTCTAAATCCCCCTTTCCCCGACCAACTGAACAGACTCCCTCTTGGACAAGGGCAACCCAGAAAAATCTTTAAAAACTGAGTTCCCAGCCATGACAGGAGAGGAGATTAGATGAGCCTCATGATACCCCCGTCCCTTCTATTGTTTCAACATAACTACTGACTAGTATTAATGTTAAAATAGAGATTATAAGACTGACAGAACAGACACTTTGTGGCAATAAGATACCAAATTACAAATGGAACTTAAGGCCATTCTAGGCAAGGGTTAAGTCATGTACCCTACACCTAAGAAATAAATGACATTCTAACTGCCACAAAGCTTTTTGTTTGTTTCTCTAGCAGCTAAACAAGCACTGACCTCAAGATGAGCAATATTAAAACAATTTGTAGTTCACCACCACATTCTGACTAACTAATCTCTGTTCTACCAGCCATAACTACAGCTTTTATTGGACAAGAGACTGATTTCAGCACTTTCTACAGATAAGAAGACCATCAACCATGGATTGGTTCTGGCCGGTTTCCAGAAGATACACTCTTACATGCCTTCATGCCCTGAAAAGGCATTTTGATGTTTAGGGCCTAGTTGTGATACATTTAAATGTCTCATTTCTCCAAAAAAAAAAAAAAAAACAAAAAAAAACAAATGGCCAATAAACATGTGAAAAAATGCTCAACGTTTTCAGAAAAATGCTCAACTAATCATCAGATAAATGCAAATTAAAACCACAATGAGATATCACCTTTACTCCAGCCAGAATAGCCATTATTAAAAGTCAAAAAACAGTGGATGTGGCAAAAAGGGAATGCTTCTACACGGTTGGTGGGAATGTAAATTAGTACAATCTGTATGGAAAACAGTGTGGAGATTTCTTAGAGAACCACAAGCAGATCTACCATTCAATTCAGCAATCCCACTGCTGGGTATCTACCCAAAGGCAATATAAGTAATTATGTCAAAAAGACCCCTGCACACATATGTTTATTGCAGCATAATTCACAATTGTAAAGATATGGAAACAACCTATGTGCTTATCAACTGATGAGTGGATAAAGAAAACGTGGTATATATACACCATGGAATACTACACAGCCATAAAAAAAACAAAATAATGTATTTTGTCACAACTTGGATGAAAGTAGAGTCCATTATTCTAAGTGAAGTAACTCAGTAATGGAAAACCAAATACTGTATGTTCTGACTTCTAAGTGGGAGCTAAGCTATGGGTATGCAAAGGCATACAGAGTGGTATAAGGGATACTGAAGATTCAGAAGGGGGACATTGGGAGGAGGATGAGGGATAAAAAACTACATATTGGGTACAATGCATACTGCTTTGGTGACAGGTACACTAAAATTTCAGACTTCACCACGATGCAATTCATCCATATAACCAAAAAACCACTTGTACCCCTAAAGCTGACATTAAAAAAATATTAAGTCTCCACCCCAAGGTAAACATGGGTCTTATGTTGCATGCATATCCATAGCTCTTCCTGTAACCTGTTGAATACGTTTGTTTTGCCAACCTGTTCAACATAAATCTCCTACCTCAACCCCTTCTCCTTTGAAATTCCTGTTTCTGTTTTTTTCTGGAGGCACACTTCCCGGCTTGTGGGATGGCCACCTTACAGGCTGTAACCTTTTACAAGAAATAAAGTCTCCTTTCCGAATTTATAAATGGTGTGGTTTTAAATTGAACATCTCAGAGAGAGTTTTGTTTTGTTTTTGGCTTTTTGCATTCTTTGCAATTTTGTTTTACAATAGGATATGTTATATTGGATAATAAGAACTGAGGTAAATAGGTGTTCAGTGTGAGGTTTTATGTTAATCTAGCTAGGAATTGCACTGTTTGTTTGCTGTAGCTGCAGTTTTCAGAGGCTCTAAATTCCTCTAGTGTCATTGCTTTTGTCTACTTTGTTGTCTTTGGGTTTTCCTAAGAACTCCTTCTTGAATAATCTGTTCCTTGCACCTCTTTCAACTATAATTCACTTTTGTGATACTGAAGCCCTATTGGTGTGGTGGTAATGTGTGGGATACGGGAAGATTATATGATTGTATGATGAAGTCTCAGATTTTTCGTGGGTCTGTTTTTGGAGGCTGTGACCATCAGCATGGATCTTAACTCCCCATGTTTCTCCTTTCTTCTTCAGGTGATACAGGGGTAGAGTAGGAGACATGCCATTCCCTCAGCTGAGGCAAAGCCCTGGGAAAGTATTTTTTCCCTGGAGAGCAGGTCCTTGTAATGGAGAATGCTCTGATTGTATTTCTTTTTTCCTTTTTCTTTTTTTTTAGACAGAGTCTTGCTCTGTCTCCCAAGCTGGGGTGCAATGGCACAATCTTGGCTCACCACAACCTCCACCTCCTGGGTTCAAGAGATTCTCCTGCCTCGGCCTCCAGAATAGCTGGGATTACAAGCGCCCACCACCATGACCAGTTAATTTTTGTATTTTTAGTAGAGATGTGGTTTCGCCATGTTGGCCAGGCTGGTCTCGAACTCCTGACTTCAGTTTTTTTTATTTTTTTAATTTGAGACAGAGTTTTGCTCTGTTGCCCAGGCTGGAGTGCAGTGGTGCGATCTCACACACTGCAACCTCCTTCTCCTGGCTTTAAGCGATTCTCCTGCTTCAGCCTCCCCAGTAGCTGGAATTATGGGCACCCACCAACATGCCCTGCTAATTTTTGTATTTTTACTAAAGACGGGGTTTCATCATGTTGGTCGGGCTGGTCTTCAACTCCTGACCTCAGGGGATCTGCCCGCCTCGGCCTCCCAAAGTGCTAGGATTATAGGCGTGAGCCATCGTATCCGGCCACTGGTTGTTATTTCACAATGGTTACTTTTTCTCTCACCCTGCCAGTCTCTGAGGGACTTTTTCTAGGCCTTTCATTGGAAAATTCCTAGAGCCTGGTAGGATTTCTGAAGGCAAAACCCTCCAAAGTGTGCCCCCAGGAGTTTCTCATTCTATACCTTATCCACACTCAGCCTCTAGTAATTTATCCCAGTTATCATGTAAATATTCCTACTAGTTTACAGCTTCAGTGCTTCCCCCAGTGAGCAGATCTCAGCTGCGATTCTCCACATTTCTGGATTTTGCCCTATAACCTCAGTTTCACTGATGGGCCAAGAAAAGTCTCCAATTTTCAGTTTGTTTAGTTTTTTTGTTATTGTAAGGACAGGAGTGATGACTTCAAAGATCTTTACAAGCCAGAGTTAAAACTGGAAATTCAACCACAGCTTTCCTTATTCACTAAGACTGCTTCTCCTAGGCCACAGAATCAAGAGGCTTGGTTTTCTTTCTTTTTTTTTTCCTGGTTTTTATTTTTATTTTTTATTTTTTTGAGATGAAGCCTCACTCTGTTACCCAGGCTCTGTTACCCAGAAGTCCAGTGGCTCAATCTTGGCTCACTGCAACCTCCACCTCCTGGGTTCAAGCGATTCTACTGCCTCAGCCTCCAGAGTAGCTGGGAGTACAGGTGTGCACCACCATACCTGGCTAATTTTTGTACTTTTAGTAGAGACATGGTTTCACCATGTTGGCCAGACTGGTCTGGAACTCCTGACCTCAGGTGATCCACCCACCTCAGACTCCCAAAGTGCTGGGATTACAGGCATGAGCCACCGCGCCCGGCTACTGGTTTTCAAATGTGGCTCACATCACGGCATACCCTGCCACGCATTTAACCTGAAAACTCCCCTTTCAGTAATTAAATACATTTGCTTCACGGGTCATTATGATGTGATTTATGACATATGTGTAATTGTCAGAATTACTGTGGGTAATTAAAATATGAAGTGAATGCTGCCAGAGGCTTTAGTCCCTCTCAATGTCCTCATTAAAAATCAGGAGCTGACCAAATTATAAATAGACTGGTTTGCACAAGTTCCCAGCAAAACCTAATTATGAAACTTATCCTTATTCTATCAGAACTCACTCCATTAGTCATGCAAATTCTGAAAATGATTAAGTTATTTTATGTGCCGGAATTGTGGAATTAATAATAAAGAGGTGGGTAACAGTAATTAGCCATTACTATGAAACTTCGTTATCTCAGGTCACTCTGGGTCAAAGTTGCAAGTCTTCCCAACCCCACACCCAACACACTGAAGAAGCATCCCTACCTTTCAGATAGTTTAACACATGAATTAATGGTTTTAGTGAGTTTATGATAACTTTTTAAAATGAAAGCTAAACTAGGAGAAGGAAGAGGATTTATGAACTCTGCATGAGGTAGTATTTTGCAACTGATTGGACACAGATATTTGGCAACTATAATCAGCAGAAGTCTTTTTTTTGAGACAGGGTCTGGCTCTGCAATCCAGGCTGGAGTGCAGTGACATCATCTCAGCTCACTGCAGCCTCGACCTCCTGGGCTCAAATGATCCTCCCACATCAGCCTCCCAAGTAGCTGGGACTACAGGCATGAGCCATCACACCTGGCTAATTTTTGTGGTTTTCTTTTTTTGTAGAGACAGGGTTTCACCATGTTGCCCAGGCTGGTCTTGAACTCCTGGGCTCAAGTGATCCTCCCACCTCTGCCTTCCCAAGTGCTGGGATTACAGGCATGAACCATGTTGCCAAGCCAGTGGAAGTCTTTCCTCCCAGAAAAGGCAAAGCACAACAAGGAGAAATTAGTTACCCTGAGGTTGTTTCTAGATATGACAGCGGGAACAGGAGTAAATGATAAAGTTCAAAGCTTAGATGATTATGTCTCATTTTCTCTCTAATTTCACAGATAGGGGATTTAGCCTGGAAAGAATATATGACTGCCAGTTACTAAGTGAGCCAGACATCAAGCCTAGTGCCACGTGTCTCTTCTTTAAAGCATGATAGGTCACCAACTGAAGAGGAAATTGGTGAGCATCAACTTTCTCAGCATGGTGAGAGAACATTGATGGCTGGTTCATGCTAAATGTCCAGAGGAAAGAAAAGGTAATTCACTGATTGTTCAGCCTGGTGAATTTTAACCTCTCATGAGACAAGAAAATTACTATGTGGAAACACAGACATCATGATGCTTATTCAGAAGATGCTAAGAACTTTGATGACTCATTCAATATATCTTTGTAAAAGTAAATGAAATGCAAAAGATAAGGAAGGCAAAAAAGAGATGGATAGAAAAGGAAGGGAAGGAGAAGAAAGAAAAAAGAGAAATGCATATTTTATAGAATGATGCAATATTTAACAGTTAAACAAATGTGGCGGGTGGGCCTGGTGGCTCACGCCTGTAATCCCAGCAGTTTGGGAGGCCGAGGTGGGAGGATCACCTGAGGTCAGGAGTTCGAGACCAGCCTGACCAACATGGAGAAACCCCATCTCTACTAAAAACATAAAATTAGCTGGGTGTGGTGGCGCATGCCTGTAATCCCAGCTACTCAGGAGGCTAAGGCAGGAGAATCGCTTGAACCTGGGAGGAGGAGGTTGCAGTGAGCCAAGATCGTGCCACTGTACTCCAGCCTGGGCAACAAGAGCAAAACTCCACCTCAAAAAAAAAAATAGTGAAATGTTTATGTATCAGCCTATGGGGGCTCAGTGCTGCCAATTTGGTGAGGACGATGGGGTTTATGCAAATGTCCTTTTGTAGACGCAATGAGAAAAAAGAGGCAGAGAAGGGGCAAGAGGTATCTCTCACAGGAATACAGAAATTCTAGCTCTGCATACATAACTAATTGACTGCCTGTATAAACTCAACTATCTGAAATTCACCCTTTTACACACTCTGTCTCTGGGTTAAGGACAGAAAACTTTCTGTGCTACTCAAGAATGAGATCTCAAATGAAAAGGAGCAACGCTGTGAACTTTGCCTGGAAAGAAACATTCCTCCACAGCCCTGCTGGTTTCAGGTGTGATTGGTAAATATGGACTTTTAAATGGGCTTATCCAAATGACATCCTCACATGAATGAGACAAATAGAAACTCATATGAAAGGTGCTTTCGGAAATGACATAAAAGAAGAAATGATTGAGACAAGGGAGTCAAGAGGTGTGGTAAGAGAGAATGGGTCTCTTTTTGGAGAGGCTGTAGATGACTGTCTGCAAATCGCTCCTAGTAAGGTAGCACTTTTAAGAGATGGTGGAGAAAGGGCTGAACATTTAGGGATCTGGGGATGAGGAGATGAGTAACAGAGATTGATAAACTTGTGAAGATGCAGAGCTTTATAGGAGAGAAGGTAAGAATCTGGCTATAACATGGTAACTCAAATACCTATCTTTGACAAATGTAGGGGCCAGTAAACTTGAATGTGTGTGTGTGTGTGTGTGTGTGTGTGTGTGTGTGTGTGTGTGTGTGATTTGACTTTTCCCAGCAACACCATGAGGTAGGCAGGAAAAAATATTTTTATCCACATTTTATGATGAAGAGAAATTAAGTGACTCACTCAAATTCTCAAGATGGTGAGCAATGAATTTGAATTCCAGACACTCAGGTTTGTGTCTATTTTCTGTTCCTCTATAATATGCCAGTACTTTGTACAACTACTCAGAATGGACGTCATAGTGTGTGTGGAGACTAGGTGAGGAAAATTTCATGTTTCCCCCTCCTCTTAAAAAGTTGGTTGGCTTGGCCAGATGAAATGGCTCACGTCTGTTAACTCCAGTGCTTTGGGAAGTGAAGGTGGGAGGATCACTTGAGGTCAGGAGTTTGAAATCAGAGTGGGCAACAGAGTGAGACCCTATCCCTACCAAAAATTTAAAAAATTAGCTGGGCATGGTGGCTCATGACTGTAGTACTAGTTACCCCAGAGGCTGAGGTGGGAGGATTGCTCAAGTCTGCTATGATGGTGCCACTGCACTCCAGCCTAGATGACAGAGCAAGATGCTGTCTCAAAAACAAAAACAAACAAACAAAAAAACAGTTGGCTGGCCTTTTAGTGAGTTAACTTTCTCTCCTCCTCCAATGGTTGCAAAGCCTCAGAGCTTTGTAGAAGGGCTCCCGAAAGGTTTAGTGGCTGCCCGGTCTTGTCAGTGGCGGCAGCTAATGACCCCTAAGGGCACATTGCCCTTCAGTGTGTAGGAAGTCTTGGAGCACCATGTTCCTCCCTCCTCTGTGAGATGCTGAGAACTTCCAGGGTGCTCCTTTTATTTTTTTTTATATTGATGCCCAGGGCCCTGCAAAGCAATCCACATTACTCAGAATCCTTCATGTCCCATCCCCAAGCCCAACAACAGGATGTTTGCAGTATTAGTCACTCACTCAAAGAATATTCAATTCTTTCTGTGCATCTTTCTTTTTGTTCTACCAGGTTTTTATTTTCTCAGCTTTTTAGGAAAAAAGTAATATGACACATTTACCTCCAAATGTGGAGGTGGATGCCTCAGCAAGAGGCACTCAGGAAAAACATGCATTTGAAAACTGCAGTTTTTGGCTGCTGGTGCCAGATACAGCCACCTCATCTCTTGCTTGAAACCCAAACAGGGTGACTGCCAGTCAGGGATTCCAACCAGCTGGTGGGATTGGCCTAAAGCATCTGACAAAGGGATCCCTTTCCTCAACAGCAACTTCCCCACCTCTTTCTCTCTCCTTTTTGCTTGAGAACGCAGTTTTGCACTTGTCCTTCATACCAATAACTGGAGGGTGGGAATTATTCAGAAAGCCTGTGTTCGACACCCCATCTGTTCATTTCTGACAGCAATATATAATGTAAGGCTATAAAAACTTGAAAAATAATGCAACATAAAAAGGGATTGACTCAGCTCCAAGAGGCCATAAATGGTAACAAATACCACTGGATGATTTATTTCATGCTGCAATCTTTACAGTAAGTCATCTTTCAGACATTTCCTTGTGACAGGTTTTAATAATATTAATGCCCAGAGCAATCCAAATCATCGCCAATAGACGTATTTATCAAGCTGCCAATCCGAGTAAATGAAATTCTATAAGCAATAATGTAACATGTTTAAAAGAAGCTAATAAAACAAGTCAGCAGAGAAATATTACTTCAAAGTATTCTCTCCCTCTAATCCAGTCCTGCATGTTATACAGCCAAAATGCAAATCTTTCCATACTTGATTTATTGCTCCAAAAATACCAATGACCTTTTCCCAAGCTTCTGTATATTCACTCTCATACATTCATAAAGCCTGCAGTACATCCTGCCAGAGTTGCTGTACGCTGGAGTGCTTAGCATTTATTGTTATGTTTGTCTTGCTTTTACGCAAGTACTTGATTGGCGGTTGGAGTGAATAACATCTAAGTTTCCAAGCCTTATTAAAATGTAACAAATACCCGAACCATAAACCAATCTTTTACAGTGCCCACTCGAGGCAGGCCTTCCAGAAGATCTGAGAAAGTGACTTGAGCAAAGTCCTAGTGATTTACTATTACAGTTGCCAGGTAAATTTCACCTGAGGGAAAGCCAATCAGGTTTGCTTTGCTTTGTACTAATTTTTTTCTTATTCCTACAGATCACAGAATGCCAGCTGTTGAAGCATTCGGCATTTTAAATGCAGCTCAAGACCTGCCTCCTGCAGGAAGCCTTCCTTATTAATTTCCCCAATTTTCTGATCTCTAGCACAATACCTGACCCATCCCTCAACACAGCTTTCTCATTAATAAATTCATGAAAGCACAACGCATATCAAAGGCACTCAACAAATATTAGATGGAAATATGCTCTGCATTAATTTATTCAATCAATTCTGCAATTAATTGATAGCTAATTTTTCTTGCATACCAGACATACATTTCTCAAGGTTAGATTTATACCACAAGTGTGTGCTATACCACTGAGTACCTAGTAGGTATGGCAAACATGTAATTTTATATAAAATTACAGCATATATGGGTATATATATAACCTAAAAATATATTTTTATATATCTCATATATTTCATATATGTGTGTGTATATATATATATATATATATATATATACACACACACACACACACACATACATATATGCCTGAATTGCACAAGTACTTGATTGGCAGCTGCAGTGAATAACGTCTAAGTTTCCAAGCCTTATTAAAATGCAAGAAATACCCAAGCCATAAACCAATCTTTTACGGTGCCCACTCAATGTAGACCTTCCAGAAGATCTGAGAAAGTGACTTCAGCAAAGTCCCGATGATTTGCTATCATAGTTGCTAAGTAAATTTCACCTGAGAGGAAAGCCAGTCTGAATTTTCCTATATATAAAATTGTTCATATATAATATATATAAAACATATATTATATAATGTATTAAAATGTATTATATATTTATATACATATACAATATAAATATATATTTTATATAAAATATGTAAATACTTTTCAGCATTATCCTATCAATTAGGGCAGATATATATGTATAATTATATTTTATATATATAAAATATACACATATGTCCTAATTGATGTGATAATGCTTAAAAGTATTTATTTACTATGACTATTGTTCTTGTGCTTATTTGGAATAAATCCTTTGGAGTTTCTTCCAAGTCCATATCTGCACTCCTTTACTTCTTTGAGAACTATTTCATCCCCTACCCAATGGTCAAGTTTGTTCCCAATGTCTCCATTTCCTGATATAACACAGAAAGCTGACTTGAGCTGAGTCAGTTGGATACTCTCTTCTTGTCATGAGAAACTGGGAAACTGAGAAGCTAGTCACCTAGTTTGTGAGCAGGGATATGACTTCAGCACAGGGACAACCATCTGCTGCTTTACAGAGGTAAAGAGAGCCTTTGTATGGAGGGTGAGGTCTACACCACAGCTCACATGGACCCGTGGTAGAGTGCAGCTGACAGAGCAGCCTCCTTGGGTGGGGCACACAGATTTCCCATTCCTGGTTCCAGTCTCACCTGAAGGCCAACATCACTTTCTCCCTTAGAGTTTTTCTGATCTGAAATTCCTTATCAGAAATTTTCTTGTCTTTATTTTTAATTGGTTTCTCTTACTTGCAACTAATTGGGCATTATTTTAAATACTTTTATTGCTAAATCAGCTTTTTAAAATACCACATAAGAGACATATTTTTGTTTGAAAAGAGATCATTCTTTATAATGAGAAGCTAGATATTGTTGGGATGTTAATAAAATACAAAGTCCTTTTTATCTTGGTAATCTGGGGTATTTAGAGTTGAGTTTTGGAATATTCTTGGAATGCAGTGAGAATTTATTAGGCAAAGATGGGAAGACAGAAGAACATTCTATGTATACACACAGGACCAAGGCAGATAAGAAGTATAATGCATATTTGGACAAGTGAGAGGGTAGAATATAGTTCGAGTTTAGAGGGCTTTTGAGAGATAGGAGCTATATGATAACGGGCATTGTTAAGGATTTTGATCTCATTCTTAAGGGCATGGAGAAACCATTCCAGGGAAGCAGTATTTCACATTTTCATTTTTTATGCATCCCTCAAGCTGTGATATAAAAATAGAGAAGAAGGGACAAGTGTAGATATGGAAAGACCACACCAGAGTATATTTCAGTGTTTGTCTAGGAAGAGAAGACAGTAGCTTGATTTGGGATTAGAATTAAAAATGGAAAAACTAGGCCAGGTGTGGTGGCTCATGCCTGTAATCCCAGCACTTTGGGAGGCCGAGGCAGGAGGATCACCTGAGATCAGAAGTTTGAGACCAGCCTGGCCAACATGGTGAAACTCCATCTCTACTAAAAATACAAAAATCAGCTGGGTGTGGTGGTGGGCGCCTGTAATCTCAGCTACTTGGGAGGCTGAGGCACGAGAATTGCTTGAACCCAGGAGGCAGAGGTTGCAGTGAGCCAAGACCATGCCATTGCACTCTAGCCTGGGCGACAAGAGTGAAACTCCATCTCAAAAAAAAAAAAAACAGAGGAAAAACTAGAGATTTAAGAAATCCTTAGGAATAAAATAGAGAAAGCAAGAGGCTTGACTGAATTGAGGAGAGAAACCCTTCTCACATCTTCCTCACTTGATTCTATGAATCCTTACCCCAACTGCTAGCCCAGATGTGAGGAATCTGCAGCCCCTGCTGGGTTCACTGGATCGTCTGCTTTGCCCTTCATTTTTGCTTATTTTAGAGTGTGCTTCTAAGTGCAGGTAACAGAGAGTTAGAGAGAAATCAGGTGCTTGGGAAAAGTGTTGATTTTATAATTGCATTCTCTAATTTGGTATAGTAAATTATTTTTCCAGAATCCAGTTGCTCTTCCTACTTCTCCGTTTCTTCTCTTGTCTCCTCATCTCCTTTCTGCTTCAGTGCTCCCATCACCAACATCTGGCCTTGTGTGTGTGCTGTGATTCTCAGGGTGGAAACAGGCCAGCCAGGGCGTATATTATTAGACAAGGGTTTGAAGAAGCCTCTTATCCCCTGACATTTTTATATCCATACCTACATACACACCTACCTTGAAAAGTACTGTTTCATCTCTTCTCTACTCTTATTTCTTGGCTTGAAAAAATACCAGAACCAAATGTAGTGGCTGCAAGGTGAACTGAAGGAGAGGAAAGGAGGAAGAAGTGGGAGGAGGAGGAGAACTTGAGGCAGCGCCACAGATCTGGAGGTGGGGATAAGAATGTCTGGTGACAGAGCACCTCATTAGGAATGCCTACCCTGCCCTACCTCCAAGAAAGAACATGGTTCTAGATGGGAAGATAGACCTTGAAAGACTGTTGGAAGGAGGGATAGAATCAGGGTTGACAGAGATGATCTGCTTGTGTAATTATACAAACATGTTTCTTCTGTGATCTTATTCCTGATTCCCTAAAGACTGAGAGTCCTCTGACATAGCTCTTTGACTTTGAAAAACAGAAAAATGTAAAAGCCACCCAGGATGGTTCCTTGTCTGTTTTCTTTTTTAACGCATTCACCCAAATCTTTCCCAATTAGCTGTAAAGAAACACAGATAGAATCTATGTAGAGAAGTCAAAGCCTTATGCCAGTGGGTTCATAGATTTTGTATTTTTGCTCAGCTCAGAACTTGTCCTGTGTCGGCCTAGGGGATGCATGATGGAAATCGATTAGTTTGAGTGGGACCTCGGTGGCTGTGGGCAGGAGATACTGGAACTGTTCCTGGAAGACTAAACTCACAAGCCAAGCAGATACTTGACCTGGCCCTAAAAATCCCTTCAAATTGTCTTTTGCCTCTGGGCTATCTCTAAGTCTCTTAAAACTGGTTTCCAAGGCTGATCCATTAAAGAATTTCTCAAAGGAATAAAACAGAAGTCAAGTGAGAAAAAAGAAAGCACGTTGCCCATGGTCCTGGCAGCAGATATCTATGCTGTGGGCAACAGCTGAAACCAGGGATTTTTAGAAAGAAGGTCTCTGGATATTTATATTTATACCTAAACAGTGTAAAATCCAGGCACCAGGCTTGACTGAGTATAAAATCAAACAATATTTCAGTTGAAGCAAAGCTAGCTAATCTGCACGAAAATATTTTTCATAAAAATATTATTCTATGAACTAGAAATTTTAATGTGCTCTTTACTTGTAATAAAATGTGAATATAAAGGTATTAATCATAATTATTACATGCAATAAGTAAATAGAAACTGGACATTTTTATTTTGGAAGGTCATTTGCATTGCTCTCAATTACAAAGCCCTATCACTGGATTAAAAGGCCACTTTGAATCAAAGTCTGTAAACTTTGCCACTCCTTATTTTTAGCTATTGTAGATCTTCCAGTATATATATAATATATCTGTAATGTGTGTGTGTGTATATATATCTCTGTAATGTATATATGTTATATATAATAACATATATAAAACACTATTATATATCTGTAATATATATTATATATCTGTAATTATATATGTAATGTATGTATGTATTGGTATGTATAAATAAGTCATACATATGTGTGTATATACATACACACACATACATGTGATTTATTTTGGTTGATTCTTATGTATCAACACCAAAATCTTTCCCTAAAGAGTAATTTATCTGCAATATATGCACTATCAATCCTAATAAAATGCATTAAAATATTTCTTCCATTATCTAAACAGAACATTTTAGAAGTTTGAGACGGACAGAAAATGGCAGCTTCTTTCACATTTATACATGGCCTTATGATTTTTTTTAACTAGCTTTTTCCCCACTGGTACCTTAAATGTAGATGAGATATAATACCACTTACATTCATTAGGAGGAAACCAGGAAGCAGAAGGGCAACAACCTGGCTGCGTTATGATTGGAAGTGGGCTTAGAACCCCTCTGGGAGGAACAGAGGGGTTCTAAGGAAGGAACAGAATCCCTCTGGTGGAACAGAGAGCAGGGAGGGAAAGGGACGTTCAAGGAGAAAAATCTGTTAAAGGTGCCTTTTCTTAACCTTCTCTCGGTAAGAAAGGTTTTCCCAATTAAATCGGGACTGTTACACACTCCATACTCATTTGTTCTTGATGTTTATTTTAAAAGGTATAAATAATTGTACGAAAGCCAATAATATATTGTGTTGGGTAAGCTAATAATCTATAGTGTTGGGTAAACAGCCTTTATATTTGATGCTAAATTGAGGAGGACAATAATGGTTGTGTCCTCACCTAACCCACAGAGCCCCAAACACTCCTCATGGGATGAAGCCCGGCTCAGGGATGATGCCACCAAGACCTCCTGCCCAGGGAGGGCACGTGGTGGCACCTGTGCCTGGGACATCACATGAATGTCCTGCCACTCTGTACCATCCTTGAGTGAGGGTAGAGTGGCGTTCCCACTATGACCCTGTGAGCAGGGGAAACTCCAGATTTTAAAATGAAAATGAGGGCTTATTTCTTATCTTTACATAAGGACTGCCCCCACAGAATTCTATATAATAATCTACTCATTTAGAGTGTAAAACAGAATAGCATTTAGGAAAAAAAATGATTTCCACATGTTTTAAGGAACATGACTATTGCTTAAAGCGAGATGGGCTTATAAATAAAAAAGAATGGTGACTACTCGGCTTTTCCTGGGGCTTTGAAGAGAATTGAGTAGGTTTCCAGGGAGTCAGATTATTTGGTTTACTTCTTAGCACTATCTGCAGCAATATTTCAGAGTGAAATAAGTAAAATATCTGTTCCTTTTCATTTGGCAGCAGAAAAGATCTAGGGAAAAAAATAAATAAGAAATATGTAATCCCCACGGTGTAATCCCACGGTATGGAAACTCACTTCTCTTAAATACCTCCCTCTGGCATAATTGACTTTTCATGTGCATTTTAATAATGATATTTCAGCAGGTTGCAAGAGATTTTTTTTCTCCTGTTGTTGTTGTTGTAAATTATGACTTGGAAAAAAAGTGTTATAAATCTAATTACATTTTCACTTATATTAACAAGTCAGCACAATCTTCCAGCATGTTTACCAAGCAATTCCAATATTTACAGCTGACCTAATTGGTTGTGGGGTAGAAGCAATGAACAATATTTTATTGTCCTGATCGTTGCGCATGTGCTTAAGAGAGCTGCCAACTTGTAAAGCTGCCCAGCAACCCTGAAGTTCTGCCTGCCTTGTGCTTGCAGTCCTCAGCCAGCTGTGGAACAGAGAGCAGGGAGAGAAAAGGGCGTTCAAGGAGAAGAATTTGTTAAAAGTGCCTTTTCTTAACCCTCTCTTAGCAAGAAAGATTTTCCCAATTAAATGGGGATTGTTACAGATTCCACACTCACTTGTTCCTGATGTTTATTTTAAAACGTATAAATAATTGTATAAAAGCCAATAATATATTGTGTTGTGTAAGCCAATAATTTATAGTGTTGGGTAAACAGCCATTATATTTGATGCTAAGTTGAGGAGGACAATTATGGTTGTGTCTTTGACTTTCACTATCAAAACTGGCGTGGTCTTAGGAGCCAAGCATGGGTCTAATATAGGTGGAGAATTCTTACATTCTCATATCTTTAAAGAAAGGGGTGGGGGTTGGGGCCAGGGGAAGGAAAGAAAGAAAGTAATTATTCTTAGTAGGCAAGGACCACATTGCTTCCTGGGGAGAATGAGACAGGGTCTACCTCTCTTATTACTAAAGGTGAGTTCTGCTGCCACTTTGCCACCCCCACAGGATGTAAATTGTTGGGGTTTTTTGTTTGTTTGGTTGGTTAGTTTATTTTTTGAGATGGAATTTCGCTCTTGTTGCCCAGGCTGGAGTGCAATGGTGCAATCTTGGCTCACTACAACCTCCACCTCCCAGGTTCAAGTGATTTTCCTGCCTCAGCCTCCTGGGTAGCTAGGATGACAGGCGTGACGGGGTTTCACCATGTTGGCCAGGCAGGTCTCAAACTCCTGACCTCAGGTGATTCACCCACCTTGGCCTCCCAAAGTGCTGGGATTACAGGCATGAGCTACTGCACCCAGCCCAAGATGTTAATTGAAATAACATTCATCTCTAAGTCCTCTGTCTTACCTACTCAAACTGTTGGTGTTAGCACAAATGCAGAATTTTAATATTAGCAGAAAGCTGCTTTGTGGTGACTCTCCAGACCTTGACTTCAATTATTTTATGGGAAACTCCTGACTCTTGTGTAGTGATAATTGCTAGCATTTATTGAAGGCTTACTACTCAATGCTGGGAACTTCTCTCAAAGTCTTATACTTAATCTTCTCATCATTTCTATGAGATTGTATTATTTATTTTACTGGATGGGGGATCTGAGCCACAGGACAGTAAGTGACTTGCTTATGGTCACAGAGCATGAACATCACAGAGCTGTGATCTGACAATCTACAGTTTACTGCTGGAGCCCCCACCATAGTTACAGGGCGGGGCGGCGTCCCCCTTTATCTCTCTTTCTGAAGCCAAAAAGCTAACATAGCATAGCATGCGATAGGCTTCGAGATGTGGTATTGGATGTACATAGAAGACTCTTATTGGATGTTGCCTAAAATTATACCTCCCCTATACGTTGACACCTGAAATTTGTTAGTTAGGGCTTTGTTCCTTAGCTGAAGTCCCTGATCCATGATGAAAGGGAAGCTGCCCCAGAAGGGTTAATATTTTATTCTTCTGTTTTTGCAAATGAAGTTTTAAATAATAGATGTTGATGAGGACATTTAAATACCTGGGGACTGTGAGCCCCTGAGAAAGATGATGATAAGGTGTTACTCAGAGGGCAAATAACACAAAGTGAAAATCAGTGCGATTTGCCTACTTCACATTTTTTTTTCTTGGAAACTATGCAAGTCATGTCTCAAGGCCTTGAAGAGAGTTTTACTTAGAAACAGTGACTAAGCTTCGCATAACCTTCACTTTGTCTTATAGAGTTGGTCTTTTATATATGACCCTAAACAGACAAGGTCTCATTCCTGCCTTTTAGGAGATTATAAATGAAATGAAGAATAAAAGCATGCAAATAGTAGTTAACTAATGCAAATAAATATATGCACTCAGTAAATGATCAGTCATCCCATAGTAATTTTTATCGCAATGATCTGAGGGCCACTTCCTCATCTTAGCACCCAGCCAAATCAATTTCCATACCCGTAATTCCAGGAGAATTTGTTTTTAGTTTTTTAAAAGACCTGTCCACAGACTCACAAAGATATTTACAAAATGCCTTGTCTCTCCTTTATTATAGTCTGTGAAGCTAGGCAGGATGAGGGAGATGACAGTAACGAAGAGAGATGCTGACTTTTCTATGGTACAATTCTGATGCTTTTAAGAAGCCTGAAGCTATTTTTCTGCTATTTTTAAGCAATAACAATAAAATTTTGTTTGTTAATCTAAAGAATCAGATTATTCAATACATACCTGATGAATTATTGCTCGCTCTCTCTCTCTCTCTATGTATATATATATATATATGGTACTTTGCTAGGATTGTGGCACATTGCTTCCCAAAAATGGGATTTTCACCTATGAATACAAAATAAGAACTAGAAAAGAGGTATTTAGAGGATCTGAAGGAAAATATCTAGTCATCTTTTCAAAATTCTTATTCTTATATTCCCTGCCACCCTAACTCTTTCATCTGTCTTTGGAACTCAGGCTCATTGTGATTAAAAGTATAGTTTTTATATGTATATGTGTATGTATATTTTCAATCCTACCTCTAGATTATCCCTATAATTATATGAGAATATATTTAGTCCTGCTGTCTTCTTTGGTCTTGCTATTGAGACCTGATGAAGATATTTATTAAACTTCATTGCAGACACATAGCCCTGCTAGGGATTCTGGTGGTCCCAAATTATACCATCAATTAAAATGAGAGAAAGCATATTTTAAAGGTTCTAAAATCTCAGGTGGAAAACCATAGAATGGGAAACATAAGTGCCAATGGGACTCTTGGGGAAAGGTAACTCTGAAAGATGAAATACTGGCCATATAGTGTTAAGTGAATGTAGATTTCCAGAACATGATTTGAAATGCTACAGTAAAGGCATCACTCAGTAGGCTTATATGAATGAAAGAACCAGAGAATGCTTTTGATTTACTAGTTATGGGCTACATTACACTCAAATAGGAAAGCCTATGCTTGTCTGGAGGGAAAGTAGTTTTAAAAGCTTAATATAAAATAAGAAGGGATAAAAGGAATTGCTCAGATAATCTCATCTGATCAGTTTCTGTAGAAAGCTCAGATATGACATGAAAAGAGCCATGTACGGTGATTTGTATCCGATCTTCTGCCCCCACTAGGTGGACTCAGAGGCTGGCTCTCAGTAGGAGTTCAGACATCATTGAGGCTAAAAGATGGGGATTCTCTTGCCTGAATAGTTTGGAACACAGAATTCGATAAAGTGTACAGAACTGAGAGTAAAAAGGGAGGAAGGGCTCAGCTTCTTTTCCTGAGACAACAGGGTATGTATGGCAGAGGGGGCATGAAAATAAGAGGTCATAGGGACAGGTGTCTCAGGAGTCATGCGTGAGCATAAATTATGTAGGGCTGGAAATAGATGTGCCAGAAAAGAAACAAACAACTTATCCCAGTTGGATTGAACCTCTTACATCTTTATGGCCAGTGCACTACTTACTAGCAAGCTTCCAGCTTGGCAAAGCCTATCCTGGCAGTCCTTCTGGATGGACTACAGTTTGGTTGGAAATGAAAGACTGCCATAGGATTACTGGAAGGCACTAGAAAATAGCCAAGGAAGGAGCTGGAATTGCCATGGAAAAGAATGTTCTGGAGGGAGAATGGCAAGCTATAGGCCGACTTGGACATGGCAAAGTGACCTTACCAATGGTAACTACTGCATCGTAGATCTTCACTGAAAACCCTGCTGGTATGCTTGTCAGGCTGGTGGTCTATAGATGGTGGTTGTAGACAGTGAATTAAATCTTGCGAGGTCTTGAACTCTGTAACCTCTCCACTAAAATGTGAAAGAAAGTGGTAGCAAAAACGTAGAAGTCTAAGAACCAGAGACATGACGGCAGAGGGTGACAGGAAATACAATGACAACAACAGCATGAAACATTTTTCACTTGCTGTATTTTCACTATGTATATTAGGCACTACATAAGAATTGAATCAGTCCTGTCTCAACCAATCCTCACAACATTTCAATTAGATTCTAATATCATCTCATTTTACAGATGAGAAAACTGAAGCTTATAAGCTAAGAAGATGGCGATCTGGAGCTCATGTCTGCCATAGGTGCTATTGCTCATGGCTAATATTTGTGGACCACTTATCCTTGAAAGAACTAAGGCTGACTTGGACATTGGCAAAGAGAGAAAAAAATAGCATTTACGGTCCCTGGTATCTGTAAAAGAACATAAAGAGGATGGAGATGAAGTTGATATTATAAATGTGATCTCATTCATAGATACCATTAAGACATGGTGAGAAAGGATGTTATATGGAAAAGTATTTAGATTTCAATATGGGCCATAAGTTGACTTAAGCAGACCCAATAGGGAGAATTTCCAGGGAAAGTGTGATAGGGCCAAACAAAACAAGCATTTCTATTAAAAACGTTTTCCTCTCCTGGCCCAGGTCTGTTATACAATGCTTGGAAATTTCTGCCTTGTTTCACCGATTAAATATCTTTCACTACTCACTTGAGATTATTCGCACCTACTTTTTAGAAAGCTGGATAATTTATTGTGGTTATGGTGTTATTAGTCACAACATCATACAAATCAGTTGTATCTAAAACTTTTCTTTCTAATATCTAATTAAAATCAGTTTTACTAAAGAAGAGAGTTTTGATAGAGAAGAAGCAGAGAATAGTAAATAATTGTGTAATAGGTAGAATGGGCAAAACTGTCGTAACTCACCCAAAGTGGAATGGCCAAGGTAAAGAAATTGGAAGCTAGGACCAGGGAGCTCCAGAAATGAATGAGATTCATTTTCACTTACTATAAAACACTGCACAGGTCTAACTTTATCTCCCTGAAAAGAAACAGGAAATACTTTCTTTCTCTTATATCATGTGATCCCTTGATTTAAGGACATAAAATTCAAGCAAATAGAGCTAATGTTTGTATACTTATTCATTCAACAAATATATATTTAACTACCATCTATTAAACAGTCTTTTGTGTGCTAGCCTGACAACATAACTGCTGTTTATAACATTGCTTATTCTATGGGAAGAGAAAGACATCAGGGATACCATAAAATATTGGATAATAACTTTTGTATAAGTTAGGGCTGTCTGTAATGCTTTAAGTACTAAGAATAGAAAATAGTAGTTTCTGAACTTACTGGAAAACCCACTGGTGGCCTGAAGATTACATCTTTAAAAATATCAAGTTCATTGTCAGCAAAACTATAAATAATAATATGTTGCTTTTGGTTTGTGAATATAAGACTATTAAGGCATAAAAAAAATGGATCACAAATAGCACATAGCACATACTTTACATTTTTTTTCCAAAAATGCCTACTAGTCTCTATTAAGCCATCCAGTTTATTTTACCACTCATTGTTGTTATGGCAAACATAGATCCTCTAGACATATGTTGCCAATTTGCTAGCTGGAACTCCCTTTGTCCTACAACATAAACACAAAACAAACACAAACTGTTTTCTATGGTACTAAGTGGGAGTACTCTATCACTGACCCATTAACACGGTACGTAAGTCACCTGAACTAACCAACTCTGTTGATGAAATATCACAGAGACTCACCCTCAAATGGAACATATTTGTTCAAGGATATACCACCATCTAAAAAACTCTGAAGCGTGGCTCTCGTTTATTTCTTTAAAGCTCTTTAATTCATGCAAACCTACCTTGATTTTGAATTAAGAAGTGCAAGGGAATTAATCATCAGCTTTAGCAATCATCTTCATGGGTTACTATCACAATCTCTGGTCTACTTGGGGTCAAAAGCATATTTAGGGATCCCCAACCAGAAATAGGGCTGACAGACTGGGTCTACAGATGAACCAGGTTGTCTGGATCCATTCTCCCTTTAGATGCCTGCTTTAAACCATTTTCTTGTTTATTACAGACGAGAATTAAAACCAATGGGAAAAATTCTGATATGTTAAATTATTTTTGTTTTTACAGCTGTGCTAAAGAATAGAAAGAAAAGCCAGTGAAACTGAATGGGTAAAATTACATTTGAGAATTTTCTGTGGCGTTTGATTATCTATGGCTCGCCAACCCTTTACCATCACAGAGAAGACGTGTGAGAGAATAAACAAAAGCACAAACATGATTGGAGCATTTTCTGTGTTATCACATATGTTGTCTTTATGTCTTCACAAACAATTTTCAAGTTTGAATCATGTTTTTATAACAACTTTGCATTAACATAAACATAGTGTACACACACATGCATGCATGCACAATACCAAAATCCAAGACTGTGTTCTTGATAAATTTGAGACTTTCCCACGGCACTCTACTGTGCATTCTCTCCTCTCGTCAGGCTGGCTAGCTGCTGCATGGAAAATGCCACATTCCCCCCAGGCTTTATCCATGTTACACTATTCACAGAAGTTGAGATTCCCACTGTCTCCCACCTTTCTAAATCCCACCCCCAACAGGAAGCTTTCTAGAACAATCTTTCCAGCTCTCATTGACCTCGTCTTCCCCTACCTTCTGCCAGAACCATCAATGTAGCACTTGACAGACTACCACTTTATTTGGCTTCTGATTGATTAACTGATTGGCTTTTATTATGTGTTTATTTTGAACTGCAAAAATTTTTTATTGTGAAAGTTTTCCAACTTCTTTCCCTTGTACTTTTTAGGAAAGAAAATTAACCTCTCTTTTCTGTATATTTGTACTGATGCATAATATTTGTACATATTTATGGGATACACGTGATATTTTGATATGTGTGTAGAATGTGTAATGATCAAGTCAGGGTATTTAGAATATCCATCACCTCACGGGTGAACCCTTTCTTTGCATTGGGAGCATTTTACATCTTCTCTTCTAGTAATTTTGAAATATGCTATATATTGTTATTAACTATAGTCACTTTACGGTGCTGCCAAAAACTATCACTTATTCTTTCTTTGGCCTCTGATTCATTTTATGTGAATCCATCTTGTTCACCCATCTAGACAGCATGGAAGTTGAAACATGATTTCTACATTTACAAAAGCATCAAGCATGGTGCCTACTTAGCACGTACAGGCTACTCAATAAATGCCTATTTACCAAGGATTTTTGGAGAAAAAGCATCTGCAGATTCCAGTGCTCATCTGTGACTGTTTTGTTGTTGGAAATAGCCAGGCAAAATTTGGGTCCCTGAAATGCCCCAAGACCTTTCCTTCAACTACTTCTCAGTGCTTTCCCATAGGCTATCTCATCCACTTTATAAAATCTGGGATTGGAAGGCAGGAAGGGCACAAACTGTAATTCCCGGACTTTTATATTGCTCTTAGAAAGTGCATAAAAGGAAGGGAAAATTGGTGGCTCAGATGTTTGACTCCAACCCCACCTTTGGGAGGGTACAGGAAAATTTCCATTAACCAGACCCAACAATCCAGAATCCTCAGGTAAACGGAAGAGGACTCTGTGTGTGTTAAAAGAAATAGGTAAATTGTATCAAAACCAAGTACAAGTAAAAGATTTATTGCAAAATCTACATCATTGGAAGGCTCTGCACTTATTACACTCTCAGCCCAATTCTAAATACCTTCCTCGCTATGAGAATTGATCATTGCAATAATAAGCAGCATTTAATGAGGACATACTAGCAGCCGGGAATCAAGCAAAGTGATTCCTTGGTACCTTTTGACCAACAGCTCCCCATTTCCCCCACCCACCACTTCTGAAAACCACCATTCCACTCTGTTCCTATGAGTTTGGCTATTTTAGAGTCCACATATAAGCGATATCGTGCAGTATTTCTTTTTCTGTGTCTGGCTTACTTCACTTAGCATAATGTGCATTAGGTTCATCCGTGTTGCTGCAAATGGAGGAATTTCCTTCTTTATTAGGAGTGAATAATATTCTGTGTGTGTGTATGACATTTCCTTTATCCATTCTTTTTTTTTTTTTTTTTTTTTTTTTGACAAGCTCTTGCTCTGTCACTCAGGCTGGAGTGCAGTGGTATGAACACAACTCACTGTAACCTCAAACTCCCGAGCTCAAACAATCTTCTCATCTCAATAGCCCAAGTAGCTAGGACTACAGTTGTGTGCCACCAGGCCTGGCTCATTTTTTTTTTTTTTTTAATTTTTGCAGAGACAGGGTCTTTCTATATTGCCCCAGGCTGGTCTTAAACTCCTGGGCTCAAACAATCCTCCCAGCTCAGCCTCCTAAAGCACTGGGATTATAGGCATGAGCTGCTATGCCCAGCCCTATCCCATTCATTTTCTGAATAACACTTAGGTTGTTTCTGTATCTTGGCTATTGCGAATACTGCTGCAATGAACATGGGAGTACAGAATTGTCTTTGAAATACTGATTTTGTTTTCTTTGAATAAATGCCCAGAAGTAGGATTGCTGGATCATATAGTAGTTTTATTCTTAATTTTTTGAAGAACTTGCATATTGTTTTCCATACTGGCTGCAGCAGCAAAGTGCTTTAAATACCTAATCTCATTTAATCACTATTAAAAACGTACAAAATATTTATAACATTATGTAATGCCACAGTATAACGACTCTTTGATAATATATTTACCCTTAGATAATCACAGTTTTTAATCATCAAAGATCTTCCTGGTATATTATCCCTAATAAACTGAAATGTTGTCAAGATATTACAGAGTCATTTTCATTAAAGTTTGGAATAATAGAACTTTTGAATTGCCCCTCTAATTAAAATCAACTAAGCAGGTCATCCTCCTCCAACTCTTCTTTCTGGTTAGTGGAGGTTTTAGTGTACTAAAAGGCTGCAAGGAAAAGGGCAGGGAGGAGGGATTTGTTGCCCATATTTTGCAGATGCAAAAACTAAGACAATCACATCTTGAATGTATTGGAAATAGGGGATTGATTAACAACAGAAAAGCTATTTGGAGCTGCTAAAATTTGGCTCTAACTTACATTTCTAAAGTGCCTGAAAGGTGGTGTGAAAGAAAGTTGGGTATCTAACTTTTGGGTTATTATGGGTACAGATGATTTGAGCAATGGAAGAAAGAGGTGTATTTGATTAGCTTAATGATATGGGCAAGGTGGAGATGATCTCATTTTGGGGAGGAACAATTCCATTGGTCAGTATAGGAGTTTATAAAGCAAATATTCTGGTTTAAATACAATATATATGGCCCACTGATTCTCAAAAAAACTATAGGAGACCAGGGTTCTCTGCAGCTTTTACCTGGTGGTGAAGTTTGATATGCTCGAAGTGCTTGCAGATACCCTTGGCGGAGAATCCTGCCCTGATATACGAGAGGAGATTCCCTTCAGACATTTTTTCATTCTCTTTACCGATGGCACTGCAATAGGATAGAAATCTCAGTGAGTTGGCACATCTCTTCACAAGGGATTGTTGGAATATTCCCCTTGGCTGAGCCATTTATAGACCCTTGACTAGGGAAAGGCTGGGGAGTCTCAGCTACAGCCTAGTTCTAAGAGGATGAATTGTAGCAAACTCTTTGCTTTCCTTCTACAGAATTAGGGAGTGAGAGAGAATTTCAGTTCCATATGGTGTGTTTAAAATAAGTACCTACTCAATAGCTGCTGCACCTTTCTAATCCATCACCCCTCCCATTTCACCCAAGTGCATTTGCTACAGCATGTCTAGAGGCACCTTAGGACGCTAAGAAAGCATCACTCTACAAAAATCCTGTCTCCTTCCTGCAGATGCTGCCCAGGCTTGCAATTCATTCTGCCTGGACATCACCTCCTTTTGCTTTATGTTTTCTTTGAGGCTTTCTTTATTATTAATTTTGACTTTTGAAGAATCTCGATCTTACAGTAAATGCATATCAAAACTTTTGTGTATTTCCAAATCTGGAAATAACACAAAAAGAAATCATTTTCTCTCCTTCAGTATGGGGATACTACCATGACTTTGAAGGGTGATTATAAGGATACATGCAAGAATGCTGAAATTAATAGATTCAATGAGCACCATGAAGCCACTTTAATAGGGAAAAATGTGACAGGTGAGCCATTACTTCTTCCTGAACCCATATGTTGATATACAATCATGCAGTTCTTATCCTGGAACCCAGATTCAACCCAAGAATCATTTCCAACCCTCTGGGCTAGGTAGGCATTGTCACACAATAAGAATTTGCACTTGCTGTTGTGATTTTTAAAAAACATATTCTAAACAATGCTTTGCAAATTAAATGCTTCTCTTCAATTTTCAAAGAGCCTGTGTGATCCGCTTGCCAGAACCTGATTGCTTGGTGATCAGAGATGGAGAGATTGTCTGAGCAGAAGTTCCTAAGGAGGTGGACTACATCAAGGGGCAGTCATCACTGATACTCCTCTTCCCCTGCCCACCCAAGTGGAGAAAGGAGACATGACCTTTTCCTACTGTCTCAACATAAGCATTATTTCTGTGCTTGGACTAGCCACAGTGGGGAGTTCACGTGGGACAAGCCCTTAATCCCACTTATCACCTCATTTTGATCAGTGGCAGACAGAAAAAGCCATGAAAATGTCTTGGTATCCCTCTTTCTTTTGATGTAATTATTTTCTGAACCATTCTAATCCATAAAAACATCAACTAAGTCAAAACACACTTCTGGAAGAAGAAGGACATCCTTTGGATATGTGATTTCTCAACTTAAATTGGCAGTGATTGCATCAGCCAGGTGTGCTAAGAGATGGGTTTGGAATTAAGTTTACCCTACCTGTAATCCTCAGAAGCCTTCACTTGACTGATGCTTCCTTATTTCAAGGTTACATTTTGCCCTGGGGGGAATGGCTCGGGAAGGGAACACCCGAAGTAAAATCTGAGCAAGGACTAGCTGTGTTACCAACTGTCAGTCTCTAAAGGCTGGCTGGTTGTGATGGAAACTGGGTTATGGAATGTCTAAGACAACATGCCCGAACTAGCCTAGGAATTATAGAACTTTTAGGACGTCTCTCCTTTTCTCAAAGCCTAACTCTCCAGCCAATAACATGTGTCAGCTGTTAAAAAAATGAGGGTTGGGGGAAGGATAAGTGGGAGGGGTGAGTGCTTTCTGTGAAACTCTCAAAATCTTTGCTAAAGCTTTGAATTTTTCCTTGAATCATTCTTAAAACCTCATCTGAAAACACATTAATGACTTTTATAATTTTGAAAGCTTTCATAATTATGGAAGAAGGTGCATGTGTGTGGGGTGGACAGAACAGCTTGTATGGGGATTGCTGATGTTTCTGATTGGTGTTGACCACCTGAAGGTCAAGGACAAACTGGCCCAAGTTATGTCTTCTGATTCCTTCCAGGTCTAAATTCTATAATTCTAATGGCATTCAAAAAGGAAATTGAAAATTGTTTATTTACCAGGTTGCAAGATAAGGCAGACAAAGAAGTTGCAACAGTTTATCCCCAGTTTCAATATTGCTTCAAATATTTGAGGAAAAAATTTAAGAAAAAAATAAGACAAAGTCCCTTCCTCAAGGCAGTAGATAAGCAATGAAGTTTCTCTGATCTCATTCTGTTTGATCATTTTATTTATATTTTTTCTATCTATCTATTATCTATCTATCTATCTACCTACCTACCTACCTATAGCTAACTATTTTAAATCTATTTTAGGCGAGGAAAGTTGAAATGGATTTTTCCTAACACTTTAGCTAGACTGTTAATGTCTTGTCATGACTTACCATGAGTTCCCTATGGATACCTTACAGATTTCTAGATAAAGCACTGGATACCAAAAAACAAACAAACAAACAAACAAACAAACAAAGAAAACCATGGGATCTGAGACCTGTAAATGACTAGAAAAAATGAAAGTCCTTCTAAATACATGGCCAACATTTTGGTTACCTTTCTCTTTCAAAAAGCAATTCCCTTGAAAGCAACAAGCAAATCTTTCCTTTTCTGGAATACGTGATAGGACTTCATTTTAAGAAATGCCTCATATGTGATTTCCATATGGATAGCAATAATTCCACTTATTTATATCTCCCTCAAGAAGTTTTATCATTGTTCAAATGAGTGAAAATAATGCCTATATTATTCAGATTATCCCGAATCTTCTCCAATTTACTAAATAGCTAAATTGTTGCAATTATTTATAAAATATAGTACTTTACCACTCATTGTGACATTCCTAAAAAGTGATATTACATATTCTAGATAAAAACCACTAGTTTTAGAAGCCGAAAAAGCAACAGGGCAACAGAGCAAGCTCATGCCTTAGTCTTGCAGAAGTGGGGTAACAGTCGCCTATCTATTCCTTATTTATTTATGTATCCATTCATGATCAGAATGCCATAAAAATTGTTATAGCTAAGAAAAACATCATGGATTGGCATGAAAGGAGACCAGAGCCAGGGAGACCAAGTAGAAAGCTATTGTAGTCACTAGGATGAGAAAGAAGGCCTCAACTGGGGCAGAATTAATGCTAACGATTGGAAATCATGGAAAGCCACACTCAACTGTACCATTAGAAGAATAATTGCAAGTGACACAAATATAGGAGTGCAATATATCTGTGCAGGGTCTTTACAGACTTGTTACCAAGTTGCTTTTCTTTTTATTGAAATTTGGTGGACATGTGGTCCTGAACTCTTAGAGAAGAAAGTATGCAGAAACCATCTCCTATTCTTTCTCCTACCTAACCTAAGACCAGGGGACTTCTGACTGTTCTTCATTGCTGTTAAATAAGCTAAGCTGGGAAGATGAGCTGGTAGATTCATTAGGGTAGGTAAATCTCTACCTTATGTGTTTAGAGTTCTCCTCCCTAGGAAACGTTGGCTGGGGTCATTCCTCCTTAAAAAGGTCAATTAATAGTCTGGAATGTTTATAAAAAAAAAAAAAAGTGACCCAGGGCCAAACCTAAAGAAAACTGTAAAGTAAAATAAATCCATATTTGGACCACCTACTCAACTCATTTCTTGTCATTTTTTTTCCTGTCCCTAACTGTTTTTGCACCCTCTTTCCAATTTCCTTTTCAGAATTCTGCTTTCCATTAGATTTGACTGTATTGCAGAATATTAGCATTTTAATGCAGACTCTAAAACAGTTCTCAAGGGATGGGGATTAGGGGAATTTGGGCACAACTTTCCTAAGGGCTATTTTCATATTGCCCATTCCCTCTACTCTATCACATGTAAAGATTCTTATGCACCCCTCCTTGCCCTGGTTGAATACTACTATTCTTAAATCCTAGGTGTTAGAAACTGCAATGAAGAAATAGCAGGTAGTGAACTGTAGAGTTGAGGCTGAGAAACTTCATGCCCAAAAACTTATCTAATTCCATTAAGAAGAAGGTCAGAAAGACAATTATTCCTCCTACTCTGAAGGCTTAGCCCTACTGGTGTTTATGCTGTGAACCCAAAAATCATCAGGGGATGGGCCAGGCGCAGTGTCTCACACCTGTAATCCCAGCATTTTGGGAGGCTGAGGTGGGTGGATCAAGAGGTCAGGAGATTGAGACCATCCTGGCTAACATGGTGAAAACCTGTCTCTACTAAAAATACAAAAAATTAGCTGGGCATGGTGGCGGGTACCTGTAGTCCCAGCTACTCAGGAGGCTGAGGCAGGAGAATCACTTGAACCTCGAAGGCGGAGACTGCAGTGAGCTGAGATCGCACCACTGCACTCCAGCCTGGGCAACAGAGAGAGACTCCATCTCAAATTTAAAAAAAATCAGGTAATGGGTTAAAATAAGTATAATCTACTAGGAATTCTCTTTCAATTATTATTTTATCTGTATTTCATTGATCAAAAAAAATAAAAAGATTCCTTTTGAGTTTGTGCTCCCATGGGTGGCATAATAATTATCATATATGCAGAACTTACTATTGGCCAGCCACTAGGCTTAATGCTTTTTATATTAATATAACCAATTTATATATTCTTTATGTACTGATATTCTCATTTAACCTTCTGAGATATGCAATGTTATTGTCAACATTTCAAAAAACTCTGAAGCACCTTGAAAATTTCAATAATTTGCCTAAAGTCACACAGTTAGTAAATGGCCAATCCAGAATTCATGTTCTTAACCAGCACTCTATGTTTCCTCTGTAAAATATTTGATTATGAATTTAATTGGAGAACCTCTAGTGTGGTTCTAGTTTGGAAAAATGGAAGTAATCAAAAAAAGAGGGATTCAGAATTATAGAGCACCAGAGTTGAAAAGGGCCATAGACACTGAGAATTCCCCTCTTTGGAGATGATTACACTGAGAACCCAAAAGCTAACATGTTTTTCGCCAACCACAGTAATCAGTGGAATAGCTGTGATCACAACTCAAGTCTTCTGGGTTCTCATTGAGTATAGTAGCGGGGAGAAAGTAGTGGGACCAAGGAAATTTAATGAATTCATTAAAGAGATAACTGTTTGAAGGGAGTGGACTGAGGATATTCTTAACTGGCTCTAAACCCATAAAATATTCAACCTGATAATTGTACTAATTCAGTCAGTGTAAGGTTTCTATGTTGTCATTTATTGATAAGTTCCTAAGCCCTTTTTGAAAGTTAATTCTCTAAGAGAATGCCCATATGTTATCATGACATTTAAAACTATGTGGTCAAGCAGCCTCTTTCTAAAATAATGTTCTCTTTTGGCACATTTTAGTTAGAACCAGGATCTCCAGATTCAAATTGACACACCAAGCCATTGACCTGTGAGCATTTCATGGTACTCTGCTGCCATCATCTGGCAAATTGAAGTCAGTAACAGTTGATCATTTGCTGCTTGTTGCTTTAGAATCTCAGTACCAGATTAATAGAGTTCCAGCTGGAGTGGAATAGACTTGGTAATACTGGTGATTGGGGATCAGTATAGGGTAGGAAAAAGAAATTATTCTATTTTAAGAGTAATGAAAGATTCTGGAGAGTATGATGACTACATTGAAGCTAAGAAACTAGATTGAAAATTGAAAGTCTCATTAACTTATCCCTAGATATCATAAAATACATGTCATAGAAGTGGGTAAAATTTGGCATGTCTACAAACATAAAGGCAGAATCCTCCTTTTTATACAGAAATATTTTAGCATTTATACTAGAGCAACTTCCTGTTTTAAAATATTTATAGTAAAGTCATAAAAGTCAGCTAAAAAGGGATGATTATTTATCTTTATAAAACATTTTTGTTTGCAGAATGACAGAAGCATATGCATGTGTGTGCTTGTATGTGTAATTTCTTTTCAGAAAGTTTGGTTTGTACACTGTGTTTAAAGGCCTATATATACTGCATGAAACTATACTAAATTTACATACAATAGGATGACATGTATAGTGAGATTATACTTTTTAGTATATTATCTTGTTCTTTTATATGGGCCCTTCCTCTAATGGGACTTTCTTCCTATTTAGTCAGACTCATCCATTGCTTCAAAAAAGATTCACATTTTTACTGAATGTAAGGAGTCCATGTTTAAATTTCCAGTCCCAAAATAAAGTCTTGAAGACATTTTAAAAAAAAATAATCTTCAGATTCAGGCATTCAGTTGAATTACCCTGTAGAAATAGGGATTTCAGTATGTAGATAACAGGGATTTCAGGAAATTACATACGAACAGTTTTTTTTTTTTTTTTTTTTTTTGCCATCCTTGAAATTGTCTTAGACTTTCAAGGGGAAGTACAAAGATTCACAGAAGATAATGTTAAGACAGAGCCTTTAGTTTTGGGTGTGGAATAGCAGCAGCAGAAGCTTCATAAACTGGCTCCTCAGTGAAACAGCCCTAACTAGTGAAATTATCAAAACATAAACAAACACACATTGAAAATCTCTAGAAATTGTTCTGTGAACATATAGCAAATGAAGAAAACTTGTGGCTGGGTGCAGTGGCTCACGCCTGTAATCCCAGCACTTTGGGAGGCTGAGGCGGGTAGCTCACCTGAGGTCAGGAGTTCAAGAGCAGCCTGGCCAACCTGGTGAAACCCCATCCGTACTAAAAATACAAAAATTAGCTGCATGTGGTGGCAAGCGCCTGTAATCCCAGCTACTCAAGAGGCTGAGGCAGGAGAATCACTTTAACCCGGGAGGTGGAGCTTGCAATGAGCCAAGATCAAGCCATTCCACTCCAGCCTGTGGAACAGAGCAAGACTCCTTCTCAACAACAACAACAAAAACAAAAACAAAAAAACAAAAAACAAACAACAAACAAACAAAAAACAAAACAAAACAAAGAAAACTTGTATTCAATAAAATATACTAAATCTTAGTAAGGGCAGAAAGAATCTTTGGCACTTGAACCACAGACTGCTTCCTTTCCTCCAAACCCAGTTGGGTGTGATAAAAGCTTCATTCTGGACAGGTGTGCTCAAGAATGCAGGGCTCCCCCTCCCTCCAGCTCCCAGTCAAATGCTGTGCTATGTCCCTGTGAGGGACACAGCCTCAGTATTTCTCATCCCCTTCCCACTCTGTGTTGCAGAAACTAAGTTTCAGGTGAGTGTAGCCTAGAGGATAGAGACTGTCTTACTCTTCACAGCTCTCATTTATAGGTGAGGCTCTGTTTAGGTATCACAGGATGAAAACAATGAAGCATTAATCTCCCTGACTCCAGCTCACCCCCAAGGCAGAGGTTTCACAGTGGGAGAAGCAAACAAAGAAAGCCAGAGGCTACCACCAGTGCTAGTGTCCTACTCATAAAACAGGTGTGTCACTTCAACAGAGGAGGTCTTCTTTTCCAACACCACCCACCATCCTGCAAGCTCGGGAGCAATGGCTCAGAGATTTTGCCCAGGAGGAGAGGCAGGCCATAAGAACAAAGAGCTCTGAAGCTCCGCCCAAAGGAATTGATTTTACTTGGAACAGAGTATCAAGAATTTCAAGCCCAAGGGTGCTTTTTGACAACAGTGATTTTGGTGGTAAACAATTAATTAGAGGCTAGTAACTCCATGAGAACAAGATAAACCATAAGTCAGAATTTACCATAGTGAACCAGAAAAAGTACAGTTAATAACCGTTCTCTTAGGGACAGAACAAACTGCAAAGACTGGTCTTAGAAACCACTCTTACAAAGGGGCCCAAATTTAATTGCGTAATACTGTGGAGCAATAGATAACTCAGGCATAATAAAAAACAATAATAGGCAGCCTGCTAGTGTAGTCTAGGAACTGGGTGTGATACTAACAGAAGCGGAGAGCTTACCATAGAGATCAGGGAAAGAGACCATTAAAATGAGCCCTGCTAAAACCACTATAAGCCCAATGGTTGTTAACCACTGTAGTCCAAGGCTGCACTCTCCAATGAGCAACATCAAAAGCTTCAAACTTAGGGGAAATTTATTTTATAAAACAGTTCAGCCAAGTCACTAGCCAACTAACTAAACAACCAGTGACAACAACAAGCCTTGGTTTTCAGAGCTGCTATAATTATCTACAATATCCATTTTCAACACAAAATATGAGACATGCAAAGTAACAGGAAAGCATGAGACATGAAAATTAACAGGAAAGCATGAGCTATACACAGGGTGGGGAAAGCAGGCAAAAGAAACTTTCTGTGCAAGAGTCCATGTCAGAGTTAGCAGAAAAAATATTAAGAGCCAATATTCTAAATATGTTGAAAGAAATGAAGGAAATCCTGATTAAAGAAATAAAAGCATGATGACAATATCTCCCTAAAGAAACATTATCCATAAACAAATACAAATTTTAAGAAGAACAAAATAGAAGCTTTATAGTTGAAAAGTACATTAACTGATGTTAATTATTCACTAGAGGGGTTAATAAATTGGAGACTGTCTCCCCAAATATTAATATGTGTCTACCCAGAACCTCAAAATGTGACTGTTGTGGACTAAATTGTGCCCTACATCACAAAAAATCTTGAAACCAGCACGAGAAAAATGTGGTTTACATGTGAAACAGCTGACTTCTTATCAGAAAAAATGGAGGTTAGAAGGCAATAAGATGTCATTGAAAAGTGCTGAAATAAACTGCCAACCAAGAATTTTATACCCAGGAAAACTATCTTTAAAAAATGAAGACAAGATACCAGAAAAAAAATAAAATAAAAGGTAGAGGAAGGACACGAGATAGGCCGCCCCTCCATAAAAATAGAATAAACTGGCAAAACTTGTGAGAATTATTTTTTTTTCAGAACTCTGGAAACTAACCAACAGGAGCCTTGAAAACATTTAGTCGAGAGAAATAAATAGATAGCAGTAAGAGATATAAGATTTGTGTTATTTTAATTTACACTAGTTTCATCTCCAGCTCCACAGCTCATCGATAGCTTTCAAAACATAATACTCCATATTCTTGGCACTAGAGGGAGTACAGCAGAAATACAGTTCTTCAAAAGCCTTATTTCCAAAGAAGAGTCATTATTTTGACTTGTCTGGTGGTTCCCTGCATAACCCTACTTGAATGGCTTTTCTTTTTCAGCCTCATTTGCATGTATCTAGTGCTACAAGCCTATCCCCAGGGAGTGTTATCAAATATATTAACGTCACATGTGCCTGAGGCAACAGATAGCAGGGCAAATTGAAGACCAAATGAAAGCATAAAAGGAAAACTGAAGAATAAAATGTCTTCTTACTTATAAGGGACTTTGAAAAACTCTGGAATATTACTGGAAATCTAAATGACAATGAAGATGCCCAGAACTGTGTAAAGCTGTATGCATAAGCAGAAAGGCCTGAGAAGTTCCAAAGCTCTCATCTCTAACTGACCTTGAGGTTTCATACAAGCAGAAAATGAAGGCTAAACACAGTTGTCAACTTTACAGCTGACTATTGAAGGCATGCCCCAACACAAACACAGAATCCTTTGACAAAGACTGAGAAACTTCTTGGTTCCAGGTGTTTAACAAAAATCATTGTCCAATTATAAGCTTACCACTAAGTTGAGTAGAAAATTCAATGGCCACAAATGACAGAGAGATAGACTTTGGGAAAGTCTACTGGAGAATCTGATTTCCATAAATAACACACTATAACCTGTGTAATGTCTAATTTTCAACAAAAAGTTATAAGACTTGGAAAGAAACAAGCAAGATAAAAATACATAGGAAAAAGGCTCTCAATAGACACCATCCTTGAGAGAAGCTCAGATATTGTACTTACTAGTCAAAGACTTTTAAAATCAGCTAATTTAAATATATTTGAAGAGCTTTAAAAACCTATATATAAATAACCAAAAGGAATATGAGAATGATGTCTCACAAAATAGAGAATGTCATTAAATAGTTACAAATTTTTTTAAGTAGAAATCTTGGAGTTCAAAGTACAAGAACTAAAATAAAAACTTTACAAGAGGAACTAAAGATCAGACTTGAGCATGCAAAAAAAAAAAAAAGAATCAGCATACTCAAAGATAGGTGAATGAAGATTATACAGTTTGAGGGACAGAAGAAAAAAGGAATTAAGAAAAATGAAGACAGCCTAAGGGACCGCTGGGACATTATCAAGTGTACCAAAGGATTTAATGAAAGATCCAGGAGAAGAGTAAAGAAAGGAGTAGAGTGAATATTTGAGAAATAATGGCCAATAACTTCTCAAAGTGGTTGAAAAACATTAATCTACACAACTAAAAAGCTTAATAAACTCCTAGTAGGATAAATTTAAAGAGATTGACACATGGAGACCTGTCATAATCAAAAATGTAAGACTCAAAGACAGAGGGTCTTCAAGTCAGCAAGACAGAAGTGACTCATCGTGTAGAAAGGATGACCAATCAAATTGAAAGCTATTTCTAATCTGAAACAATAGAGGCCAGAAAGAAGTAGGATGAAATATTTAAAGCGCTGAATGAGAAACAACTGCCAACAAAGAATTTAATAGTTAGCAAAACTATCCTCCAAAAATAAATGATAAATTAAGACATTTTTAAGATTAACAAGAACTTAGATCTTGTTCACATATGACAAACCCTACAATAAATACTAACGGGATTCCTTGAGTTTGAAATACAAGCACATTAGGCAGTAATTCAAATCCACAGGAAGAAATAAAAATCACACACACACACACCAACCTATACTTAACCGACCCTATAAACCAACTATACTTAACAGACATCCATATAACATTCCATCTAACAACAGAATAATACATGATCTTCCCAAGTATACATTGAATAGTCTCCAGGATAGACCATGTATTAGACAATGGAGCAAGTCTTAAAATACTATAAGAATTTGTCATACAAAGTATGCTTTCCAACTTCAATGGAATTAAATAAGAATACAATAAAAGAGAAAATTAGGAAAATTCACAAATATGTGAAAGTAAAAACAACACATTTCTTAACAATGGGTCAAAAACATACAAAAAAGAAAACAGAAAACACAGGGAAATTATAAAGTATTTTAAATTAATGAAAATAAAAACATAACACATTAAAAATACACCATGCTTCTAAAGGTGCTTAGAGGGAAATTTTTAGATATAAATGCCTACTTATTTATTTATTTATTTTTTGAGAGAAGTCTTGCTCTGTCAACCAGCTTGGAATGCAGTAGCATGATCTTGGCTCACTGCAGCCTCTGTCTCCCAGGTTCAAGTGACTCTCCTGCCTCAGCCTCCCGAGTAGCCGGGACTACAAGCATGTGCCACCACACCTGGCTGATTTTTGTATTTGTAGTAGAGATGGAGTTTTGCCATGTGGACCAGTCTGGTCTCGAACTCCTGATCTCAGGTGATACGCCAACCTCAGCCTCCCATAATGCTGGCATTACAGGTGTGAGCCACCGCACCTGGCAGCCTAGTTTTTTTTCCTTTTTTAAAGAAAGGAGAAATCTGAAATCAGTTACTTCACTTAATGTTTCACCTTAGGTGATACTGAACAAAGGAAGGCAAGTTAACCCAAATCTAAAAGAAAGGAGGAAATAATAAAAATTAGAATGAAAATAAATCAATTGTAGAATAGAAAAAATTAGAAAAAAATCCATTAAGAAAGTTGTTCTTTTTGAAAAGATCAACAAAATAGATAAACATTGTAGCAAGTTTAGCTGCAAAAAAGAAAGAACACTCATGTTACCAAAATAAAAAATGAAAGACAGATTAGTACTACTGGTCTGAAAAAATAAAAGAAATATAAAGCAATACTTATGCATATCATATGTACACATAAGTATACAACATGTATACTTATATGATCAGATGTATACTCATACGATTAGATGTATATAAATCAATAAATTTGATAATGTGGATTAAATGAACAAATTGGTAGAAAGATGAAACTACCAAAACTGTCTTAGGAAGAAGTAGAAAACCTGAAAAACTTATAACTTGTAAAGAGGTTGATTAATAATAAAAAATGTTAAGTTAGGCCCTGATTGCTTCACAAGTAAAATTCTTTTAGATGCTTAAAGAAGAATTAACACTAACCCTTCACAAACCGTTCCAAAAAATAAAAGAAGAGGGAATTTCCAATTCATTCTATGGGGTGAGTTTTCATATGATGGCAAAAGCAGACAAAGACATACAAGAAAAGGAACCTAAAGACCAAAATTTGTATTGAATATAGATTCAAAATTCCTCAACAAAATGCTAGCAAATCAAACCCAACAATGTATAAAAAAGATTCTATTCTATGACCAAGTGAGATTTCTCTCAGAAATACAAGGTGAGTTTAACATTTGGATATCAATTAATCCAATATACCATATTAATAGAATAAAATATAAAAACCACATAATTATCTCAACAAAGCAAAAAAAATGACAAACATCAAAGCCATTCATGAGAAAAAACCTTGACAATATAGGAATAGAACAGAACTTCCACAATCAAATAAAGAGCATCTATGAAAAATTCACAGCCAACATCATAACTAATGGTGAAAGATTGAATGCCTTCCCCCTATGGTCAGGAACAAAGTAAAAATACAAGCTGTCACTACTTCTATTTAAGAAGGTACTGATGGTTCTGCCACAATAATTAGGCAAGAAAATGAAATAAGAGGCAATCAAAAAACTGTTAGAACTAATAAACACATTCAGTGAGGTTGCATGATATAAGACCAATATACAAAAATCAATTATACCTGTATATACTACAAATGAACCATCTAAAAATAAAGCTAAAAAACAATTTTATTTACAATAGCAATAAAAATAAAATACTTAGTAATCAAATTAACAAAAGTAGTACAAAACCTATGATGTGAAAACTATAAAACACTGTTTCAAGAAATTAAAGAGGATCTAAGTAGATATGAAGACATCATATGTTCATCGTGTATTAATCAATTTTCACACTGCTATAAAGAACTGCCTGAGACTATTTTATGAAGAAAAACGGTTTAATTGACTCACAGTTCTGCATGGCTCGGGAGGTCTCAGGAAACTAACAATCATGGCAGAAGACAAAAGGAAAGCAAGGACCTTCTTCACATGGTGGTAGGAGAGACAGAGAGAGAGAGAGAGAGAGAGAGATAGAGAGAGAGAGAAGGGAAGTGCCACACTTTAAACCATCAGAACTTGTGAGAACTCACTCTCACAAGAGCAACGTGGGGGAAACCATCCCCATAATCAATCACCTCTCACCAGGTTCCTCCCTTGACTCACGGGGATTACAATTCAAGATGAGATTTGGGTGGGGACACAGAGCCAAACCATATCAATAAATCAGAAGATTTAATATAATTAAGATATTTCCAAAATTTATCTATAGATTCAAAAGGCTCACAGTTAAAATCCCAGCTAGTTTCCTTGCAGAAATTAACATATTGATCCTGACCCACATGGAAATGCAGAAATCCAGATTAAACAAAATAATATTGAAAAAGAATAACAAAGTTGGAGGACTTATTGTTCCCAGTGTCAAACTTACTACAAAACTATAGTAATCAAGACAGTGTGGTACTTGCATAAGGTTACACATATAGATTAATAGAATACAATTGACACCCAGAAATAAATCCAGATATTTAAAGTCAATTGTTTTTTGACAAGAATAGTTTTTGAATAAATGAATTTTGGGACAACTGGATAGCCACAATGAAAAGAGTAAAGTTGGATCCTCTTCTTCTACCATAAACAAAAATAGCTCAGAATAGATCATAGAGGCTGGGCACATCGGCTCATGCCTGTAATCCCAGCACTTTCGGAGATTGAGGCAGGTGGCTCACTTAAGCCTAGGAGCTCGAGAACAGACTGAGAAATATGATAAAACCCTATCTTTACAAAAAATGCAGGAATTAGCTGGGCATAGTTGTGGGCACCTGTGGTCCCAGTTACTTTGGAGGCTGAGGCAGGAGGATCTCCTGAACCCAGGAGGTCAAGGCTGTAGTGAGCCATGACTGTACCACTGCACTGCAGCCTGGGTGATGGAGTGAGACCCTGTCCCAAAGGAAAAAAAAAAAAAAGATCACCGATTTTGTAAGAGCCAAATACAGAATTTTTAGAAGAAAGTTTTGGGGTAAATCTTGGTGACCTTAGATTGATCAAAACCTTCTTAGATATTGCACAAAAGCACAAGTGACAAAATAAAAAATATATCATTGAACATCATCAAAACTAAACAATTTTGTGATTCAAAATATGTAACAAAAATGAAAAGCAAAACCACAGAATGGGAGAAAATATTTGCCAATCATACATCTGATAAGGGACTATGTATTTAGAATATATAAAGATCTTATACAACTCAATAGTAGAAAGACAATAATCAAATTTAAAAATAGGATCTAAGTAGATATTTCTTCAAAGAAGATATGTAAATGGTCAATGAGCTCCTCATGAAAAAATGCCATTTAGGAAAATTTAGATCAAAACCATAATGAGATACCACTTTACAACCATTAGGATGACCATTATTTTTATAAATGAAAAGTAAGTGTAGGTGAGAATGTAGAAAAACTGGAACCTTTCTGCATTTCTGGTGGGAATATAAAATGGTGTAGCTGCCGTGGACAATGGTGTGGTGATTCTGCAAATAATGAAACATAGAATTTGCATTTGATTTAGCAATTCTACTTCTGGGTGTATACATAAAAAAATGGAAAGCAGGAACTTGAACAGATATTTGTGCCCCAATGTGCATAGCAGCATTATATACAATATGTAAAGGGTGGAAACCACCCAAATGTCCATCAATAGATAAATGTATAACAAAATGAGGTATAGATCTATATGACAGAATATTATTCAGCAAGAAAAATACAACAGAATAATATTCAGCAAGAAAAAGAAATGAGGTTTTTGGTGGGTTTTGTTTGTTTGTTTGTTTGTTTTGAGACAGTCTTGCTCTGTCACCCAGGCTGGAGCGCAGTGGCCTGATCTTGGCTCACTGCCAACCTGCACCTCCTGGGTTCAAGAGATTCTCCTGCCTCAGCCTCCCAAGTAGCTGGGATTACAGGCACACACCACCACACCCAGCTAATTTTTGTATTTTTAGTACAGACGGGGTTTCACCATGTTGGCCAGGCTGGTCTCAAACTCCTGACCTCAAGTGATCGGCCCACCTCAGCCTCCCAAAGTGCTGGGATTACAGGCATGAGCCACTGTGCCTAGCTGAAATGAGGTATTGATACATGCTACAGCATGGCTGAATAAAAGGAGCCAGACACAACAAGCCACAAACTATAGGATCCTTTTTTTTGTTTTTCGTTTTGTTTTTTTTGTGTGTGAAATGACCAGTATAGGTAAATCTACAGTGACAGAAAGTAGACTAGTGGTTTCCAGGGCTGTGGGTTGAGGAGAAGGAAGAGTGACTTCTATTGGCTATGGGGTTTCTTTTTGAGGTGAGGAAAATGTTCTAAAATTGATTGTAGTGATGACTACACAACTCTATTTGTATAAAGAAACTCATTGAATTGTACACTGTAAATGGATATATATTTATTTCATGGTATTTGGAATATATCTGAATAAAGATGTTATAAAGATAGGACACAGCCTGATCTCTGAGAAAGAACCCAGTTCTCCACCCCCCTCCCCCACACATATATACAGTGCTTCAGGTTGATAAGGGGTGACTAGGCCAGGAAAATGTGATATTTGTCTGACGTGCAAGGAGAAAAATGAGAGAGATGCTTCCCTTTTCATATGGATTCTCAGTGGTGTGCTCTTGAAACCATGTCTAGCAACAATGCAAGAGGACTGCAGAAGAAGAAACACGACAGTGTCTGTACGCGGGGAGAAATGTGGAGAGAAACCCACTGAGGTTCCCATGTCCTGACAGACAAATGCATATAAAGGAGGAGAGTTTAAAATCCCAAACAGCAGACAGACTAAAATGACGTTAGGCCAATGAAGTGCCACAAACACACCAAGTGGAATGGATCCACTTCAGTAATGGTGCTGGGGAAACTGGATATCCATATGCAGAAGAATGAAACTAGGCCCCTTTCTTTCACCCCATATAAAAATTAGCTCGAAATGGATTAAAGACTTAAATGGAACACCCAAAACTACAAAACTGCTAGAAGAAAATAGTGGTTCAAGATTTTAAACTAGGCAAATATTTTATTGCTAAGACTTCAAAAGCACAGGGAACAAAACCAAAAATAGACAAATGGTGCTATATTAAACCAAAACCTGCACAGCAAAGAAAACAATCAACAGACGGAAGAGACATCTGTAGAATGGGAGAAAATATTTGCAAACCATTCATCTGACATGCGACTAATATCCAGAATATACAAGGAACTTGATGGCAAAAAATATATAATCTGATTAAAATAGGAAAAAGATCTGAATAAACATTTTGCAAAAGACATACAAATGGTATATAAGTATGTTTAACATCATTAATTATCAAAGAAATGCAAATCAAAACTACAATGAGCTATCATTTTACTCCAGTTACAATGACTATCATGAAAAAGACAAAAAACAAAACAAAACAATAGATGCTGACAAGGATGTGGAGAACAGGGAACTCATACGCTGTTGGTAGAAACATGAATTAGTATAGCTGCTATGGAAAGCTGTATGGGAATTCATCAAAAAACTAAAAGTGGATCTACCATATGATCCAGCAATTCTACTACTGTGTATCTATAAAAATAATCAGTGTATCAAAAAGATATCTGCACTTCCATGTTTATTGTAGGACTATACACAATAGCTAAGTTATGGAAGCAACCTAAATGTCCATCAAAAGATAAATAGATGAAGAAAATGTGATACGTATAAACAATGAAATACTATGCAGTCATTAAAAAGGATGAAATCCTGTCATTAGCAGCAACATGTATGAGACTGGAGGATATTAGGTTCACCACATGTTCACCCACACATGGGAGCTAAAAAACAATTGAGCTCATGGAAGTAGAGACTCGACTTGTGGTTATTAAAGGATGAGAAGGGGAGAGGGAGGGGAAGATGCAGAGAGATTGGTTAAAGAATGCAATGTTACAGCTGGACAGGAGGAATAATTTCTAGTGTCCTTCATCGTTAAATATAATTTATTGTATATTTTCAAAAGACTAAAAGGGAGGATTTTGAATGTTCACAACACAAAAATGACAAAAGTTTGAGGTGATGGATGGATATGCTAATTACCCCGATTTGATCATTATACATTGTATATCTATATCAAAATATCACTCTATTTCAAAAATATATGCAATTATTACATGTGAACTAAAAGTAACAGAAAAAAAATTTAAAAAGGAATGAAAAGACAAGGACTACTGAAAAGAGTTTTGCAGACTTCAAGACTAGGAGAATGGATTTCAGTAACAAATGATAGAGCCTGACCCAAAGCCAGGAGGAGCAGATTCATTGGTTGTTGATGCAGAGGTGACAGAAGGTAACAATTACAGACCAAAGTTAATGAGGAACCTCAGGAGAAATCAGTGAAGACTTGCGGTTCACTGCAAGAACACTCATGATGCTAAGCCAGCTTACTCTTGCATTTAAATAGCATTCTGAGAAGAAGGAGAGAACAAGAACCTCAGGGATGAAAATAGACCTGATAGAAAATTCATATTTTGAATTGACTAAGGTTAAATTCTGAAACACTGGGGTTTTACACATAGAGTCTGAATGTACCTGGACAAGGCTAAGTTTTTTTTTTTTTTTTTTCGCTCTGTCGCCCAGGCTGGAGTGCAGTGGTATGATCTCGGCTTACTGCAACCTCCGCCTCCCAGGTTCAAGCAATTCTCTGCCTCAGCCTCCCAAGCAGCTGGGATCACAGGCACACGCTGCCACGCCCAGCTAATTTTTGTATTTTTAGTAGAGACGAGGTTTCACCATCTTGGCCAGGCTGGTCTTGAATTCCTGACCTCATGATCCACCCCCCTTGGCCTCCCAAAATGCTGGGATTACAGGTGTGAGCCACCGTGCCCGACTGAGGCTAAATTTTAAACTAGAAGGGACTAAGTGATTATGAATGCTTGAGATTAATTTTTCCTTTTCTGCCATTAAGTGGAAAGGGGTGTTGGTAAACTGCTGAGTTCAGTTAGAGAAAATAGAGAAAATTACATTCCCTCGGCACCATGTCAGGATGAGTAAACTTTAAACTTCTTGCTATCCATTAAGGAAACAGAGTACTTAAGGTATGGTCATGAGGTAGCATCCTCGTGGCCAACCAAGTGGTCAGATATAGGCTGAATTTTCAGTCTGAAGTTGTGAAAAACTGTGAAATCATGAAAAAGCAATGGGCTGAAAGTCAGCATGCCTGGGATTGAGTTTGGTGATGCCGCTAACTGGCTATGTGACTTTGGACAAAGTGACTGGATCTCTTAAAATGCATTTGCCTGCTTTTAAAGGAACTGAATTCGATAACTAGTTAGGTTTCTTCCAGCTCTAAAACACTGATTCTCACCTCTTGTGTGGTCAGTGAGGAAATGTCTGCCACTTCCTGGCCAAGTTCAAATGGACATTGCCTTTTAAGAGATGGAACCCTCTTCTCTTTCGTCAGGCAGCTCCCTAGAGGCTGGGCTAAGGACAGCCAGAAATAAAGTGCAATTACCTGTGATGTGCTGCCGGCTTCTGCTTTTGCAGCCACAGTTTGTAATTAGCTCAGGAATGAACACATCATCATGACAGACTGAACAGTAAAACAAGGCTCTGGACAATGAAAGAAAACCAAGAATGAATTATGTGAGTCTTAATGCAAAGGAGGCATGGTGCTGACTCAGTGGGCCTCCCATTAAGCTGTAGTTGCTTTAGTGCTTTTCCCCCATAAAATAATAAAATTACCTTCTGACGTCCTTTGGAGTTTCAGCAATAAAGAACCCTAATGTGTTCTTACGTATCCTCACTTGTGGAGGTGGATTTAGTATCAGACCACTGGAAACAAAAAATAAACACATGGTAATGTTTCCCTCTGATTTCAGTGGCAACAGTTGGTGCCTCTTTCTGTTATGATCAATGGATTCTCTGAGTTGCTAATTTAATCGTATTCAACCTCCTCTTACTGCCAAACACAGTGGAGAATGTGAATTTGACATTTGTAATTCTTTGTTTGATTGGGGCTGACTATGCAGAGGGGAGCCAGGGAACAACTTGATCAGTGAGCTGAACACACAGCGGACCTGCGGCAAAGCCTCTCCCGGATTCTGTCATGCATCTGAGATGGTCCGACCAACTCAGGTGCACAACATCTTGCTGATTTAAGCTATCAAATGACAAATATGCCGAGACCACACAATTGCCAGGCTTAGCGTCATACTAGTAGTGCTCATCTTTAGGCCACTTGCCATTTAAAGTTAACATTTAATTAACCAGCTGGATTCAAAAGTTTCTTCTATTCACCTATGCAGTTTTTGAGGTTGTGCGTTTCTTTTGACTTCAGTTTTGCTTATTTTGATTGCCAGATTTTTGACAGCATGTGAATTATTTCTATTGTTATCTTACTTGAACCTTTTGATTTTCTATTTTCTTGTGGTTTATGTGTTTGAGAATATTGTATTATAATTTTCTGTCCATGATACTCTTTGATGCAGTACTCTGCTATGGCTTTTCAAATTACCCACATTTCTCCCTGTTTATCAGGATCTCCTGCCTTTATTTCCTTCAATTCAGATGTCTATGGTGAGGTCTCAAAACCCTATAATTCCCCTCACTTCTTTTTTGCAGAACGGAAGTTCTCCTTTCCTCCTTTAAAAATCATCCCTTCTCTTGTATTCACATCGAAATGAGATGAAGTTTTAATTCTGGCAAAGCTTATTCTGTTGCTGGGATACTTACAACTTTCAAGTGTTAGAGAACCCTCACAAAAATAAATGAGCTTGCACAGCCAAAGTTCTTCAGCCTTATGCCAAGAATAGACCCAGGCTATATAGCTGTGTTCAGGTAGATTACTACCTCAGACAATGGATGGCCTTTTCTGAGTATTTACTGACTTATATTAATGAGTGAAATAATTGGTTTTAACTTTGGAAGGAAAATACAACTGCGGCCCCTTAAATATTATTGGCTGATGCTCACTAACTAGCAGATGCATGCTTAGTTGTGTCTTACATAGCCTTTTTTTTTTGTTTTTTTTTGAGACGGAGTTTCACTCTTGTTGCCCAGGTTGGAGTGCAATGGCATGATCTCGGCTCACTGCAACCTCTGCCTTCCAGGTTCAGGTGATTCTCCTGCCTCAGCCTCCCGAGTAGCTGGGATTGCAGGTGTGCACCACCATGCATAGCTAATTTTTTGTATTTTTAGTAGAGACGGAGTTTCACCATGTTGGACAGGCTGATCTCAAACCCCTGACCTCAGGTGATCCACCTGCTTCGGCCTCCCAAACTGCTGAGATTACAGGCATGAGCCACTGCGCCTGGCCGCTCCTTTCATTTTTTTAAAAGGAGAAAGGTTTCTCTGAACTCATATTAAATATCTAGCTATGAAGATACTGTCACAATAAAACATATATTTGACTGTATTTGAGAAAAGAGGTGAGCCTCTCTTAAGGATTTTCCTAACATGGTGTTATTAGTTGATTCACTCTTTATGATTTGGCTGGTTGCTCTATCAGAGAATGTTTGTCCCTGGAACAAAATCATTACAGTAAGTGATGGGGTCAGATCCAGCTTCATCTGTTAGCAGGTGACAAATAATTCCGTAAGAAAAATTCTTATAATTCTCCAAGCATTTTGCAAGTCGTAGGATCTCTTCAAGCTTGCCAATTTGAAGAGGAGCTAAAAAGTGAGAAAAGATAGGCTTTTTCCCCAGAATTTCAATATATTTGCTTAAAGTCCAACTATTTAAACATGCAGTCTTCCTTCTACCAATAATGGCAGCAGTGAATTTACTACAGGGTGGTTACAGAAGCACAGCCCTGGAGCCAGAGGACCTGAGTTCAGATCCTGGCTCTGCCACTTGGGTGTTGTGTGAGGTTGGGAAAATCATTAAAACTTTCTGGGGTTCAGCTTCCTCCTCTGTAAAATGAGACTAATAATAGTACCTATCTCACAGCACTGTTGTGAGGATTATTCAAGAGTTAACATATGTAACAGGTCTATAGCAGTGTTGGTCACAAAGTATCAATCATAGAAGGGAATGTTCTTATCAATACATTTGCCAAATCAGAACTTAATCCTTTTGATTCACCAGACTTCCCAGTGAGAAGACAAAGTTAAATCTCTGTTTCCATAGATCCCCCCTTCATTGAGGTACATGTGTGTTAGGTAGTAAACAGGGCCTCTTAAATCTACGTGAGATTAGTTGCTAAATAAATATTCATGTTTCTGGTCTGTGATGTCCTAACCGTCATCTTAATAAAGTTTACAGAAATCTAGAATGTTAAAGGTGGAAAAGATCTTAAGGGCATGTGGTTGTAGTTTCCAGATTCCAGTGAATAAACCAATGATATCATGGAGACTTGAGAAAGAATTCTCAGGCTCACCCTTGAAGATTTGGTTCTGCAGTCAAAAGTAGGGTTTTGGAATCTATAAGTCTTTAAAACTTATGCAAACAGGCTGGGCACAGTAGCTTACTCCTGTAATCCCAGCACTTTGGGAAGCCGAGGTGGGTGGATCACCTGAGGTCAGGAGTTTGAGAGCACCAACATGGTGAAATCCCGTCTCTACTAAAAATACAAAAATTAACCGGGTGTGGTGCACACACCTGTAATCTCAGCTACTCAGGAGGCTGAGGCAGGAGAATCACTTGAACCTGGGAGGCGGAGGTTGCAGTGAGCCGAAATTGTGCCATTGCACTCCAGCCTGGGCAAAAAGAGTGAAACTCCGTCTCAAAAACAAAAACAAAAAAACTTATGCAAATAATTCTGACATATAAGCCAGGTGATTGAAAGACAAACTTGTTACTAAAACTTGATAAAATTTTGGGCCAGTCTGAAACCCGAACTACCTGGCTTATGATTCCAAGTCTACCCATTTTACTATGACCTGTTTCTAGTAGGAGGCTCATTTATGCAGATGTTTACATTCAGAGGTTTTGATTGTGAGATTTTCTTGAGCACAGCAGGATTTTTAAACAGAACTTAGGCAGCCAGACAATACTACTTGTTATTCTCTTCTTAATGACTTGCTTTTTACAATCCCACTGACATCTTCTACCCAGATGCTTTCTATATCCTGTCAACTCAGACAGGTCTTTGATGCTTTCCCAACTTTTCACATATAATAATTCCTTTATCGCCCACCTGATATAATTGAAAATTATTGCATTTTGAATGTTTTCCTATAATTTTACAATTTCTGGTAATGTCAATTTTAGAAAAGGAAGGTGTGTGAGAGATTCTTTAACTCTATTTCCTCATTCTACAAATGATGAATCCTTATCCACGGCCACAGGGCCAGCAAATCAGTCAGGATCAGAATCTAGTCTGTTAATTCCTATTTAGCACAAGTTAATTTTTCACTAAAAAGTACACATGAGCCAACACACAGTCTTTCTTGCCCTCATCCCATTTAAGCCCCACCCCTTTTCTTTTTTTTTTAACAGATCTTTTTCTCTATATTATAGTATCTATTTGTCTTTCTTTTCCACCTTTTCTTCCATTTATGTTTATGTATATTTCATTTGCTCTGAATTTTATTTTGCATTATGTGATAACTTCTCTTACTTTCATATTTATTCACTTATGGGTTTTTGGGAAATGCTGATGTCTGGTGATGAGGTCTCCTTTATCAACTCTATCAACAAAAGCCTTTGTCCGGTCGGCTGGTCAGATTCCCATTTTGCCATAGTTTGTCCTGTACTTTTTTTAAAATTATTTTTTGGAGACAGAGTCTTGCTCTGTCACCTAGGCTGAAGTGCAGTGGTGTGAACTCAGCTCACTGCAGCCTCTGCCTCCCAGGTTCAAGCAATTCTCATGCGTCAGCCTCCCAAGTAGCCGGGATTGCAGGCCCAGGTGCACGACAATGTCCTGCTAATTTTTGTATTTTTAGTAGAGACAGGGTTTCACCATGTTGGCCAGGCTGCTCTTGAACTCCTGGCCTTAAGTGATCCGCCTGCCTCAAACTCTCAAAGTGCTGGCATTACAGGCATGAGCCACCATGCCCAGCATTGTTCTTTACTTTGCATGGCCAGTGTTTGTGGGAACATTTTTATCACAAATGATTCAATTTTGTGGTATTATTTCATGGTCAAGATCTGGTAATATTATTAAGAGAAACAGATTTGAGAAGGTGACCATTTCTTCTCCTCTCTGCTCCTGAGAGAGAGGTGGGGCAGGGTCCGAGGAACAAAAGAGAAGTGTTTGCCCAAGAGGGTCACCACCCTAACCTGAGCCATCAGAGACAGCACAGCAGAGGAGCCAGAGAGCCCCAGAGGCTGCCTCTCAGCCAATCCACCAAAGGGAAAAAGCTTAGTTATAGCTGCATCTTTGGAAAAATTCTTAATCACAAAGAATCTCCAGGAAAAAAAAAAAAAAAAAAAAAACAACTGAAGAGATGAGCAGACTTATTGGTACCAGAAACCATCCGTAAAGAGGGACTTGTATTCGATGGCTATCAACAGGAGGTGCATCTTCAGAAAGCAGAGCCTGGGAAGGAAGACGAGGAGTCAAAAGGAGAGCAAGCGGTCAGTGAACAACAAAATAACTAACACTCTGTGCTCTGTGCCTAGGAGGAAACCAACATCTTAGAGGAAAGAACTCCCAATGTGGAATGATCCCTTGTAAGTGAATCCACCTAAAGTAACCAACAGCCACTGCACCAACTGGGACAGAGATGAAATTGCCCCATCCCAACTGTAAACTTCTAAGTTTCAGGGACCCTGGGCTGTCCCTTCTTAGATCTTCAGTTTGTAATGAAGCCTGGCCTATAGTGGGCCCTCAGTGAACGTTGTTGAAAGAATGCTGTTGTCTGAAGAATGAGGGAAGTATTTCACTTCACTTACCGGGCAACTTCAGGAAAGCTCATTCCAGCAAAGTCATCAGAGAGACGTTGGGTCAGAATTTTGTTTTTCATGCTATTCAAGAAGTGTTTCTTCCAGGTCTGTTTAGGCATAACCTGGAATACATAATCATGCCACACGAAGCAAAACGACAAGGAATGTAGAATGTTAGAATTCACATTGCATATTCTGCTAAGCACAAACAAGTCTTCATTGCATGTAAGTCATAAAAAAGAGATTTATCTTAGTGCTTAACTAGAGAAATGTTAAAGGAATAACTAAAAAGCTAACTCCATCTCAACTATTTTCACCAGAGTTCAGGATGAGGCAGACACATCATTACTTATTTTCTTGCAGATGGCGTTCAAGTTTCCTTGCTGGCAGTGAGAATTCTCCATCACCCAGTCCTGATTTCAGCTTTTCAGTTAGTAAGAATCAGATGGGAAAGTTAATGTGGAATCTAAATTATCTCTCTCTGGATATGACTACTCAAGATTGGTTTAAAATATTTTAGTTTTCTACTAACCATTTATCTCAAAGAAGAAAATATTCATAGCTTCTGTCCAGCATCAGAACCCTTCATAAGTTCAAATGAACTTCAAGGGCCATCCTGATGCATGGAAGAGAGAATGGAGAAATCAAGGCAAAAAGTAGGTTTCCAGAGAAATGGGAGATGTGAAAGGAGAAAGATATCTCAAAATGGCTAAATGCACCCAACCCAACAGAAAGGCTGTTAGGAACTCGTGGCTGACGTTTGTGTAGGACCCTCTCCTCATCCTTCTCCACCTACTGCCATGAGAATCACCACCACACTGTTCTGATATGGCAAGACAGTCTTCTTAAAACCGAGAATCTCAGATGAAAATCTTGAATTTCTAAACGTTTAGGAGCACTGTTGCTATGGAGAGTTATGGCTGGTTCAGAAATTATCTTCAGATGGTCGTGATGCAGTTTGGAAAAAAAGCAAAACAAAAACAAACACATAGACAAACAATTCTGCCCTACGAAAAAGGACAGACTATTTCAGGCATTCCAGTGCCTGCTTCCACCACGAAGATTCAGCTGAATGAATCTTTTCCCTTTTCCCACTTTCTTAAAGTCCTCTCATGAGGCGGGCTCTGATTATTAGGTGGTTCATACCACTAATTTCCAATAACTAAATAAATTGGCTTAGTGCTTCTAATCTAAATGTTTCAATGTTTGAAAGAAGGTAAAAAATGATAGCGTGGGGATGGAGAAGAGTTCCAGAGATAGATTTAAAAAGATCAGAAAGGAAAACAGGAGGATTTTGGATAGAAGAATCTGGGTGCTCAAGTAAGCCTGTTGGATCAGATCTAATGTAAATTTAAGTTTAAGGCCATGCTCTGAACCCAGGACCAACTGGAAATGTTCTTCGAGCTACAATTTCTCACAATATGATCAATATAATTAAAACACATGGCATTGACTCAAGGCCTTTTAATCTGAGTTCTCAGAAGTTTTACAAATATTAACTCAATACTTGGAAAAAGCCAGTTATGAGATTAATAACTTTAATTTTATAGATAGAGAAATTGACAGTCAGGGAAAGTAAGGGCCTACTCTGAGAGAAATCAGTCATAAAACTCTGGAGTCCCAGCCACTAAACCAAAGTCGATAGTTTGTTATAGAATTGAAAGCACCAAAGAATAATGCAGCTTTCACATATTTTGCCTGATGCTGTTCAGTGAGGATTCCTGAAAGTAGGTTTCAGACTTCACTCAAAAAAACATTATGGAGACCATAAATATCTCTCAATTCCTGTAAGCTAAAATCCATCTTGTATAAATAATGACAGGTGATCATCCTCAGTGGGGAGGTTACAACTCTAGATCTTATTTTTATTTCATTTATTGGTTTTTTTGAGACAGAGTCTCACTCTGTCGCTGAGGCTGGAGTGGAGTGGCGTGATCTCAGCTCACTGCAACCCCCACCTCCTGGGTTCAAGCAACTCCCCTGCCTCAGCCTCCCCAATTGCTGGGGCTACAGGCTCACGCCACCATGCCTGGCTAATTTTTTTATATATATTTTTACTAGAGACAGGGTTTCACTACGTTGGCAAGGTTGGTCTCAAACTCCTGAGCTCGAGTGACCCACCAACCTCAGCCTCACAAAGTGTTGGGATTACAGGCGTGAGCCACCACACCTGGCCACAACTCTTTAAATAAGAAAAATACAAGAGGATGGTTTTACATCCCTGTCTTCTATAGTTTCATGAAGGAGGATAAGTCTTCATATAGAGTTCACATTCCATTTATTTCCATTTACTTTCTCCAGCCATGGAGATTGAAATCACAATAATCACAAGAAATATTGAAGTTCTCTGCCACTTTCTAAATATACAACACAATGACAGTGTCCTTATCAACCATTTTCTAGGCTGCATACAGTGACCACTACATGAAAGTAAAAGCTTGTGTGTTGTAGCTGCATGAAGGCTCATTCCCTCCACCCTGACTACCATTTCTTTTCACCTGTATATTACATCTCTTTACATTCACGGAAGGAATTACAGAAGCATTCCGTTTGTTGCAGTTAGGATATAGCTGGCCAGAGCACCTCTTACTTCTTTTGCTTTTCGTTAAATAGCACCAGGGAAGAAACAGAAAAAGATGCAAATATTTGTACTGAACACAGAAAAAAGAGAACAGAGGAAAGAGCGAGCAAAGAGAGGTCAAGAGGGAAGTCACGTGTATGAAAGGCAAGCATGGACTCAGAATTAAATGGAAAGTAAGGTCATTCTCTGCAAGCACTTTAGAAAAGGAAGACCAGGTCCAGCCAAGGGCTAGCACACCTTGCCTGGAGCATTTCATGGAAATGATATTTGGAAGACCACCTTTTGTGCTACAAAAATTTATCCCAAGAGTCACTTTTAGCCCCTTACTTTGTCTCAGACAAAAATATCAAAAATCTTGATGTGAGACATTGTGTGGAAATAACACCAGAGGCATACAGCATTGTGGTAACAACACTGTGGACCAGACAGTTCTAGCTCTGCGGCTCACTAACTTACTGCATGATCAAGTTAGTTAGCTTCACCAATTCACTGCTGGGATACTAACAACATATTATTGAGGGGAAACACAAGACAGTAGGCACTCATCATGTGGTTACTGTTATTATTCCTGCATGGAATGCTCCCTTAAACAACCTGGAAAAATTAGATTTTAATTACTATTTGTATCATTTCTATTTGATGAATATAATTATTATACCAATTATTATTTTGGATTTAATTTATATTGAAATATATGAATCCTTCATTAATAATATAACCTTTATTTATATTTTCACTTTCGATAACTCAATGCTTCTACTTTGATGAATGTACTTTGATTTAAAACATCCTGGACTGTAGGTAGGAAGCAGAGTTATATTTTTTCTGTTTTGTAGATAAATATTCTTAGGCAGGAATAAAATAAATGATTTCTTCAAGGTCAGTGTGGTACCTGGGACTTTTAAATTCAGATCTTCTAATCCCTTCCCAGCTCAAGCAGAAGTCATATCTCATTGCTTGGGGCCTTGATGCTTTTCTCAAATTTTTTTCCTATTTCTGATCTTAATATGTAGGACATAGGAACAGAGCCAAGAATCAACAGTAATTTACAAGGTTACCTTTTTGTTTTGCTCCACAAATAGAGATGTTAGGAAGGTACACAAGCCTGGCACCAAACAGCCTTGGGCGATAAATCCAAGTTTTAATTCAGCAAAGCAGATGATGTTGTCTCCGGTGTCCCAGTTCCAGCTGGGAATCTTTGGCAGATAAACCTGTTCCATAGCACAAAGCAGGTCAAACATTAGGAATAAACACACCTCAAGAAAGCTCTTGAGGATGGATGTCTTTCTTTTTTTAAATTTACTTGAAATCATATATTCTTCATTTTTGCACACAAAAGTGGTGCCCAGGTCAATGAAAATGATAAGAACAAATTCAGCATTTGAAAGTGGTTAGTGGTCAATGGCTCTCATTTTTTGAAACAAAAATAGCTAGAGTTGCAAAATCAGGTCAAATGACTTAAACTTCTAATTCTGCCCCCAATTTACATTGTTAAGTGATTATCCATCTTAATAAGACTCCAAATTTTACCTATGATTAGCAAAAACTTTTTATTTACACATCCATTAGAAAATTAAAAAGTTCGTCTAGCTATATAGATAAAAGGAGGAGATGGAATATGCTAGAATGTTACTATACCTTGTTATGGGATTGCAGTATCTGTATGATGATTCTGGTGGTAGAATCATAGTTCTTGATAGAGAGCACCCTATATAAACCCCAAACACTCTCATTAGTCATGTGTCATAGCCAAAGGGCTTTGTAATATAATTTAATTCAGAGTTAAATTGATATGTAGGTAAGTGTAGAAAAACTTGGCATATAATAAAGTTTATTGTTGTGTTGTTTTCTAAAAATGTTTTTAGTAGCCTACACAGAAGAGCATCATTGTTTTCATGACTTTGCCAACCAAATCTATGGAATGATTATCTCTTGGTGTTAGAAGACTGTGTTCTTCTGAGACCAATTCTTGAGGAGGAAATCAACAGTTTCATGTTTTAGCTTTCAAACCCAAACCTAATAATTACAGGTAAAAATAGAAATTTGATGGTAGTCTATGGCTTGAAATAGCTCATAGACTGTCTAATTCAACTTCCCCATTTTACAAATTAAGAAACTAAGATCTACGTCATATTTACTGTACTATGTATGGTACAGATTTTCAGCTGTTTCTTGCTATATGTAATGTCACCTTCAGCTATCTGTGTTTATTTTACTCTGGAGATTGGAAGTTCATCTGGATTAGCCAAAATGCCATTGTCATCATAATCACAGTTATCACAAGTCACGTTCTTGCTAGAAGAGTTCACAGTTTAATGTAATAACACTGACTCTAGCCATCTTGAAAATACTTGCCGATGGTCAGGCCAGGCGCAGTGGCCCAGCCTGTAATCCCAGCACTTTGGGAGGCTAAGGTGGACAGATCATCTGAGCTCAGGAGTTCAAGACCAGCCTGACCAACATGGTAAAACCCCATCTCTACTAAAAATAAAAAATTAGTCTGGCGTGGTGGCACATGCCTGTAATCCCAGCTACTTGGAAGGCTGAGGCAGAACTGCTTGCACCGGGGAGGTGGAAGTTGCAGTGAGCCTAGATCACGCCACTGCCCTCCAGCACAGGCAACAAGAGCAAAACTCCGTCTCAAAAAAAAAAAAAGAAAAGAAAAGAAAAGAGAATACTTACTGATGGTCAAACAAAAAGCACGTCATACCGGACCACGCATAATCTTTCACCACAACTACTAGAGAAAAATCCCAATAAATAACGTGCACTAATAGGGTTCATAAAATTGCATCTTCATTTTTGAGGAGAGGATATTAGTTATAATGGTTCTATCTGAACAATAATCAGTTATTTGTATGCTTGCTTCTTAAATTCAGATGGCTACTATAGATATGAAACTTCAGGGAATTATATGGAGAAGCACATTCACACTCAGGATGCTCCGTTTTTATCCTTTTGCATCCATCTGCACAGTCTTGGGGAGCAGGCAAAAAGTAGGCAGAACCTTGGAATATGATGAACCTAGTGATATGATAGACGACATTTTCTCCTTTTTATGCTTATGTACCGGGCATTACTTTAAAAGAGATAGAAAAAAATAATCGTTATAGCATACAAAACACAGCTTCTTACCTCATAATGTTGGAAATATCTTCAGCATGGGAATCACTGCACAAAGGATTGGCTATAATCAGGCATGCCTCTGCAGATTCCACCTACCCTTCAAGATCGGACAGGAGCCATCTTGTTAATTACATGGGAAATGCTCTGGTCTTCCCCTTTCGGGTTTTCTAACAATTTTGTAATAAAATTGCTAACACAAAAGAGGACACACTTGGGAATAAGTTGTAATGAGGATGTCTTTACATCAGGATTGTTGTCCTGCAAATGCTGCAAAGGGCAAGGGTTGCAGCTGATGGGCTAGGACACAGGGTCTCTGACATAGGTAAAAGATTGCTTTCAAATGGGTAAAATAAGGCGTTATATTTTTCCTACCATCCATCACCATTATTTGATGCCTAGTGATAAGCCCTAAGGCCTTTATAAGCAACCGTCTGTGTATTTACTTATCTTTCAGGACAGTTAAAAACAGAGGAACTGGGAGTCTACTTGGCTCTAATAAGCAGTTATTCAATATTGGTGGAGTGTGAATTTCAAAGTTCTAGAAAATTACTGAAATGGCTCTTACAGTACTAAACTGCAGGAAAGAGAAATATTTTTCTGGGTCTGTCAATTCTTCATGTTTACTCTATAGATCTTGGCTTTCAACAGAAACTTTTCTGTTTGTTGATTCTCCGAGACTGAGAACATGACAGGAAGCTGCCTTTGATCTTAAGCCAAACCTGTCTAGAGGGTTGGCTGTTGCTCATTATTTTGCGTCACAACTTTAATGAGATTTCTACTATTTTCCTTTATGTTTTTCCTATTGGAAAGCATATCCATGCATTTAGGAGGAGAAGTTGATTAAAGCTGATGGACTCAGAGATCTGCCTTCTGGTAAGAATTCTATTTGTGTGGTAAGATCAAACACACCTTGCTATCCATACCTTTTTCAGACCTCTTAGGCTGATAAAATAAAACTGATTTAGATAGAGAATTTTGAGAAATAAATAATTTAAATATAAGTGTTGGCAAACAGTGAGGTCTGCTTGACATTTCTGAAATCAGATTTGGGGGTCAATTACTACACCTCCTTTACAATTGTTTTTAAAGTTGAGGAAGTTATATTTTCCACCAATTAAAGAAGCTGAAATAATACCTTTTTTAAAAAGCAATATATCCTATTATTTTAATTGTTGCAACTAAGGAAAACTACAAGGAACAAAAACAGCTAGATCTTACCGCAACTCGCCTCAGATCCTCCCACTTCATTGCAGATCCAGAAATGAACGTTGTGTAGGCCAAGTAGCATTTAAATATGGTTTCAAGTTCCAAAGAAGGAGGGGTTCTGGACAAAAAAGAACGTGGCAGCAATGAGGGAAAAAAGATGATTGACTCTGGGTTTAGAGGTTTTTATAACTAATTTGGTGCATTTAGTAGAATCCCTCATAGTGATATGAAAAAATACAAATCAAGTTAATACTATTTTTTTAAAAAATGTAATTACTAAGGATGAAGAAGTTCACTATTTAGTTTAAAAAACTGAGTTACTGAAACAGGCATAACATTTTAAATCAACTATGCATTTAATAAAATGGCTTTTAAATATAAGAAGCAAATATGAAAAAAATTAGAAGGAGAAATTGATGAGTCTGCCACTGTTATGAGAGATTTTGACATATCTTTTTAAACTATTGATAGAGCAAGCAGAAAACAATCATCACAGATTTTGAACACACATGTTTAATATTTATAAATTCTGAAAAGAACATTTAGAGGAACTAATTTTTATAAAGAACACACAAATATTTATCAAAACGGTATTTTTCTTGACAGACAATGAAAGCCTCAACACATTACAAAAACAAAGTTATTACATATAATGATCTTTGATCACAATACAATTAACTTAGAAGTTAACCAAAACACAAATAAAAATAGTTTTCAGATTTAGGAATAAAAAAATAGAGTGCTAAAAATATTATGAGCTTGGAAGAAATTGCAACAATTCTTTATCATTATTCTTAGAAATATGTTGAAAATATTAAATATATATGCTTTGAGATACAGCAACAGCCGTGCTTTAGGAATAATTTGTAGCTTTGGAGATGTATTAGAATAGGATCAAGGAAATAAAAATAAAAGAAATGATGAAAACAAGAATAAGAAACAATGAAAAAGGAACAAAAAGATAAAACAGAGAAGATAAACCACATCAAAAGTCAGTTCTTTGAAAAATAACCTAGCATAATAGGCAAAAGTTTTGTAAAGTTAATGGAGAAAAAATAAAAGACAAAAATGATGCAAATATTGAACAAAGAAGATACAATACATATAGTCAAAGTAGAGATTAAAAAATAACAAAAGTAGACAGCAAATAACTGAATGTCAACAGCTCTGAAAACTTAGCCAAAATGAACAAATTACTTAAAAGTGTATCTTATCAGAACTAACTCTAGAAAAAATAAAAAGCCTAAACTGTTAAAGAAATTGAAGCTGTGGTTTCATGCTCATGGGTAGGAAGAATCAATATCGTGAAAATGGCCATATTGACCAAGGTAATTTACAGATTCAATGCCATCCCCATCAAGCTACCAATGACTTTCTTCACAGAATTGGAAAAAACTACTTTAAAGTTCATATGGAACCAAAAAAGAGCCCACTCACGAAGTCAATCATGAGCCAAAAGAACAAAGCTGGAGGCATCACACTACCTGACTTCAAACTATACTACAAGGCTACAGTAACCAAAACAGCATGGTACTGGTACCAAAACAGAGATATAGATCAATGGAACAGAACAGAGCCCTCAGAAATAACGCTGCATATCTGCAACTATCTGATCTTTGACAAACCTGAGAAAAACAAGCAATGGAAAAAGGATTCCCTATTTAATAAATGGTGCTGGGAAAACTGGCTAGCCATATGTAGAAAGCTGAAACTGGATCCCTTCCTCACACATTATACAAAAAATCAATTCAAGACGGATTAAAGACTTAAACGTTAGACCTAAAACCATAAAAACCCTAGAAGAAAACCTAGGCATTACCATTCAGGACACAGGCATGGGCAAGGACTTCATGTCTAAAACACCAAAAGCAATGGCAACAAAAGCCAAAATTGACAAATGGGATCTAATTAAACTAAAGAGCTTCTGCACAGCAAAAGAAACTACCATCAGAGTGAACAGGCAACCTACAAAATGGGAGAAAATTTTCACAACCTACTCATCTGACAAAGGGCTAATATCCAGAATCTACAATGAACTCAAACAAATTTACAAGAAAAAAACAAACAACCCCATCAAAAAGTGGGCAAAGGACATGAACAGACACTTCTCAAAAGAAGACATTTATGCAGCCAAAAAACACATGAAAAAATGCTCACCATCACTGGCCATCAGAGAAATGCAAATCCAAACCACAATGAGATACCATTTCACAGCAGTTAGAATGGCAATCATTAAAAAGTCAGGAAACAACAGGTGCTGGAGAGGATGTGGAGAAATAGGAACACTTTTACACTGTTGGTGGGACTGTAAACTAGTTCAACCATTGTGGAAGTCAGTGTGGCGATTCCTCAGGGATCTAGAACTAGAAATACCACTTGACCCAACCATCCCATTACTGGGTATATACCCAAAGGACTATAAATCATGCTGCTATAAAGACACATGCACACGTATGTTTATTGCGGCATTATTCACAATAGCAAAGACTTGGAACCAACCCAAATGTCCAACAATGACAGACTGGATTAAGAAAATGTGGCACATATACACCATGGAATACCATGCAGCCATAAAAAATGATGAGTTCATGTCCCTTGTAGGGACATGGATGAAATTGGAAATCATCATTCTCAGTAAACTATCGCAAGAACAAAAAACCAAATACTGCATATTCTCACTCATAGGTGGGAATTGAACAATGAGAACACATGGACACAGGAAGGGGAACATCACACTCTGGGGACTGTTGTGGGGTGGGGGGAGGGGGGAGGGATAGCATCGGGAGATATACCTAATGCTAGATGACGAGTTAGTGGGTGCAGCGCACCAGCATGGCACATGTATACATATGCAACTAACCTGCACATTGTGCACATGTACCCTAAAACTTAAAGTATAATAATAATAAATAAATTAAAAAAAAGAAAAAAATCTCTCAAAACACAACACACACACACACAAACACAAACCTACACATCCAAACACACACACACACCCCTCAAATAAAATGTAGGAAACCACTAGTTCTACATGGTTTCGCGTTTAACTTCTACCATACTTTAAAGCAACCCATAATCTCATTTTTCTACAAAGCCTTTTAAAGACATTAAAAATAGGAAATACTTCCTAACCAATACTAAAAAAGACAAAATAATCATATTACCAAAAATATCCGTGAGATTCACATTAACAAATTAAAAAACAACACTTATATAATCACCTCAGACGCAGAGACAAATTGATAGAAATATTTCTTCAGAGTTAAGAAATACAACTCATGGTATATTAGAAATAGAAGATAATATTTTTAACCCAACAAATATCTTTAAAATAAAAAAGATATCTTTAATGAAAAAATATTAAAGGTGCTTTTAAAAATGAGAAGTAAAGAAAAGATATCATCACTGCTCTTTTTCAACGTTATATTTGATGTCTCAGCAATAATTATACTATTTCAGACAAATAGTTTATTTCCTTCTTTCTAATCCTTATGTGTACAATTTATGTTTTATTATAAATATTTATTTTATTTATAAAGATTTACAAATCTGGATTAATAAAGATTTATTTTATTTTATTACAAAGATAAAATAAAGATAAATTGTTTTAATGTAAATAATTATAACTACACAAATATAAATAATATAAATATAATTATTTATATGGAAACCCCTAATATTACTACAGAAAAAAATAAAATTTATGTGGTTAGATATAAGACTAATATACAAAATTTAATTGTGTTTTTCCTGTACTAAGAACAAACAACTAGTAAACCCTACTGGAAGATATTACTTTTACTAATATCAGAAAATACCAAGTACCTAGAAATAAAAGTTAGTAAGCTCTCTACCTGGGAAATTATACCACA